>NC_000014.9:53551106-53854137 GCF_000001405.40 Homo sapiens | reverse complement strand
AGCCATTGCTCTCTCTTATGATGGCAAATTCTAGCATGTATGCAGTCTTGCCACAACTCCTTATCACCAATGGAAGACATCACAAACTGATCATAGCATTCTTTGTCACTAAGCCAGACACAGCCTCAGAATGTTGCTCATTTCAGAATTTCAGGGAGCTGGTACCAAACATTTGGAGCTGATCTCTAAGAAGAAAATTACTTACTATCTTCAATTCCCAGGATTAATTTGACCTGCATTCTTACATTGACGCTGTAGTCTACCTAGTACTTCTTGAACAAAATGGAACTGTTTTTCCCCAGGGACCACAACGTGACCTTTATTTATTTTCATCTCACTCCCATGAAACTGTTAGTTTCTTGTAGATGAAAATTTAAGAATCTGCAGTGATCCTCCTAGGTATAATGTTAAAAGCACCCAAATCCAGACTTACTTGTAGGTTTCAAGAGCAGGGGCCACTATCATCTATACATGAGTAGAGTACCTACTAAAATATTCAACGCACCATCTATTTGCCTTAAACTACTGATAAATCTAATGAGACAAACAAATGGTATAAGAATTAGGAAAAGGAATTTGAAAAGCTATAGAAGATAATTGGCTTTCTTTTAAAAGTAGATGATAAAAATTGCTGAAAGAAATGAAAAGCTAGATTTCAGTTAAAATCTAACAAGATTATTCATCAGAATAAATATTATACAGTTGTCTCTTGAACAACACAGGAGTTAAATGTACCAACCCCTGTGCACTGGAAAATCCATGTCTGACTTTTGACTCCTCCAAAACTTAACTATGAATAGCCTACTGTTGACTGGAAGCCTTACCAATAACATAAACAGTCAATTAACACATATTTTTGTCTTATATGTATTATATCCTGTATTCTTACAATAAGGTAAGTTAGAGAAAAGAAAATGTTATTAAGAAAATCATAAGGAAAAGAAAATATATTTCCTATTTATTAAGTGGAAGTGAATCATCATAAAGGTCTCTATGCTTGTAGTCTTCATGTTGAGTAGGCTAAGGAGAAGGAGAAAGAGGAGGGGTTTTGTCTTGGTATCTCAGGGGTGGCAGAGGCAGAAGAAAATAAGTGTATAAGTGGACCCACACAGTTCAAACCCGTGCTGTTCAAAGGTCAACTGTACTTGATCTTATTTCATGTTTTGTTTTTGCCTCAAACTAATCTTAAATGAGAAGAAAACCCCTATGTATGTCCTTTGAGGTCAGATTGCATATATTCAGCCTATTAATGAAAATTAGCTTTACGCTAAAAGCACATTAGAAGCCTACACAGAGAAAATCAGCATCTACTGGGCAATATTGAATAGTAGTGAAGAGGCTGAGCTGGGAGTCAGGGAGATTTGAGTTTCTGTCTGGTCTCTGCCTATTGCTAGCTGTGTGATGCTAGGCAGATTGTTTAACATCTCTGAGCCTCACTCTCTGCATGTGTAAAATGGGGATAGCTACAATACCTGCATGAATATAAAATGAGACAATGTGGTAAGGCACTTCAGGAGCCTGGCAATCAATCAATGCATCTAGTGAGTTGATACATTTTATTATTTAAATTGTAGTCAGAAAGTTTGCCCTTGGATAAGGTAATCTCTCACTTCTTTTACATGTTTTCTACCAAGAGACCCTTACATCAACTGGATAGCAGAATTGAACTAGAGGGGAGATTAGCTCTGAACAACTTATCCAAGTCTGATGGACCTTAAAACCAGTATTGACTACATTTGCTGTAGCTGGCCTAGGTCTGCCCTACTTCCTATTGTCCAGCCCAAAAGGGGCTGGAGAACTCTAGAAAAATCACTCCCGTAGCAAACAAACAAACAACAAAAACAAAAACAAACACAATCAACATGACCCAGCCTTTAGCAACTGCTCCAGGAGCAGCTGTAAATAGATCCAGAGAACTTATCTGTTGCCCCTCACAGTGCCTGAACCAACATATACTCAGATAGAATAAGAAAAAATGGTGATCAACTGGTTGTCAAACCCGAGTACCTCTTACAGACAAGTAGAGTTCTGAGTTCTACAGTCTTCACTGCAGTGCCAGGGGAAATCAGCATTGCCATTCTTATTTTACAGGCAGAAAACCCCCGGCACCAAGGGATTAAACAATTTGTATTGGAATGAGATTTTACTAACTCCATAGAAAATGGACCTAAAATTTAAACATGGGTAAACCACATCCTTTATTTAAACAATATTTTACAGTCTACGATGAAAGAGTACTTAGAGATGGAATTTGCAGATTGGCTGTTCATGAGTTCACAGAAAAATTATGCAACTTTCCATTCATTCAGCAAACACGTATTCAGTTCACAGTGCTAGGCACTGTGACAGGCCCCAGAGATAAAAGCTCATCTAATAATATTACCTGCTCTCATGGAAAGCATAAGAGGACACACATGAAAGAAATAAAATGACATGGATACTGTGACAGTAACAAAAATCTGTATATGTTACAGTAAGAGCCCGAAGAGAAGACAAGTCCTGAAAGATCACTCTGTATTCGTTCTGCCCTGTGTCTGCTTGGCAACAGAGAGAATGCTAGCAAACACTGAAAGAGTTGCAATCCTTGCCAATTGCAAGCCCACAAACAGGTGAACATAATATAAGAAAGTGCTAGAAATCGTGACTGCATGTGAACATAGAATGCTATCTTTTGTGTCTAGTATCTGAAATGAGATTGTAATTATTTTCCAAATCTTCAAAAAATGGGCTTTGGAGTTTCCCACAATTTGACTTTTAAATCATAATTCTCTGCTAATGGTTATTTTGGCAAAGTAGAGCCTTATCACGGGGAGAGCCTAAAATCAACCCAGAGGTTAGACAGTTGGGAGAAGGATGGAGTTCCAGGACTTGTCAAAATTAAACACAGCTTTCAGCCCACTTATGCACTCTCTTCGTGAAACATTCTCTTGCATTGACTTTGGCAACGCCTATTTTCCTGGTTTCCTTCTAACTTACCAACATTCCTTCACAGTCTCTTTTGCTGACTCATTATCCTCTATCTTTAATAAGAGGTTTTTCAGGGCCCTTTTATTTTCTCACTATACTCTTTTCCTTGGCCATTGCCTCTTCAACCATGACTTCTATTACAATAGGAATGTCAATCACTTTCACCTGTCTTCAATTTAGATCTTTCCTCTAACACCCGGATATGTAATTCAACTCTTAACTTGATATCTCACTTGGAAGAGTTACAAGCCTCTCTGAAAAAAATCCATACAGGATGGAATGCATGGCATTTTCTCTGAAACTTCCTCCCTGTCCAGTGTTATCTACCTTGGAACGATTGTCTCATTTAGAGGGACTCTCTAACCTGAGTACACATTTGAAACATCTGAGGGCTTTGAAACATACCTGCTCCTGGACCACCTGCTGAACCAATTAAATCAGAATTTCTGTTGTGAAGATCTCCACGTGAGTTTAAGGTACGGCTAGGTTAAGAATTGCTGAATATGTCGCTCAACTTGGAAATCCGTTTGTCTTGATCTCTCCCTTTTCATTATCCTTTCATAGTCAACCACCTGTTGATATTTCATCTACTAAATAGCTCTTGACTCTGTTTTTATCATCAAAGCCATCACCAAGGTACCATCTTCGCTGGTCTGAAATAATCTTCTAACTGTTCTCATTGCCTCTAATCTTAGTTTATATCCATGCCATTGTCCACAATGCAGCCAGGGCGATTTAAATAAATCTGATCAATCACTTCCTTGCTTAAACATTGCACCGGCTTTCTGCTTGATTTTAAAATAAGCCACAGATACTTATGGCCTATACATATGTGAATATAGGGGTAGAGTTTTTGTTTGTTTGTTTTGGTCTGATCAGCAAATTTCCTCATCTCTACTCCTCTGGAACATATTTTCCTGACCCCCAACCTACCGGGTGGGCATATGATCAGGTCTCTTAGGGGTGCGGATGGTGATCCAAGCCTTCCGGGTTATCAAGGGCCCTCCTGCCTTACAATTTTGGGGACTAGAGTAGAAACAGCTTTGCCTCTGGTTTCATAGTGAAAGAGTACGAATTTGAAGCGCTTGGCAACCATCTTTCTCCCCCAACCTCACACGGTCAAACTCAGCACTCCTGACAACTGGGGGAAATCTTCTATGATGAATTAGTTATTTGAGGAATATTTTGTTTATTTTCCAGCTTTCCTGCTCAACTGTTAGTTCCATGAAGGCAACAGCCATGCCTGCTTCGTTCACTGAAATATCTTCGTTTCCTAACACACAGAAAGTCATCATTTTTTGACGGATGAAAGAATGGATGAATGCCTAGTCTTGGAGACATCTACTTGCAATAAAGGTTAGATGAAGGAAATGGATGCCAGTGGGAGATTTGTGGATCTATTTCACCAGATTTCACTCTGCTGACTCAGCAAAATGGTCCCCGAAGAAAGTATGTATGATATATGAATGCCTAGCCACCTGTCTTGGAACAAACAGGGATTTCTTTAGCTTTCTCCCACCAGGAGATGCTCCCCTGGCATTTTTCAATACTCCTCTTCCCTAAAAGGTAAAATTTACGTCCCGATAGTCACAGTGGGCTGCTTTATTGTACAATCTGACATCAGAATGGAAGGAGAGAGTATGCTTTTTAAGTTCCTTAAAATGCAGTTCTATTGAAAATAGCTGTTGAGACAAATAAAATAAGCTGCTAAGGAACAATAAGAGACATGATGGAGTTATAGAAATGTGTTATTGTGTTCCACCCAGAAAATATTATGCAATACAGGGATAAATTTATTCCTGAAGAATTTAAAAAATATTTATATAATCTTCTATGATTTTTGCTTCATAATGCAGTTAATTCACTAGGGCTTTTGCTGTTTGGATGTGGCCATTTGGTTTTGGTGGAAAATAGTTTGACATAGTCTAAAAAGCAAACTCTAAAAATGTATCTATTTTAATTATGAATACATTGTGACTCAGATTTATCCCATCTTTGAACTTCACCCCATCTCCAACTATGCTCCCCAGGGTAGGGATTAGGGCTGAGATGAAATAAGGGATGGGCCAATGACAAGGCGCGGGGAGGGAGGGTATGGAAATGAGGGCTCAAAAGGCTGGCAAACTACGTGGAAAGAGGAATCACATTTTTACCACACTTGCACATCTCAGACGGAGCCACCCATCATTCTAAGTCAGGAGGCTGCTTGTTTTCAGCGAATTCACTTGTATCACATGTACCTCAGTGTCTCAGATTTCTGTCTGAAATGATCATTGTTACTGTCATTTTCTTTTAGTTAATACATAGATGTGTTCATTTAATGGAGATACCCATTCTGTTTTTTTCATTTGAAAAATCTGTAGGATGAACACCCCTGTTTTAAGTTGACAGCTTGATTCTATGAGCCTCTTTGAGTGGTTACAGGTTATCCACTGGGCAAGGTGGAGGTGGTAGTAGGAGGAGGATATTTGCAGCACAATAGGATCTCATATTCTCCAGATTTCATAGAAAACAGTTCAATTTCTAACAGTTTCCTCAGTAGCCCTTTATATTTAAGCATCTAATTTATTGTTAAACTCCTTCAAAATGGAGTTTTTGGGGAAACAGGTGATCAGCCTTATAGTCTAACCCAATCAACTCTAATATACTTTAAAAGCTTGTGCTGTTTTTCTGATTTTAAAATTAGAATATATTCATACAGAATAACATACTTTCTATATTCAAATAATCCAGAAGTGAGATTTTAAAACAGGAACATTCTCCATGATCAAGTTTGTGGTTAGGGATGGAATAAAAGTCAGGAACCAAAGCAAATTGATTGTGAATTGCTGACGCAGAAGCTTCAGGGCCTCTCACTTGCATAGGCTCTTTTAGGAGTCCTAGGAGGGCTCCAGTCATATGTCCATATAGTCCCTTACTTCTGTAAAATGTGTAAAAATAAAATATTTTAACTTCAGCTAATGAAGGCTGTTCTTTCCACTCTCGCCTGCTCTGGAGTGGCACTGGGTTGCCACAGGCATTTTGGAGAGTGGGGTACAGGACAGCTCAGTGGAGGATCCATTTAGGTTCAGGTCAGAGCATCTACTGTTTGCAGTCAGATCCAGGTAGAGCTATTTAGCCAGCTGTTTCGGTGTAGAAATTACTCCCAGGTCCACTCCTACCATCCGTTGCTCCGACTTGCCAACATTATGAAACAAAGGTGTGGAGCTGGAGCTTGCCTGTGGGCACGTGCTCGAGCAATGGCTCCAAGCACTGGAAGTCTGTGGGTGATGGAGAAGAAATACGGTTTGAAATATACAAAGCCAGAAGCTAGTGTGTGTAAGATTTTTCCAATCATCAGGCATGTACAATTTTAACAGAATCATTCAGTGCTCATCAAAACAAGTTCTCTGCTTCCAGGAAGATGCTTAAAAATGTATTTGATAGGCCGGTCACGGTGGCTCATACCTGTAATCCCAGCACTTTGGGAGGCCGAGGCAGGTGGACTGCCTTAGGTCAGGAGTTTGAGACCAGCCTGGCCAACACGATGAAACCCTGTCTCTACTAAAAATACAAAAAATTAGCCGGGTGTGGTGGTGCATGCCTGTAATCCCACTTACTAGGGAGGCTGAGGCAGGAGAATCACTTGAACCTGGGAGGCAGAGGTTGCAGTGAGCAAAGATTATGCCACTGCACTCCAGCCTGGGCAACAAGGTGAGAATCCATCTCAAAAAAAAAAATAAGTATTCAATATATTTAGAGATATTTTGGAAATCTCTCAAGAGCAAATTTATCAGAATTATTATGTTTATAGGACACACATATGTAGCAGTACTACAAACGATCTTTGTGAAGTTACATATTTTATTCATCCCAACATGTCAATTACATGAATGTATTAGAAAAATATTTACATGTCTGACTTAAAATGCTGACAGCAACAATAACATAAAACTTATAAGAAGTACATTGACTAGTTACTCAGTTTTGTTCATTCAAAGAGTATTTAAGGGTTTTCCCTGCATAAAGAAAACTTGAGATGTGCTGAAATCTTACAGTTCATATATGAAAAACCTGATAGAAGTTTCCTCAAATTTGACAACATCCTAAGAATTTATTAATATATGCATTGCCCATAAAAATTATAATGCTAAGAGCAACTTTTCTAAACTATTAGTAATCAAAAATAGATTTTGATCAATGATCCTAGAAGAAAGAGAATTTTGTTTCTCTTTTAAGGATTGATCTTACAAACACAATGACATATGAAGGGATTATCAGGGAAGATAATCAAGAAATATAGTCAAGAAATGTAGAAAAAATTCTTCCGAGGTATGCTAGGCAGTTCATTAAAAAACTGTTCTTTTGTTGATGTTTGTGCTTTTGCAACTTTAAAAAAAATTTGTTGTTTTTTCTCATTTTAAATAAATACTTGCTTTCATACCTAATTTATCCTTTTTTAAAAAAAATCAGATACAAAACTTAGGTCCTACAAGACCTGAATCCAACACTAGTAAGGGATATCATTTTCATGTTTTTGAAAACATGGAGATTTTACATGTTTACAAGGTGGTTTAACATCAAATGGCTGCATTAAAGTGTTAGATCAAAACGCCCTGCTTTGAACCAGACCCATCCCAGGGGTGAGGCTTGGGCATTGCAGGATCAAACCTCATGCTCACAAAGTAAGCCTTTGACTTTATCTCCAAGTGAGCTTGTAACTACAGTTACCGGGAAAGTAGGAGTGATTCATCACGCACCTTTCTGTGTGTGTCCTATTATCACACGACATGCCCAGGATGCCCTTGAGTTGATATTAAAAATAATTATCTTATGGCTAGTACATTATAGTGCACTGGATTTTTTTTCTTGTTAAAGGCATTGCTTTGTTAAATGTAAACATTAAAAAGAGGCCAGTTTCTGTAACCTGGCCTTGACCTTGGGAAGGTTCTGCCATGCCTCTGGCACTGACCCTTGGGCTGAGAAAGTTGTGCTGGTCTAGATTCTGTTTCTTTTCTTGGGTGCCTGGCACACAGTAGGGTCTCAAATATTAGGTTTTTGCTTCCCTCCTCCCTTTACTTTTTTTCTTGGGGCAGTTTTTTTTTTTTTTCTGTCAAGTATGAGGAAACTTTACAAAGCAAAATCATACTAACACATTCCAATTGTATTACCAAATGACTGTCTTTATTAAGCTGTCTAGAACATCAGTGTCCAGGTTATGGCCTGTGCAATACAGTACCTAGGAGCCGTCTTCACACCTGGAGTAGTTTTTCGTTGGTTCACACAGGACTGCAACTAAGCCAAATAACAATAAACTAGAGTACTAGAGTGAAATGCATTTACCGAGAGGAAGACCGAAGAGTGATATACTTAAACTCTAGTCATTATCCTATGGATAGAATAATAGTAAATTATCATAATGCCAAATTGTAAACCCTTTATGATATATAGGGTGCTTCCAAATTCATCTCGCAAAGTCTCTTTAACAACTTTTAAGTGTAGGTATCACCTTTATCCCAATTTTAGAGAGAACGATACAGTGTGAGGAATTAAGTGACTGATCCAAGATACCTTAGCCAGTGAGTAGAGAAGCCAGAAGTTGGACCCAACACTATATGACTTTTATGACCCCTGAGTTTTTAAGGCATTTATATTATTGCTATTGAAGAACAGTACTAATCTTTTTGATAGCCCCTGTCTCTCCCCTTAACTCTACTAAGATGGAAGTCCCTGTGGAAAAAACTTAGATGTAGGATAATCAGCAAGAAGTGGTTCTTGCTCTGAAAAAGTTGACAGTCTGGGGATACATCTGGCTATGTAAACAGTCAACCGTAATACAATGTGTACAGGGATCTAAGCGGCACAAATAAAATGCAAGGAATCAGTGAGCAGAAGAAATCACCAGAGAAGAAAATATTTGTAGTCTATCCCAACTTTAGCCATCAGATGCCTCCATATTGAAGCCCAATTATTAATTTTCATGTGGTTGTAATTAATACAATTACTTAGAATTACGGTACATTAACTTCTGCTGCATCTTGGAGTCACTCCTAAGTTTAAACAGCAAATATATCTGGAGTTGAAGTATTTGAAAGGGATAGAATACAATTTCACCACAGTATTAATGTGTTTTTCCATTTTTCATCCTAGTTATCTGACCTTTAAGTTTATATAGTCTCTTAAATTTTAACATCTTTTCATTGTATTTTCTATTGTAATTAAGTCCTTGTCCTTGAGATCAAAATGAGGCATTTCATGCCATCTAGCTATAGTTAGGCCTTGAATCAGATTTCTGGTTGGAATGAATTACCGTTTTAAATTGTTTTTTTCAATTTTTAATTTTGTTTTTTGTAGAGTTGGGGTCTCACTATGTTGCCCAGGCTAGTCTTGAACTCCTGGACTCAAGAGACCCTCCCCTCGTGGCCTCCCAAAGTGCGGAGATTACAGGCATGAGCCACCACGCCCAGCCCCAAATTACCAAATAAGTGGCTTTCGGTTCTTGCTTTCCCTCCATTTAATCTATTTTTATTTGATTGTGTGGCACCTGAAGAGATACATGGAATTATATATCCTATTAATTGCTGCTCATGAAAAAAATTAAAAGCAAATACTACTGAGTCACATGGAATTAAATCCATCTATGAGGACATAATTTATTTATTTGCCTGAGATTATTTAGGGAGTTTTTTTTGTATTTAAATGAAATTATATGCTGAAATTGTTTTTGCTTTTGTCTGTCAGCATGGTGTCTTGGTTATGAATGCATTCTAGCATTATGAATTTTGTGCGGGTGATTTTCCCAATTCCCCTCTACCACATGTGAAAATAGGATATTTGCTGATGATAAATTCAGACAGATTTCTCTAAGTTTGTCCACTAAGCAACAGACTAAATTAACTGCTTAATTTAAATTTTAAGGGAAGATCCTAGACTTCAATGCCTCCTCCTGCTGAATGTTGTCCCAAATATGCCCCACATAGAAATGCTTTGTCCTTGTCTTATTCCATTCTAGTCTCCTTGCCTTTTAAAAAAAATTTGGCCCCTTCTAACACTCTCTCCCTGCTACCTTAGAGCAGGGACACATGTATTTGCAAAGCCTCTGTTTTCATATTTAATTTTTTTTCTATTTTTCAGAGAGTGGTGTTGCATGTTCCCCACTCTTTTTCTTTTGATGCCTCTCACTCATGTTGCTTGTAGCTTCATTTTGTTTTGTTTGTTCGTTTACTTGAGTTCTTTCTCTCCTCAATATCATTATCCTAGAACATGGACTAAGGACCAATCTTCCTTTTTTCACACCATTCTCTTCCTACCCGTGCACTATATTCACACAATCAGTTCACTTTAAGTGTAAATTGGTGACAAAATTGATAGCCTTTGAGTTACGTGTAGCTCTCAATGTCAGGATTATTTTTCCCAAATTATAAAACTTCTTATTTAATCAGACTTAGAGAAAAGAAATCATTGGCCCACAGACCTGAAATGTCTAGGGGTGGAACTTTTGGCATGTGTGGATCCAGCGGTGCAAACTTCCAACTTCCTCCATGAGGTGGGCTTGGCCAAACTGGCTATTCCCTGACAAATCCAATCGCAGCAGAAGAAAACCTTTTCTTTCCTGATATTGCAATGCAACCTTTCAGATCAGCTCTTGATTGAACCAGTTCGAACCAAAACCAGGAGAATTTAGGTGAGGGAAGTGGTACCCAAATGAAAAGAAGGGTGTTAGTACAGAAGATGGGGGAATGGATGCTGGCTAGGCAACACAAGTGTCCATTATAATCTCCTTCCTAGGCAGACTGTGATCCTTTCAGAGCTCTTGTTTCTGTATTTGGATTTTGAACCCTACCCACCTGTATCAAAAATACCGTGAAATGTGGCATTTTCACTTAATACTAATAGCAAATCATGACTGAAGAGTAACAGGACAGTGGTTTAAATTTCATCACTTTTAGAAATGTGGCAGGAAATAAATGTCTGCTATTTCCCCATCTCTATGGGTACTAACAATAGTTTGGGCGATAAGGAAAGTTCTTGGCAGACTGTGTAATACGGCTCTACTGTTGACCCCACATTCCTGAGCCCTGATACCTTTGTGTACTCTTTAGTCTCAGAATGTGGCTCTATTGCAGAGCTTGCTTGGTGTTGGCCTGGCTCATCTCCGTCCAGAGAAAGGCATGCTGGGTGCTTCACAGTTGGATTATTGCCATTTGATGGTAACACAAATTACTCCCTAATGTGTGTTGTATGTCTTACTAGCTGGGTTGCTTTGCTCAAGAGGCTTAACCTTGCCAATCTTTAGCTAACGTCCTATTAAATTCCTACTTCACAGGGTGGCTTTAAGGGTCATTTGAGTCAATGTGAATGTAACCTGGCACATAGACATTGTGTCGGTAACTGGAGGTTATCATTGGAAACACAATCTGAGAGCACCAGCCTCCTGCTTGGACTTCTAACTCTGCCCTTTCAGAATTTTCTTCTGTCTCATTTTGTCATCACATCTCCTTTACCTGTTCACCTGTTTAATGAATTCTTTTTGAGCTTATTATAGTTTTTATTGCACTTATTGAGTGCACACTACATCTAAGCATCTTAGGTTGTTCATCATTTGATCCTCACAACGAGACTATAGGTAAGTAGTATTTATTTTTTCCATTTGATGGATAGGGACACTGCAGCTTAGAGAGGTTGTACAGAAGGAGGGGGACAATTGATCATTAAGTTTGTGAAGACAGGCCTGGTTTTGGCCAGGCATGGTGGTGCATGCCTGTAATCCCAGCATTTTGGGAGGCTGAGGCAGGATGATCACTTGAGCCCAGGAGGTTGACACTGCAGTGAGCTGATGGCACTGCTGCACTCTAGCCTGAGTGATAGAGTAAGACCCTGTCTCAAAAGAAAAAAAGAAGAAGGAAAAAAGACAGGCCTCAAGCTTGGGTCAGAATCAATCTGATACCCTTGTTCTCATTAAATGTGTGGTTTGGGAACTTCTGTGTGCATAAGAATCACCTACAGTGTATTCAAAGTGCAGATTTTTGGAGCTCACCCTCAAAGGTTCTGATGTGATGGCCCTGGAGTAGGCTAGAGAAGTCTGCATTTACAACAAGATTACCAAGTGATTCTCCACAGGTGGTCTTCAAACCACAGGGCCACAGGTGGACTTCAGATGATTGAACTCCCTTTCTGGGGTTTCCTATCTTTTCCAGTTTCTCTGGGCAAAGGATTGAACTGCACTGCTACCTGAAGGTCCTTAGATCTGCCCTGCTGCCAGCAGCACAGTTGCCTTCTCCTGGCTTCCTACTTTTTCAAACAATTCCTTAACCCTTTGAGTATCCAGCTAATCTGATCTCCCTTTGAATCTTTAGCACCCGAACTTAGGTTGAGAGTGCATATGTTAGCCTTGTTCCTATTAGTATCTGCTGTGCACTTTGCATATAGCAGGAGCTCAACAAATATTCATTCTTTACTATTGTATTGTGCAAATATCCATTTAGTTCTCTTCAATTTATGTGTTCGGTTTTCCTCAACGAGGTTGTAAGATGCTTGAGAAGAAGGACTGGTCTTCAATTTCCTCTGTATTACCTAAGGGCTCTCCATATTTAGAAGATTCTCAGCAAAGATTGCTGACTCATTCAGTTACAATAGAAGGTGTGTAATCCATGTTTGCTGAATTAATTAACCATCCAAAGGTAACCACTATACTTTCATAGATGATGGGATTTTTGTCTCTGGAAATCATTTGAACATTAACACTTGGTTTTCCACCTTAAATATTCAGAGGGGAGGAAACAAAAAATAACCCAATTTTAGCCTCAGAGGTAAAATATTTAACTACTCAACATTCTTTGTTTTGCATAAAGAAATGTTTAACCAAGATTCCTCAGGTTACAGTCAGATGGTCAAATTTTCAAAAACAAATGTGCACACACAAGGAGGCAGGCATGATTTACCTCAAAATGCAACTGCTTGTGGATTATGTCTGTTTATAGGACCTCAAGTTTTTTCTAAAGCTTAGATTAGCTGAATAAGTGCTTTGTTTTTCAGCACAAAAGTCATCATCAAAGACAATTGTTGAAAACCCTGAAGGTCAGTCGTAGCAGAAGTAGTTAGAGGTAGAATTATAAGATAAAATGCCTGCCTTCAAGAAGTTTACAATCTAATTGGAGTGATAGTAAATGAGCATAAATTATAACTGAGAATAAACGATTGCTTGTGTTAGGAATTTCTAGAATCATAAAGATTATCTAGTTCAAACCTCTCACTTTTCAGATAACAGGGTTAGGTTGGAGGAAGAGATACTGAGAGGTAAAATACCGTGGCCAAGGTCATAGAGAATGTAAAACGTTAAAGGCTTAGTCTGAACTAGACCCCTGGTCTCTGTTCTTTTATTTATAGGGCGTTTTCAGACCACAGCAAAACCTAAACTAAGAAAAAAATTTGCATTTTGCCAGAGCATTAACAACCTGATGGGGATGACCAGGACTAGAAGGCTTGTCAGACCAAGGGATTATTAGTCATATCAAGGGGTGAATATCATGGGATTCCAGCCAGGAAGTTAATTACTATGGAGACAGGTGTATGAGTCATACAATTTCAGAGGAGGAGGCAGAGTCCGGGATCTAGAGCAGTGCTGGCCAGTAAAGATATAATTTGAGCCACAAATGGAGGACACATATATAATTTTTAAATTTCTAGAAGCCATGATAAAAAAGTAAAAACAAATAGATGACATTAATATTAATAATATATTTTATTTAACCCAATATCTCTAAAGTATTATTTCAAAATGTAATTAATATAAAAAATAATATATTTTACATTTGCTTTTGTTTATTAAGTCTTTGAAATTCAGTATATGTTTTACACTGATGGGACATCTCAAATGTTTAATAGCAATAAGTGGCTACTGGCTTCCCTTTTGGACAGTAGCAGTCTAGAGGAATCTCACTGATGGAACAAATTAAGCAGTATATGCCAAGAAAATTGACTTGGTCTGAGAATATCCTAGAGAACACTGCTCAAACTATAATATGCATAGAACTCACCTGGGGATCTGACTAAAATTCAGATTCTGATTTACTAGGTGTTATGGCTTGAATGTGTCCCCCAAAAAGCCTGTGTTGGAAACTTATTCCCCAACTCAACAGTGTTGGGAGGACAGGACTAATGGGAGGTGCTTAGGTCATGAAGAGTCTACCTTCATGGATTGACTAATGCTGGTTATAAAAGGGCTTGAGGCTGCAAGTATGATCTCTTGCTTTCTCTCTCACCCTCTGTTGCCCTTCTGCCTTCTGTCATGGAATGCTGCAGCATAAAGGCCCTTGTGAGATGTTGGCTCCTCAATCTTGGTCTTCTCAGCCTCCAGACTTGTAAGAAATAAATCTTAGTTCTTTAACAATTACCCAGTCTCAGGTATTCCATTATAACAGCACAAAACAAACTAAAACACTAAGTCTGAGGTAGGTCTAGGATTCTGCATTTTTAACAAGCTTCAAATGACGCTGATGCCCTGGTCTGACACCCATACTTTGAGTAGGCAGGTTAATCCAGGAGATCAGTCATGGTGGGGAGACATAAACAAATAAGGAAGTTCTAAGTAGTCCAATCAGAATTTTATCAGTAGAGAGAAATGTTTCTCCCCAGTGAGTTCCTTGGTCCATGAAATAGGAACGTCTGTCAATTCTTCTGCCCTCTCAAAGAAGTAAAGGGTGCTTCTTCCACACTCTACCCCCTTTACTATACCCATTCTATAAGACACAGCAGTGACATATCTGAGTGGAGAGATTGGGCAATGGTCTCTGTCCATGAGTGGACTGAGGTCCCACTGCTTTCACCTGCTCAGCGACACCTGTCCTCACACTTGAGCATCCTCTTTCTGCTCCCTTCTCCCATGGGAAGTGCATCTCAGTCATTGCCTAAGTCATTCCTTTCAGACACCTGTATCTTTATTTCCCTATTTTATTCTCATTTATATCTATAGGTGATCAATTTTGGCTGTGCATCCTCACCCAAATCTCATGTCAAGTAGTAATTCCCAATATTTGGGAAGAGACCTGGTGGGAGGTAATTGAATCATGGGGGTAGATTTCCCCCTTGCTGTTCTCATGACAGTGAGTGAGTTCTCACAGATCTGGTTGTTTAAAACTGCATAGCATTTCTCCCCTCACTCTGTCTCTTTTCCTCCTACTCCAACCATGTAAGATGTGCTGGCTTCACCTTTGACTTTTGCCATGATTGTAAGTTTCCTGAGACCTCCCCAGCCATGCTTCCTATACAGCCTGTGGAACCATGAGCCAACTAAACCTCTTTCTTTATAAATGACCCAGTCTCAGGTGCATCTTTATAGCAGTGTGAGAATGGACTAATACAGAAAATTGGTACTAGAGAAGTGGGGCATGGCTATAAAGACACCTGAAAATGTTGAAGCAGCTTTAAAACTGGTTAACAGGCAGATTTGGAACAGTTTGGAGGTCTCAGAAGACGACAGAAAGATGAAGGAAAGTTTGGAACTTCCTAGAGACTTGTTGAATGGTTGTGACCAAAACGCTGTTAGTGATATGAACAGTGAAGTCCAGGCTGAGGAAGTATCAGATGGAGACGAGGAACTTATTAGGAACTGGAGCAAAGGTCACACTTACTGTGCTTTAGCAAACAGACTGGCAGCATTGTGCCCCTGCTCTAGGGATCTGTGGAACTTTGAACTTGAGTGAGATGATTTAGGGTATCCAGTGGAAGACATTTCTTTTCTTTTCTTTTTTTAAAGTATACTTTAAGTTCTAGGGCATATGTGCACAACGTGCAGGTTTGATACATAGGTATACATGTGCCATGTTGGTGTCCCCCAAAACAACTCGTCATTTACATTAGGTATTTCTCCCAATGCTATCCCTCCCCCAGCCCCCAACCCCCAACAGGCCCTGGTGTGTGATGTTCCCCGCCCTGTGTCCAGGTGTTCTCATTGTTCAATTCTCACCTATGAATGAGAACACACAGTGTTTGGTTTTCTGTCCTTGTGATAGTTTGCTGAGAATGATGGTTTCCAGTTTCATCCATGTCCCTGCAAAGGACATGAACTCATCCTTTTTATGGCTGTGTAGTATTCCATGGTGTATATGTGCCACATTTTCTTCATCCAGTCTATCATTGATGGACATTTGGGTTGGATCCAAGTCTTTGCTATTATGAGTAGTGCTGCAATAAACATACATGTACATGTGTCTTTATAGTAGCATGATTTGTAATCCTTTGGGTATATACCCAGTAATGGGATTGCTGGGTCAAATGGTATTTCTAGTTCTAGATCCTTGAGGAATCGCCACACTGTCTTTCTGGTGGAAGACATTTCTAAGCAGCAAAGCATTCAAGATGTGGCCTGGCTGCTTCTAACAGCATATGCTCATATATGTGCACAAAGAGAGGATCTGAAACTGGAACTTATATTTAAAAGGGAAGCAGAGCATAAAAGCTTGCAAAATTTTCAGCCTGACCACGTGGTAGAAAAGAAAAACACATTTTCTTTTTTTTTTTTTTTTGTTTGAGACAGAGTCTCTCTCTGTCACCCAGCCTGGAGTGCAGTGGCCGATCTCGGCTCACTGCAAGCTCCGCCTCCCAGGTTCATGCCATTCTCCTGCCTCAGCCTCCCGAGTAGCTGGGACTACAGGCGCCCGCCACCACGCCCAACTAAATTTTTGTATTTTTAGTAGAGACGGGGTTTCACCATGTTAGCCACGATGGTCTCGATCTCCTGACCTCGTGATCCGCCCGTCTCAGCCTCCCTAAGTGCTGGGATTATTACAGGCATGAGCCACCGTGCCCGGCCTACCGAAAAATACATTTTCTTAAGAGGAATTCAAGGCTGCGGAAATTTGCATAAGTACAGAGGAGCCAAATGTTAATAACCGAGACAGTGGGGAAATGCCTGCAGGGCATTTCAGAGACCTTCACAGCAGCCCCTTCCATCACAGGCCTGGAGGCCTAAGAGGGAAACATAGTTTTGTGCACCAGGTGCAGGGCCCCCGCTGATCTTTGCAGCCTCAGGACATGGCACTCTGTATCCTAGCCACTCCAGCTCCAGCTGTGGCTAAAAGTGGCCTAGGTACAGCTTGGTCTGTTGCTTCACAGGGTGGAAGCCCCACATGGTGTTGGGGCTGCAGGTACACAGAGGGTAAGAGTTGAGGTTTGGGAGCCTCTGCCTAGCTTTCAGAGGATATATGGAAATCACTTTTGTGTACTATGGAAAGAGTTGGGTAAGGGGTGTAGAGCATGGAAGAATCACCCTTTATTTCTTTGAGAGGGCAGAATGACTGGTAGAAGTTCCTATTTCATGAGCCAAGAAACTCAGTGAGGAGAAACATTTCCCTTTGCTGATAAAATTCTCATTGGCCTACTTAGAACTTCCTTATTTATTTATGTCTCCTCACCATGGTTAATATCCCAGATTAACCTAGCTCTCTAAGTGTGGGTGACCGACCAGGGCATCAGCATCACCTGAAGGCTTGTTAGAAATGCAGAATCCTAGACTTATCCCAGACCTAATGAATCAGCGTCTGCATTTTAATCAGATCTCTAGGTAAGACCTGTGGGTATTAAGTTTCTATGTAAATGTGGGTCTGTGTCTGGGCTATGCATCTTGTCCCATTGGCCTATTTGTCTATAACTATTTTAATAAATACATAACACTTTTTTTTAGTTCCAAGAAGTTTATAATAAATCTTGATATTTTATAAAGAAAATCTTCTGATGGGATTCAGGAAAACAATACCCTAGAATATTTTAAGCTGAAATAACTTGAGAAAATGACTGAAACAGGAAGGTCATGCTCACCTTTCCCAGCCCTTCTTCCCCAAAGCAGGTCATAAAATCTGGGAAGGATCATCTGACCTTCCCCTGCGGCAGGTCCTAAGACCCTCATTGAGAGGCACCCTCTTCAGACTTGGAGGAAAAAAGTATCCTTATCTCTAAAGATCCCTCCTGAGTGACTTGCTGCTGTATTCAAGATAATGAGTGAGTTCTTGTTCTGTGTTCACATGAGATTTGGTTGTTTAGGGTTCACAGACAAGAATCTGAAGAAATAGGCCTTGCAAACTTCCCCCCAGTTCATTACCATTAGCTGATACCCTTTTTGCCCTACCATTTTTCTCCACATTTTTCCCGCTCTTCATCAAACCTAGCTTAAAGATATACAGATTTATCCATTTCTTCAGGTGTTCATTTTCTTGTGAAGGCTTCTATGTCACATAAAACTTATTAAATAAATTTATATGCTTTTCTTGTTAATTTATCCTTTGTTATAGGAGCCTCAGCCATAAGCCTAAGGAAGGTGAAGGAAAAAATACTGTTTTCTTCCTTGTATTATCTGCCCCCCAACCCATATTGTTTTTCATGTTAATGGTATTAAATTGATTAGTTTCTGCAATTTGATTCTTTTGTGTAAATTTTAGAATAAGTTTGTTAAGTTTTATGAAAATCTTTAAGGGAATTTTATTGAGTTGCACTGAAATTATGGATTATTGAAATAGATATCTTTATAGACCATAAAAAGAGTTGATGTCTGTTTGATAATGCATAGTCCTAAGTCTCTTTCTTTAATTTGATTTTTTATAACTTTGTAGGAATCCATCATTGGATTGGATCCATCATCATTTCACTTTATAACATAACTCCAAAAAGACCATTATTTCCATTTTCTTGGGGGTGTTTATACGTTGTAGTTCTTATATAGCTTGGATAGTTTAATAGTGGTATTTTTTAATGTGCTAAGGAATGCTATAAAGGGTGTGAGTGACTCTAGGGACAAGTGGGAAAATATTTAAACTATGGGAGGGGAAAAGACAATTCAGGTTAGAATTGCCAGATAAAATATAGGACACTTTATTAAATTTAACTTTAGATAAACAATAAATTTTGTTTTAGTGTGAGTATGTTTTATGCAATATTTGTGAACTTGTCAGGGTAATCAGCAGAACAGCTTAGCTAGAAAAGAAGATATTATTGCGATTCCAACAGGTAGAGACAATGGAATGCTGGAGTCAAGTCATACTGGCTCATGGGAGAGCTGATTGTTAAATTTCTAAGAGTTTTGTGAGTCAGTTGTTAAGCCGTTGGTAGCTCAAAATTAGTAATGGTGGGTGCATGCACACCAGAGAAATAGGCCCCTTTCCCAGTTGTTTAGCATCGATCAGCACATCAGTGGATAGAGCTGAGTTGGCCAAATTATGAAAGTCTTGAGTTCCATTCTAAGGAATGGGCACCTACTGAAGATTTTGAGTAGGCAGATAACACAGTTAAAAAATTATACCAGGAAAATTAATCTGATAGCAGTGGATTTGTGAGACAGATTAGAATGAAAGAGATTGAGTCAGGGAATTCTTATAATGAACCAAGTTTGAGGCGAGTAGACTTGAGTAAGAAAGATGACAGGAGAAAGGAAAGAAGTTAAATGCTAAGAACATTGGAAAAGGGAGGATTTGAAAGAGTTGTGACTGTCTTTTTTCACTCAATCTCTATGTCTGCAGATGTTTGAGTATAATGTTTCAAGCCTGAGAGAAAGGGAAAATGTTGGCGTACTTGGCAGATAAAGAATGATGTTCAGGGAAGTCCATTTGGGAATAGATGTGGCAGTAGAGGCTGTGAATAGATTTGCTCTCTAATGAAAACTGTGTCAAGAGAGGAGAATGAAGGGACTGTTAATTAGTGGAAGTCCCTTGTGTTTTTTGCTCTTTTCTTAATGTCATGTTTCAATGAAGTATAATTTATATACAATCAATGCACAGATTTTAAGTGTATAGTTCTGTGAGAGTTTTGAGACATATTTACATCCATGCAATAAACATCTTAATCAAGATATAAAGCATTTCTGACAGCTCAGGTTTCCTTATGTCTCCAGTTCCCTCCACCCCAGATATAACCACTGTTCTGACTTCCATTATCATAGATAATGTTCTTGAATTTAATTTAAATGAAATCCTGAAGTATATTCTCTTTTGTGTCTGGGTTCTTCCGTTCAGCATAATGATTCTGAGATCCATCCATGCTTTCATGTGTATGAGTAGTGTTTTTTAAATTAACATCTACAGTTTATAATATAAATATACAACTTGCTCATCCATTATCCTATTCGTGAACATTTGGGCTGTTTCTACTTTGGGGCTATTATAAATATGAGTGCTATAAGGATTTTTGCACAAATATTTTTGTGGGCATGTAGTTTCATTTATCTAGAGTATATAACTAGGAATGTAATTACTGTATCATATGTTAAACCTATGCTTAACTTTAAAAGAAACTGTCAAAGCGTTCTCCAGAGTAGTTATATCACTTTATACTGTCACTAGCAAGGTAATAGAGTTTCAGTTACTCAACATTTTCACCACCTTACTAATATTTTGTATCTATATTCATAAAAATGTTGGATATTGGTCAATAAATTTTATTTCCTTTTTTGTGCTATATCCTTGTGAGGTTTTAGTATCAGGGTCATGGGGCCTCATATATTTGTCCTCCATATTTTGAAAGTGTGTAGAATTGATATTATTTCTTCCTTAAATGTTTGGTAGAATTCATCAGTGAAGCTATCTGGGCCCAGTGTTTTCTCTGTGGGAAGATTTATATTTACAAACTCAATTTTTGTAACACATATAGGACTACTTAAATACTCTATTTATTTTGGTTTCACTTTTGGTAAGTTTATCTTTTGAGGAATAAGTCTATTTTTATTTAATAATTTGGGTAAGTTCCTTGTTATCTAAGAAATTTAGAACTTATTTGCATGAAGTTGATTATAATATACTCTTTTTATTCTCTTACTATCTGTAGAATCTCCAATGATATCTCCATTTATTTACCTTTCAGCTATTGGTAATTTTGTTTTATCTCTTTTTTGTCTTAATCAGTCTTCTCAGCATTTTATCAATTTCATTAATTTTTGTCAGAGAACAATTTGACTTTGCTGATTTTCCTAATTTTTGGTTTTCTATTACATTGATATCCACATTTATCTTTATTATATTATTTATTATATTTACTATTGTTTAATTTGCTTTTCATTTTCCATCTTTTTGAAATGAAACTTTAGATGATTAATTATAGATTTTTTTTTCTTTTCTAACATAAGCATTTAAAGTTATAAATTTCCCTCTAAGCATACTTTAGGTTCATCCCATAAATTTTGAGATATCATGTTTTCCTTTCTATTCAGTTCAAAATATTTCCCAAATTCTCTTGTAATTTTTCTTTGCTCCATGAGTTATTTAGAAGTGTGTTGTTTAATATCTAAATATTTGGGGGAATTTTCTAGATTTTTATTATTGATTTCTAATATAATTACTTTATGATCATCAGAGAACATATTGTATAATTTCATGTCTTGTAAATTTATCAAGATTTGTTTTATGGCACAGCTTATGATTTATCTTGGTAAATGTCCCACGTGCACTTGAAAAGAATGTGTATTTTGTTATATTTAGGTGAAGTGTTCTAAAAATGTCAACTAAGTCTAATTGCTTAGTGATGTCTTTCAATTTTGAAAAAAAATTTCAGTAGTTTTTGGGGAACAGGTGGGTAAACTATTTAGTAGTGATTTCTGAGAATTTGGCACACCCGTCACCCAAGCAGAGTGCACTGTACCCAATGTGTAGTCTTTTATCCCACAACCCCCTCCCACCCTTCCCCTCAAGTCTCCAAAGTTTATTGTATCATTCTTATGCCTTTGCGCCCTTATAGCTTAGCTCCCACTTATAAGTGAAAACATATGATATTTGGTTTTTCATTCCTGAGTTACTTCACTTAGAATAATGGTCTCCAATTCCATCCAGGTTGCTGTGAATGCCATTATTTCATTTCTTTTATGGCTGAGTAGTATTCCATAGTGTATATGTTGAGTTTGGGTTTGGATTGTTCTTGTTTCTCTAGCTCCTTGAGGTGTGACCTTAGATTGTTTATTTGTGCTCTTTCAGACTTTTTGATATAGGCATGTAATGCTATGAACTTTCCTCTTAGCAGTACTTTTGCTGTATCCCAGAGGTTTTGATAAGTTGTGTCACTATTATTGTTCAGTTCAAAGAATTTTTAAATTTCCATCTTGATTTCATTGTTGACCCAAAGATCATTCAAGAGCAGGTTATTTAATTTCCATGTATTTGTATAGTTTTGAGAGTTTCTTTTGGAGTTAGTTTCCAGTTTTATTCCACTGTGGTCTGAGAGGATACTTGATATAATTTTGATTTTCTTAAATTTATTGAGACTTGTTTTATGGCCTATCATATGGTCTATCTTGGAGAATGTTCCATGCACTGATGATTAGAATATATATTCTGCATTTGTTGGGTAGAATGTTCTGTAAACATCTGTTAAGGCCCCATTTGTTCTAGGGTACAGTTTAAGTCCATTGTTTCTTTGTTGACTTTCTGTTTTGATGGCCTCTCTAGTGCTGTCACTGGAGTATTGAAGTTCCCCACTATTATTGTGTTGCCATCTATCTCATTTCTTAGATCTAGTAATAATTGTTTTATAAATCTGGGAGCTCCAGTGTTAGGTGCATTTATATTTAGGATTGTGATATTCCTGTTGGACTGATCCTTTTATCATTACATAATGCCCCTCTTTGTCTTTTTTAACTGCTGTTGCTTTAAAGTCTGTTTTGTCTGATATAAGAATAGCTACTCCTGCTTGCTTTTGGTTTCCATTTATGTAGAATATCTTTTTCCACCCCTTTACCTTGAGTTTATGTGAGTCTTTATGTGGTAGGAGAGTCTCTTGAATCCAGCAGATGCTTGGTTGGTGGATTTTTATCCATTCTGCCATTCTGTACCTTTTAAGTGGAGCATTTAGGCCATTTACATTCAAAGTGGGTATTGAGATGTGGGATACAGTTCTATTCATCATACTAGTTGTTGCCTAAATACCTTGTTCTTTCTTTTTTTCATTGTGTTATTGTTTTATAGGCCCTGTGAGGTTTATGCGTTAAGGAGGTTCTATTTTGGTGTATTTCAAGGTTTTGTTTCAAGATTTAGAACTCCTTTTAGCATTTCTTGTAGTGCTGGCTTGGTAGTGATGAATTCTCTCAGCATTTGCTTGTCTGAAAAAGACTTTATCTCCTTCATTTATGAATCTTAGTTTTCCTGGATGCAAAATTCTTGGCCCACTATCATTTTGTTTAAGGAGGCTAAAGATAGGACCCAAATCCTTTCTGTTTTGTAGGGTTTCTGCTGAGAAATCTGTTGTTAATCTGATAAGTTTTCCTTTATAGGTTACCACTTGCTTTTGTCTCACAGCTCTTAAGATTCTTTCCTTCAGCTTGACTTTAGATAACCTGGTGACTAAGTGCCTAGGTGATGATCTTTTTGTGAATTTCCCAGGTGGTATTTGAGCTTCTTGTATTTGGATGTCCAAATCTCTAGCCAGGGCAAGGAAAATTTCCTCAATTATTCCTTCAAATAAGTTTTTCAAACTTTTAGATTTCCCTTCTTCCTCAGGAACACCAGTTATTCTTAGGTTTGGCCATTTAATAGAATCCTAAATTTCTTGGAGGCTTTGTTCATTTTTTTAGATTTTTTTTTTGTCTTTGTCTGATTGGGTTAATTTGAAAGCCAGGTCTTCAAGCTCTGAAGTTCTTTCTTCTACTTATTCTAGTCTATTGTTAAAACTTTCCAGAGCATTTTGTATTTCTCTAAGTGTGTCTTTGATTTCCCAAAGTCATGATTATTTTTTCTTTATTGTATCTATTTCTCTGGAGAATTTTTCATCCATATCCTGTTTTTTTTTAATTTCTTTAAGTTATGTTTCACCTTTCTCTGGTATCTCCTTGAGTAGCTTAATAATCAACCTTCTAAATTCTTTATCTGGCAATTCAGAGCTTTCTTCTTCGTTTGGATCCATTGCTGGGGAGCTAGTGTGATCTTCTGGAGGTGTTATAGAACCCTGTTACCAGAATTGCTTTTCTGGTTCCTTCTCATTTGGGTAGACTATTTCAGTGGAAAGATCTGGAACTCAACAGCTGCTGTTCAGATTCTTTTGTCCCATGACGTGATCCCTTGATGGGGTTCCCTCCCCTTTCCCCTAGGGATGGGGCTTCCTGAGAGCCAGACTGCAGTGATTGTTATTGCTCTTCTGGGTCTAGCCATCCAGCGGAGCTCCCAGGCTCTGGACTGGTGCTGGGGAATGTCTGAAAAGAGTCCTGTGATATGATTTGTCTTCAGGTTTCCCACCTGTGGATACCAGCACTTGGTTTGGTGGAGTTGGCAGGGGAATGAAGTAGACTCTCTGAGAGTTCCTCATTGTGGTTTTGTTCAGTGTTCTGGCTTTCTCGAATGCTGGTTATACTAGCAGTGAAGTTGTCATGTGGGCAGACTAAGGACCTCTGGGTAGCCAAGATATGCCAGGCAGTGGTATTAGCTGTTGTTTTCTCCCTTCTGGGAGCAGGGTTATTCTGTCATGCATTGCTGTAATGGCCTCAATTGGTTGGCCTTCTGCCAAGAGGTGATGCTTTCAAGAGAACACCATCTGCAGTAGTTGAAGGGGGATATAAGTTTGCCCTAAGTTGGCCAAGTAGGTATTCTGGTTTCTCTGGTGATGAACAGGACCATAATGCTCCAAAGAGCTTATGTCTTTTGTGTTCAGCTACCAGGGCAGGTAGAGAAATGCCACCAGGTAGGGGAAGGTTTAGACGGGCCTGAGCTCAGACCCTCCTTGGGCAGGATTTGCCACAGTCACTGTGAGAGATGGGAGGATGGTTCTCAGGCCAATAGGGTTATGTTCCAGAAAGGATTATGGCTGCCTCTGCTGTGCCATATAGTTTGCCAGGGAAGAGGGGGATAGCTGGTAGTGAAAGGCCTCACCCAGTTCCCACGCAGTTGGCAAGGCCAGTCTTATTTCCACAGTGACCTACTAATAGCACCAAGTTTAGATCCAGTCAGTCTGCACATGGAACTCAGACCTTGCCCCAGGCCTAAAGCTTCCCCACCGAGAAAGCAAGCACTGTTTTCAGGCCTTGCCCCTCCCTGTCTGCCCAATGTTGGTGGCAGCTCCTGTGCTTGTATCTGCAGCAGTTCCTGTTCGTTCCCTGGATTCTGCTCAAGAAAATTTGTTCCCAGTTGAAATTATTACAAAATTCAGCTGGAAGCTTCTTTCACCCCATGACCCCTCCCTAATTCCACTTGCTGCCTTCCCTGAGGGCCCCTGTTAGATATAGTCAGGGATGGCTTCCCTGGGCTCGAGCTGGGGACTGGGAGTGCCTACAAGGCTCTTCCCACTGGTGCTTCTACTTTTATGTTTCGTTGGCTCCCTAAAACTGTTTCAGCTCTAGATAAGGTTAAATCCTTCTTCTGTGACCGGGCTTTTCAGAGTCCCCAGTGGGGATGTGTGTTCAGAGGCAGATTTTTCCCCTCACACTTTGGGAACTCACAGTTTTTCACATCTTGCAGAATTTGCAGTGGCATGCTGCTTCTTTCAAAGGATGTGTGAATTCTTTTGGCTGTCCTGGTATGTTTCCACACTGGTTCTTGGAGAAAACATTCACCTGTGAGTCTCCATACGCTGTTCTGTCTGTCCAAGCAAGAGCTGCAAGTTAGCCCTGCCTCCTATCTGCCATCTTCCTCCCCTTCCCTGCTCAAGTTTTCTACATTTATTATAGACTTTATGTCTTCTTGTTCTATCAATTATTAAGAGAAGGGTATTACAATTTTCAAGTATAATTATGAATTTTTCTATTTCTTTTTGCAGTTCTGTCAGTTTTTGCTTAATGTATTTTGAAGCTCTATTATTAGGAGGATACACATTTAGAATTGTTAGGTCATCTTAATGAATTGATTCTTTCATTATAATTGAATGCCCTTTATTCCTGGTAAAATTACTTGTTCTGAGTAATATTTTATGTGATGTTAATAAAGCTGCTGTAGTGTTCTTCTGGTATACCTTTTTAAAACCTATTACTCTTGTCCTACCTGTACCTTTATTTTTAGAGTAGATTTCTTATAGACAGGATGTTGTACGTGCTTTTAAAAATTAGGTTGGCCATTGCTCCTTTATTGCTGCCTTTTGTATGAGGGTGTTTGTTTAGACCATTTACATTTTAAAAACAGCTTTATTTAGATATGGTTGGCATACCCATTCTAGTTAACCCATTTAAAGTGTACAACGTAATGTGTTCTAGTATATTCACAGGATTGTTCAACCATCATCATAGTTTCATTCTGGAGGGACCATCTACATTTAATATAAATACTAATATGATTGGATTCAAATCTGTCATCCAGCTATTTGTCTTATTTTAGTCTTGTGGGTTTTGTTCCCTCTTTCTCTTTTCTCCCTGCTTTTGGATTAAGTGAGTGTTTGCTAGTGTTCCATTTTTATGTTCACT
Source organism: Homo sapiens (assembly GCF_000001405.40). Lineage (NCBI taxonomy): Eukaryota > Metazoa > Chordata > Mammalia > Primates > Hominidae > Homo > Homo sapiens. Next base: position 53,827,847 of record NC_000014.9, on the reverse strand, counting down.
ATTGGCTTATTAGTCCACTAAAAGATTATTAGCCATACCTCTTTGTTTTGTCATTTTAGTGATCACTCTAATAATTATAATGTGTATTTTTAACATATCATAGTCAAACTTCAAATATTATATCACATCACATATGGCACAGCTCGGATTCACTCGCTAACAGTTCTGTGACTAGAAAGGAAAGAACTCTTTATTCCCAGCTCTGATTTGAAAAAAATCTCATGAAAAGGCTCTTTATAGCCTGGCTTGGGTCATATGACTATCTGTGGACCGAACACTATGGCCAAGGATGTAAATTCTTGTAGGAGGATGGTAGTTTTCATTCAAAATATGGATTGAGGGTGAAGAAAGGAGATTTCCATAGTATTATTGAACCTATAGGTTTACGTTTTTATCGGAAGTAAATTTTCAAAATACCTGTAATGAAATCCTGCATCTTTATTAAAGTGATTTTTCTTTTTCTTTTGTTTTAGAGACCATTTCTTGCTCTTCTTCCCAGCCCAGAGTGCAATGGTATGAACATAGCTCACTTTAACCTCAAGCTCCTGGACTCTAATAGACTCATGCCATGACACCCAGGCTAATTTTTAATTTTTTCATAGAAACAGGGTTTTGCTATACTACCCAGGCTGGTCTCGAACTCCTGGCTTCAAATAGTCCTCCCACCTCAGCCTTCCAAAACACTGGGATTACAGGCATGAGCCACTGTGCTTACCCAAAGAGATTTTTCAAAGTCTGTGATGACTACTCTAGACATGGAAGACTGTTTTGGAACAGATTTTATAAATGCCAATAAGATTGCTTGATAAATAAGGCAGCAATACTTAGAAGATTAAATGTGTACATTGATGATCCCCCCATTTATGCCTTACATTTTGTCCAGTTGTAGTAGCAGCCTTTGCAGCTCACTATAACTCCCTTTACCTTGAACTTTCACTAAAACTGCAGTGCTTGTGGAAGCCATGTTTGTGCTGTGTGAACCAGACCCTGTTGTTACAGCCAATTGGCCTGATATAACACCCAACTCAAGCTGGGGTGATCAGATTCTCTTCTGAAATTTTTAATTTGAGGTTTGGAACTAATTAATCACTGTCTCATGTTGGAACTCTAACAAATAAACCACAGCTGCCAGGGAGTATGGTTTTACAGTGTGGATGGAATAGCAAGGAAAGCCACTGTGAAAAGAGGAAGGAATGAGACCAATTGAGGAAAGAAGCAGAAACAGAGAAACTGTCATGACCTCTTTCCATTCCCAATTCCAGGCTTGGCTACATTCTTATCCTTGGGGTCTGTGAGACGTAGAGTATATTCCTTAAAATTCATTTCTACTTTTGTTTAAGCTGGCTTGAGGGGACTTCTGTTTCTTGTAATCCAAGAGCCTAGGCCAAAACTTCAAATATACAATTTTGAAAGAATTTAAGAAGTATTTGTCAGTTCAAGTACTATCTTAAGGATGAATAAAAGGCATAAAAACTAGGATTCAATTTTATTATACTAATTCATGACAAAGTTTTCCTATTTCTGGACAGTGTATCATCTCTTTGGCAAAAGTTTTAAAATAAAATTTTAAGGGGGTGAATGACGGGTGGTCACTTGGTGGGTACAATGTGCGTCGCTCTAGTGATAGATGCACCGAAGGTCCTGCCTTCACTGCAATGTGATACATTGATGTAGCAAAATTGCACTTGCACACTATGAATATATAGAAATTTAAAAATCAAAATAAAAAATAAAAATTTAGGTAAAATATTAAATATATCAAAAATAAAACTCATTAAAATGCCATCCTGCTTAATAAATAGAGCATTAATAATCTCCTGAAAAATTCCAGGTGCTCCTCTTCAATTTCATCCCTCTCCCTGCCCCAGAGACAGCCACTGGACTGAATTTTTTATCTATTATTTGTTTTCTTTCTTTAAATAGTTTTACCACATCTGTATGTATCTCTAGAAATACAATGTTTAGTTTTCCATACTTTTGAAATTTATGTTGATGGAATAATGCTCTATGCTATGAATCCCTCTTTGCTCAACTTTATACTTAAGAGATTAATTACATTTTTGTGTACAAATCTAATTCATTCATTTTCACTGCTGTATAGATTCCTGTTTTACAGCTGTGGCAGAGATTATCCTTTCTCCCTTCAGTGAGGAGTTAGAAGTGGAATTTCTGTGTTGTAGCAGTGGTCCCCAACCTTTTTGGCCCCAGGGACTGGTTTCATGTAAGACAATTTTTCCATAGACCAGGGGTTGTCGGGGGGATGGTTTTGGGATGATTCAAGCACATTACACTTATTGCGCACTTTATTTCTATTATTATTACATTGTAATGGGTAATGAAGTAATTATACAACTCTCCATAATGTAGAATCAGTGGGAGCCCTGAGCTTGTTTTGCTGCAACTAGATTGTCCCATCTGGGAGCGATGGGAAATAGTGACAGATCATTAGGCATTAGATTCTCATAAGGAGAGCACAACCAAGATCCCTCACATGTGCAGTTCACCATAGTGTTCACGCTTCTATGAGGATCTAATAGAACCACTAATCTGACAGGAGGTACAGCTCACACAGTAATGCAAGCCATGGGGAGTGGCTAAATACAGATGAAGCTTTGCTCGCTTGCTTGCCACTCACATCTTGCTGTGCGGCCCAGTTCCTAACAGGCCACAGACTCGTACCAGTCTGTGGCCCCTGGGGGTTGAGGACCCCTCTGTTGTAGGATATATACATATTTAAATTTCTAGGTAATGCCAAGTTTTTCTCAGAGTGATTGTAGTATAAATGTATAAAAATGCCCTTCGCTTTACATCCTTGCGGATTTTTGGCATGTTTTGACTTTTTAGTTATTTTGCCAATCTAATGTATGCAAAATTAAATCCCACTTTTTTACCTAACAAACATTCATTAAGTGCCTGATAGAGACATATCAGTGAATAAAACAGACAAAATAAACAAAAACAAAACAAAATCTAAAGCCCTTGCCCTCATAGAACTTACATTCTAGTGGAGAATACACACAGCAAATAAAATATATATGAAAGTTATTTAGTATTTTAGTATCTGGTAAGTACTAAAGAGAAAATTAAAACAGAGCGGGACTAGGTAGTGCTGGTGCTGGGGTGGGACTGAACTTCAATAGAGTGGTCAGGTGGGCATTTGAACAAAGACCAGAAGGAGGTGAAGGAAGTCATACCAATAGCACTGTTGTGTTTTGTTTGATGTATCAATCAGAGTCCAGTTGGGGAAGCACAGTCGTGATAACTATTACAAGATAAAGAATTTATCATTGCAATTAGAGCTCACATGAATGTGGGAGGAACCAGGGAGGTGAAAGACTACAAGGGGTTGAGGGGTCAGAGATGGCTAGTCCCTAAGCAGCTTCCCGCAGCACTGGCATGGGGGGCAAGTCAAAGCTTGCAGGGTGATTGATAAATAAAGCACATCCTGCTGAGAAAGTAGGACCATAAAGAGGAAGTTTGTGAAGAGGTGCAGAGGAAGCTCTTGCTTTTGTGCAGAAACTGGCTGGTGGCTCCACAGCCAAACATTTGGTTGAGGGGCCTGGGCCATTGACTACTGGGCCAGTAGTGAAGAAGAGTTGGTCACAGCTCTTGGTTAAACTATAACCTGTGGGGTACTTTTGCATTTCTTCGTCACTAAGACCTTCAGAGGGTTATAACCACTGTTTCACATCCACCTTCCAAATTACTATGTTTTATCAACTCTAACCAAATATGATAGAAGGACAGGGACTCTGGGAAAAAGAGCTCCCAGCTTAACTAAGTTGATACAACGTAATCTAACACATCTAGTTAGTGATAAATGAGGTTGGGCATACTTCTATATATTCAGTGGTCATCATTGTTTTTTCTTCCTCCAAGTGTCTAAGTTCTTTGCTCATTTTTCTACTGGATTGTTTGATTTTTTAAAATAGATTTTTAGGAGTTTTTACAATATTTTGATTACCATTCTTAGTCCATTATATGTGTGGCAAATAAGTTATCCCAATTTGTAGCTGGTAATTTCACTTTCATCATGGCATCCTTTAAAGAACAAAGGTCTTTCTTTTCATATAATTTCACTTAATCTTTTTTTCTTATGGCTTGCACATTTTGTATACTGTTTAAGAAATCCTTCCTTAACCAAAGGCATACATTTATTCTTCTACGATGTCTTCTTAAAGTTTTATAATTTTCCTTGTATAATACTTTCAATAAACTTTTGTAAATAGTGTGAGATGAAAATACAATTTCACTGATCTTTTTCCATATAGAGCTGTAATTGTCCCAGTGCTGTATCTTAAAGAGTTCATCCTCACTGATTTGCCCTGCCTGCTCTTTCATAAAGCAGATTTCTCTATATTATTATGGTTCTATTTCTGGATTCTCTAATCTGTTCCATTGGTCTTTTGTCTCTCTTTTAACTAACATTATATTATTTTTATTATAGCCATATAAAAAGTCTTTCTCTCTGGTAGATGCAGTCTCTTCAGCTTGTGTTTCTTCGGGAGTGTTTTGGCAATTCTTGGTTCTTCATGTTTCTCTATTTTAAAATTGTCTTGATTAACTCAATAAAAAAGTTCTATAGGATTTCGACTGAAATTATACAAAATCTCTAGGTCAACTGGGGAAATTGACATGTTTTTCATTACTGAGTCTTTCTATCTGTAAATGTGATATCTCTTTTATAAAGATCTCATTTAATGTATTTCAGTAACATTTTATAATTTACTTCATAAAAGTCATATACATTTTGAAGATTTATTCCTAGGTATGTTATTTTTTGTTGCTGTAGTGAACAACACTTTAGAAAATTATATATACATTTTATATTTACAAATTATATCTATACATATGCATACCTATACACATATATACATATACAAATATACATATATATTTTGTATAGTTTGTTGCTGGTGTATAGAAATGCAATTGACTTTGACTTTATATCCAGAAAACTCACTAAACTAATAAACTTTCTTATTAATTCTCATAATTTATATGGAAATTCTTTTGAATTTTTCAATTAGACAATCACATCATTTACCAATAATACCAGAATTTTTTCTTTCTGATCTTTACTTTTTTATTCTTTATTTTTTCTTGTCTGGGTTTTTCAGTGCATCTTTGAATTGATGAGGTAAGAATGGATATATTTGTATTGGTTTTGAAGCTCTTAATATTTTACCATTAAGTACGTAATTTTTTTACCTACTTTTTGCAAAAGTCCTTTATCATTTAGTAGCATCTTATTCTATTCTTGTTTTCTTGAATCATAAAAATAAAATAGTATGTTAAATTTTATTAAATAATTTTTCTGCATCTATTGAGTTGGTCATGGTTTTTTACGCTTTTAAATTATTAATGTGGTAAATTATATCAGATTTTCTAATATTAAACCAACTTTGCCTATCTAGGATAAACTCTACTTATTCATGAAATTTTTTTTTATACATTGACAGATTTGGATACTAATGATTTGGGTCCTACTGTTTTGCTTAGAATTTTTATTTTTTTATCTATGACTATTATCTTGTGATATTCCTTTGGTGTATTATTCTTATCTATTTTGATGTTACAGGTGTACTTGCCTTACTCAATGAGTTGGGGAATGATATGGTTTGGATGTGTGTCCCCATCCAAATTGTTATACCCAATGATGGAGGGTGGGGACTGGTGGGAGGTGATTGGATCATAGGGATGGTTTCTCACGAATGGTTTAGCACTATCTCCTTGGTGCTGTTCTTGTGATAGTGAATGACTGCTCATGAGAGCTGGTTGTTTAAAAGTGTATGACACTGCCCTCACTCTAGACTGAGAAGATTTTTCTTTGAACTGGAGAGTTTTAGTATATCTATAGTTATTTTGATTACTGATATTCGTATTTATTTCTGCCATATTCTTTACATTTTTTCCACCTTTTTAGTTTTCTTTCTCCATTCTTGCTTCTTCTTTATTGTTTTTCTATCTGTTCTCATTCCATATTACCCTATACTTGGATAGAGAACATAATTTCTAAGGTGTATTTATTTGGTAGTTGTCTTTAATATTTTAATATGATCACTTAACTTATCAAAGCCTATAGTTAATCAGTACATTTTCCCTCCTCCCAAATTAGACAAACACCTTGGAACACTTTAATCACCATCCTTTCTGCTTATACTTTATGTTTTAGTGGATGGTATTTTAGTTCTAACTGTACAAGACAAATTATTGTTATTGGTGTACACAGTATTAATTTAGATCAGCATTTCTCAGCATCAGCACTACTGACATTTTGAGCAATAATTGTTTGTTGTGTGGAGCTGTCTGATATGCCATGAATGTTCAGCAGTAGGCCTGGCTGCCACACCGGATGCCAGCAGCACACCCTTCACCCAGTTGCCACAAGGAGAAATGTCTCCCGATATTGTCAGATGTTCCAAGGGGGAATATTGCTCTTGGTTCAGAATCATAGATTTAGATCTACCCACTTATTTAGAAGTATATGTTTTTACCATTCTGTCATATTTCACACCTTCCATCATTTTTCTTCTGCCTAAAATAAATAATTTAGAATTTTCTTTAGTGAGGTCTATAGGGCAAAAGGTAACAAGTCTGTTTTTGTTTGGTTTGGTTTTTGGTAAATCTGAGGAAAGTCCCTGTTTTTTCTTGTGTTTTAAAGTGATAATTTATTGGGTTTAGAATTCTGGATTGAGAGTTCCAGTTGTCCCTCAATATTCACAGGGCATTCGTTCCATGACTCCCTGCCAATATTCAAATCTGAAGATGGTTGAGTCCTCATATAAAAGGTGTAGTATTTGCACATAACCTACACACAACCTTCCATACACTTTTGACCATCTCTAGAATTACTTATAATAGCTGATATAATGTAAATGATATGTGGTTGTTATACTGCGTTGTTTAGGAAATAATTAGAAGAAAGAGAAGTCTATACATGTTCAGTACAGTTACAATCATTGTAGGCTTAACTACATTTTCCATCCAGGGTTGGTTGAATCCGCCAATGCGGAAGCTGCAGATACAGAGGTCCAATTACATTTTCTTTAAGCTCATTGGAGGAATCATTCTATTGTTTGGTGACATTGTGGTTGTTGAAAGTAAGAGCTATCAGTCTAATTGTTATTTCTTCTAATACAATATGTCTTCTCTCTGGCTTGTTTGAAGAAAGCTTTTTGTCATTTGTATTTTTAAGTATCACTATCATTATGTATAGGAGTATAATTCTCTTTTTCTTGTGATTTGTTGGGATCTCTGAATCTGATAATTGGTATCTTTCAACAATTCTGGGAAAGTCTCCGCTGTTATCTCTTTGAAAGTTGTTTCTTCCTATTATATTTCTAGAAGCTAGACAAATAGTAGATAACTTTAGAGGATTCTTACTTCATTTTAACCTTTGCAGCTTCCTTACTTTCTTGCTACTAAAATGTTTGGTATATTTTATTCACCACTTTTAAAAACAATAAACATTTCTAGATTTCTAGTTTGTGATATTGCTGGAAACTGAAGTTGCAAAGTTAATTTTAGTGGAATTAAAATAAGCCAACTATAATACTTATCCTAAACTTGTTTCTTACTGTAATTCTTTAATTGGTCCCCAATATCTGAACTACAGGTGATTCCTTTATACTCTCTATTTTGCTTTAATATTGTAAAATATAGACTTTACATTTTTTAAAAAGAAGTAACTCGTTATGCAAATGAAGATTTTGCCCTTGTTTTGCATACAAAATAGCTTTTCTCATAAGTATTGATGATCTCTCTTTTCACAACAAGACAGAAGAGAAAGTCTGTGTAGACCCTCGTTAAGAATGGCATCTCCATGGATAATGGGGTTAATCGTCAAGAATAAAAATGTATTGGTCTTTCATTTGAAATGGCTTTTGCACAGTTGATTGGGAGTACTTTGAGGTTGAAAATCGTAATAAATTTATTTTTGCTTCCTTTACTTATGTTTCCTACTCTCAACTTATTTCTCATGAGCATTGTGGCCATATCTATGTGGCCTAAATGTAGATGTCAGGAAATAGTTAAACAGCAATACTTTGTTTGAAAGTTTAGCTAAGTTCCAACCTCAGGGGTGTTTTGTTCTTTTTATTTTGCTATCTACAATGGTAGTATTTGGTAGTGAGAATTTGAATAAGTACCATGAGAAGAAATTTTCCTAAGAATAGAAAATCTTTCAGACAAAATTTGCCCAGAATTGATTCTTTTTCTACCTAACCCCTAAGGTATCTCTTGCTACTGTTTGTAAAGTTAAAGGATTTCTAAGAGGTCACTGCAAGGAGTTGTAGGTCATTTTAATGTGGCTTTGTGACTGTTAGCTGAGTTTCCATATTTCCATGATATTTAGTTTTGTATACCCAGAATAGAGCTAATTTCCATATCATAAATGAAACATCAAGGCTCAGATTAGCAAATTGTTTGTCTAGTGTCACATTGCTGAAGAATAAAGAGCTGGGTGGAGACCTAAACCAAGGTCTTTTCCAAGTTTGTTGCTTTTGCCATAATATAAATTTTTCCTAAATTGTGCCTCACGTAATCTTTTATTTTTTAATGAGATGTCAACAAGTATTCTTCTGAGGAAGGGTCAAGTAATTTAGACAATCCTGGTTTAAATTTTAAAGTATTTTTTAAAAACATTCTTGATTTAACTCGTTATTAGTTATGTGTTTTGTAAATATCTTTCCTCATTCTGAGCCTTGTCTTTTTACTTTTATACAGTGTCTTTTTACTTTTATACAGTGTCTTTTTACTTTTATACAGTGTCTTTTGATGAACAGAAGTTATTAATTGAGTGGTTGATTAATTTATTAATGCTTTTTTCATAGTATACACTTTTAGTGTTTTGTTTTAGGAATTCCTCCATACTCTCATATAGTGTCATATATTTTCTACTAGAAATTCAATGTTTTGCTTTTTTTGTGTGTTTTTTGAGATGGAGTTTCGCTCTTGTCGCCCAGGCTTGAGTGCAGTGCCGAGATCTCAGCTCACTGCAACTTCCGCCTCTGGGGTTCAAGCTATTCTCCTGCCTCAGCCTCCTGAGTAGCTGGGATAACAGTCGCCAGCCACCAGGTCAGCTTATTTTTTGTATTTTTAGTAGAGACGGGGTTTCACCATGTTGGGCAGGCTGGTCTCGAACTCCTGACCTCAAGTGATTCACCCGCCTCGGACTCCCAAAGTGCTGGGATTACAGGCGTGAGCCACCACACCCGGCCTGTTTTGCTTTTTACATTTAGTCAATATACAATATACCTAGAACTGATGATAATATACCTGGAACTGATTTGGAGCTATAGTGTGAGGTAAAGATCTAGTTTAATTTTTTTCCCATATGGATAAATAATTGCCCCTGCAACATTTGATCACAGACTTTCAGGAGTCTCCTCCATCATCTGTGGAATTTCTACACATTAGTGATCTGTTCTGGCCTCTCTATACTGTGACATTCGGTTATTCTGTCTGCACATATGCCAATACCAGTACTATTTGTAATTGAAAAAAAAACAATCTAAATACTCAAGAGAAGACTAGATAAATAAATTGTGGTATATATGTACAACTAAGTACTACACAACAGTAAAAATAAACTCGAGCTACATACATTAAAATCTCATAAATATAATGTTGAGCTCCTCTCCTCAAAAGAATTATCAAAATAATACCTAGAGCATGATACCATTTTTGTAAAATTAAAACCGTAAAAAACAGTATACCTTAATCCCGGCACTTTGGGAGGCCGAGGTGGGTGGATCACCTGAGGTCAGGAATACGAGACCAGCCTGGTCAACATGGTGAAACCCTGTCTCTACTAAAACTACAAAAAATTAGCCGAGCATTGTGGCTGGTGCCTGTAGTCCCAGCTACTTGGGAGGCTGAGGGAGGAGAATCGCTTGAACCTGGGAGGCAGAGCTTGCAGTGAGCCAAGATCATGCCATTGAATTCCAGCCTGGGCGACAGTGCGAGACTCCGTCTCAAAAAATAAACAAACAAACAAACAAAGTATACCTTTTGTTTAGGTATATATGGAAAGGTAATAAAGATATTAGTAACTGCATGAACCATTTATACAACATTCAGAATTTTGTTACCTCAGAGAGAGGGAACAGGTATGATGAGAGAGGGGTACACAGAGGTGCCAACTGTATTTGTAATATTTCTTTTGTAAGTTGCTAGGTGGGTTTATTTTATCATTCTTTACATCTTCTTATGTCTTAAAAGTTTTCCTAATGTTTTACAAATAATTATGTAAGATGCCTTTACTGCAATAGTTCATAGGGACTTTAATTTGCTAATAGGCTTTGTGTTTATCCAAAAAAGGGGGCATTCTATGAGTGTTTCCCAAGTTTAATTGACCATGAAGCCTTTTTTCCCCCACCCAGGAACAATTATTGGTATCTTGGGTGTTAGTCTTGTTTCATGATTCCCAGATTCAGAAAATGTACATTAGACCATACTGCTTATAAAGATGAGACAAATCCAAGGTCTAGTCTTTAAGAACTCTTTTTTTTCTTTTTAATTATACTTCAAGTTCTGGGATACATGTGCAGAACGTACAGGTTTGTTACATAGGTATATACGTGCCATGGTGGTTCGCTGCCCTCATCAACGCATCATCTATATTAGCTATTTCTCCTAATGCTATCCCTCCCCTAGCACTCCCAACCACTGACAGGTCCCAGTGTGTGACGTTCCCCTCCCTGTGTTCATGTGTTCTCATTGTTCAACTCCCAATTATGAGTCAGAACATTCGGTGTTTGGTTTTCTGTTCCTATGTTAGTTTGCTGAGAATGATGGTTTCCAGCTTCATCCATGTCCCTGCAAAGGACATAAACTCATCCTTTTTTATGGTTGCATAGTATTCCATGGTGTATATGTGCCACATTTTCTTAATCCATTCTATCATTGATGGACATTTGGGTTGGTTCCAAGTCTTTGCTATTGTGAACAGTGCCACAATAAACATACATAGATTCAATGCTATCCCCATCAAGCAACCACTGACTTTCTTCACAGAATTAGAAAAAAACTGCTTTAAATTTCATATGGAACCAAAAAAGAGCCCATACAGCCAAGACAATCCTAAGCAAAAAGAACAAAGCTGGAGGCATCACGCTACCTGACTTCAAACTATACTACAAGGCTACAGTAACCAAAAGAGCATGGTACTGGCACCAAAACAGATACATAGACCAATGGAATGGAACAGCGGCCTCAGAAATAATGCCACACATCTACAACAATCTGATCTTTGACAAACCTGACAAACACAAGCAATGGGGAAAGGATTACCTATTTAATAAATGGTGTTGGGAAAACTGGCTAGCCATATGCGGAAAACTGAAACTGGACCCCTTCCTTACACCTTATACAAAAATTAACTCAAGATGCATTAAAGACTTAAATGTAAGACCTAAAACCATAAAAACCCTAAAAGAAAACCTAGGCAATACCATTCAAGACATAGGCATGGGCAAAGACTTCATGACTAAAACACCAAAAGCAACGGCAACAAAAGCCAAAATTGACAATTGGGATCTAATTAAACTAAAGAGCTTCTGCACAGCAAAATAAACTGTCATCAGAGCGACCAGGCAACCTACAGAGTGGGAGAACATTTTTGCAATCTATCCATCTGACAAAGAGCTAATATCCAGAATCTACAAGGAACTCAAACAAACTTACAAAAAAAAAACAAGCCCTTCAAAAAGTGGGCCAAGTATATGAACAGACACTTCTCAAAAGCAGACATTTATGTGGCCAATAAACACGAAAAATAGTTCATCATCACTGTTCGTTAGAGAAATGCAAATCAAAACCACAATGAGATACCGTCTCATGCCAGTTAGAATGGCCATCATTAAAAAGTCAGGAAACAACAGATCCTGGAGAGGATGTGGGGAAATAGGAACGCTCTTATACTGTTGGTGCGAGTATAAATTAGTTCAACCATTGTGTAAGACAGTGTGGCGATTCCTCAAGGATCTAGAACCAGAAATACCATTTGACCCAGCAATCCCATGACTGGGTATATACCCAAAGGATTATAAATCATTCTACTATAAAGGTCTAGTTTTTCTTTAGTGTCTTATCAAGTTACAGAAGTGCTTTGAACTCAGCAGGATAATAAAGGAGGTGTTGTGCATGTGGTTTTTACCTTAGCATCTTGCTTCAAGTTCCTAGCTATTCCTATGGCTTTAATTTGTTGGGTACATTCCCCTCTCACTCCATTCTATGGAGGTGGTCAGAATGCATAAAACAGAGAAACCAACAAAATGTAGTTTCTATATGGTGAGAGTACAGCTATAATATGACCTCCTCTTTGATTCCACAGTGCAATGCAAATAGCACGTAGTGTAGAGAATGTCTGTTATAGAAATAGGGGCGACTGAAGGCATTCATTGATCAAAAGTCAATTGTTACAGATAACATTATTCCCCTATTAATAGAGTATTTTAATGATTGGATCATTTTCATAAATAAAATTGATATATAGAACATATAATTTTTTGTAATGGAAGTAATTGTAATGAGACCTTGTTTTAACTAGTTTTTATAAGTATAGGAAACTGAAGCTGATTCTTACCTTTTTTGCAACAGGAATGCTTTATTTGGCAGACTTTTTTTTAATGTGAATGCATAAATAAAACTGCTGATTTGACCTGGCAAACTTCAATTCCAATCCAGCATACTTTTCCTATTTATAAAGTGCAGTGAAAATGTTGGCCTTTAGAAACTGATATTCCCTGGATGTGCAAGTGCGGCAAAGGCTTTGTTGTTGTTGTTATTGCTCTTAAAAAAAAAAAAACTGTAGCAAAATCCTAAAAGAAAAACTCCAAAATAAGATGTAGTATAATGTCTGTACTCATACCTAAAAAGGGACAAATTATTTTAAGATGGCCTTTTAAAGGTTGTGGCCCCAAATGGTGACGGTAAGTCTTGTGCAGTCTAGTGTATGTGCTACTACAAGCTTGCTTGAGGCTCATAAATCTTGCATTATTTGGAGTAAGTGTAGACACTCCAAAATGAATTTAGAGGCAAATATGAATGTGTTTCTGGACATGGGCTTGGTGGAGAGAATGCTGTGATCATGCGTCAAAAAATTCTAATCATCTGGTCTTATAATGAATGGGTTAGTTTCTCCATTCTGCCAATAGAACATGAGTGTATGAAAACTTTGAAGTGTGGGAGGCAACGGCAAAGAAAACAATAAACTGTGCATGTGAGACTGGCTTGATGCTTGGTGATTAAGAGATGAGGGCCCCGCGGGTCAGCTCCCCATAGGTACAAACAGATGTTTGCACTGTTTCACAGCTGCTAAATATGATATAAATCCAAAGAATTTTTCTTGTTTTTATAAAGGAAAAAATACCCAGACAGCAAATTTTTGGTCATTCAGATACTCTTACCAAATGACATCTGGTTTCTGTACTGCTTATTTAAGCAACCCTTAAAAAAAAAAAAAAAAACCTTTACCAAGAGGAGGAACTCTAAACTTTCAGCCCTTCACCATACATAACAGTACAGTTTAAATTACACTGTAACATGCAGAGTTTATTATAAGCAATGCTGTTTCTTTATTCCTTAACTAGCAAGTTTTACTTTTAAGAAAATGGGTTGGATATTATGTAATTAGTTAAGGGAAATCTGTGATGAGGTTACATGTAGAATATCCTAGGTTTGCAATCCTAATGATGGCAAAGAAAATGAATTAATTGTTTCCATATGTTAAGAATGGTGGTGAGCAAAGTTAAACTATACAGTTACCTAAAATAAAATGTCAGCACTATAGCAAGACAGTATTTTGACTTGCATCAAGGTGAGAAAACATGAAAGGCAGAAAGGAAGCAGTGACAGGTTGGAGGTCAAGACAGAAATGAATCTTAATAAAAGACTTACGTAATTCTTTAGAGAAGAACCAGATTTTTGCCATCTATACATCCATTATACTTTCAAGTTTATATGCAGAAATTTTGTTCATTACTGTGCTCAGCAGCAAATATGTTTCTATTGATTGTTCTCCACAAAGGTGTCTATGTTGACGTATCAAATGCCCAAGCTTACAGGCTTGCCTTCTGAATTTTTTCCACCTCAATATTAATGACTGACGTTGATCTATGGTTTCTTTCGAGCTTTCATTCAATGCATCTCCCAAAAGTTAGCACTGAAACAGAAATGTGGTAATTCCATAACAAATCTGGCAATTAGCAGCATTCTTCCTTTTGGGTTTTACATCATTATTTGGCCTGTTACTGTAATTCCAGTCTGATATTAATAAAGAGAAACAAGCAGTCTGACAATTCCAGCTTCATGGGAGATTCCTCACCCAAAGATTTGCTAGGTCTGTACAGAGAGGTGCAAAATCCTGTCCAATAGGAGTTGCCCAGAGTGAAGATAATATATTGCCTGGACCTTTCTTTGGCTCCTTTTAAAACAAGATCTGTTTATTTCAGGGGGTTACTAAGTTGTATAAGGTCTACCAGAGCTGACTTTGCAGGAGGATAATAATTTTTCCTATTGTGTTTTACTTTGTAAGTTTTGGTTATGAGTTTGGGCTTGGCATGTGTAATGATCTTTGGTTTCAGCATTGAGTCTAATTCACTGGTTAATTTGCCATTTCCTTTTTAGTCTCCAGCAGGAATGTTGCCTTCCTCCAGATTCCATGATGAGGTTTACTCTATCTCTAGCATCCATCACTTCTGTGTTTACTAACTCTGAGAAACCTCTCATGTCAAGCTTTCAGATATATACCATCTGTGTATGAAAGTCCCAGGTGGGGGCTCATAAAAGAGGTTTCATGAAATCATGGCTGAGGAGTCCTGTATTCAGGTTGACATTCGACTGTGCATAGCTAAATTTCCCACCCCCCAATCTCCCAAGCCAAGTTCTCCTTATCACTAACAGCTTCCTATTGATGTCATTAAGAGTAAATATGCAAAGGAAATATGAAGCTCTTCATTCCCTGAGAACCAGGATATTTAGGTTGTGCAAATCCCTGAACCCTAAAATGGATTTAATCAGCCCAATTCACATCATAAATATCATGTTGCAAGGACACACATGTGCTGGAACAGATAGGGAGATTTCATTTTAACTTTTAAATTTGCAAAATTATACCCCGTGGGCCATTAATTTTTCTTGGACACTCCAGGGACTTCGTGCCAAGAGGAATTCTTGAGTTCACATTCAGTAGGTTTATGCTCTTTGTTGGTAAGGGTTCAGTTTCTTCTCCGTTATCAAATATATCATATTTCACCTCCTAGAACCCTATTGGAAACTCCTAGCTATTCTTCCTGCCTCCATTTCCCCCAGATTTTTTGAAGAATGATCTGGTAATTTTTTGCAAAATCCATTTCTATTTTTTTCTCTTCCATTTTTCCTATCCCTCCCAACCATCCCTTTTTCCCTCCCTCTCTTCTTTTCTCTCCTCCTTCTTTCCTGTTTCCTTCCCCTCTTTCAAAGAGCATTTAACATATAGTGATTCTCCACAGAATCTCACCTAAATATGGGAGGATAACTGAATTAAGTTTTTTGTAATTAAATGTTTTATTTTGAAATAATTATCGATTTACATTCAGTTGTAAGACAGGGAGATCTTATGTACACTTCACTGTTTCTCCAATGGATATATCTTGCAAAACTATCATACAATGTCACAACCAGGATTGTGACATTAATGCAGGCAAAATACAGAAGATTTCCATCACTGCAGCCATCTCTTATTTTGCTCTTTTATGTAGCTACAACCACAACCTTCCCATTCCAACTCTCTTCTTAACCACTGGAAATCACCGTCAATCACTAATTGATTTCTATAATTTTGTCATTTCATGCATGTTATATAAATGGAATCATACAGTATGTAACTTGTTGAGATTGACTTTGTTCACTCAACATAATTCTCTGAGTACTCATTCAAATTGTTTCATGTATTAGTAGTTTGTTCCTTTACATTGCTGAGTAATATTTCACGGTACGGATGTACCATGGTTTGTCTTACCATTTACCTGTTAAAGTGCATCTGGGCTGTTTCCAGTTTTGGGCTATTATGAATAAAGCTGCTATGAATATTTGTGAATGTAAGTGTTTATTTCTGTGGGGTAGATGCCCAGGAGTACAATTGCAAGGTTATATGGTAGTTGCATGTATTTTTTAAAGAAACTGACAAACTGTGTTCCAGGGTGGCTGTACCATTGTCCATTCCTGCCAGTAATAACATATAAGTGATGTAGTTTGCCTGCTTTTATGATGTTGTCACTATTTCTTGTTTTAGCCATTCTGATAGGTGCATAGCGATAGCTCATTGTGGTTTGAATTTATACTTCCCTAATGGCTAAAGAACTTGAATATCTTTTCATGTGTTTATTTGCCATCTGTACATTCTCTCGGATCAACTGTCTTTCACTCAGTTTTTAATTGGATTTTTAAAACTTTTACTGTTGCTTTATATATACATCTTATTTAATTCTCAAAAAAGACTCTTGAAGTCCACATGGCTCCTAAGAGACAGGGTCTGGATTTGAATCCAGGTTTCTGTTACTGTACTCTTTTGTTTTGTTTTGTTTCTGTTTACCGTCACAATCTTCTGGTATTTTGCCTCCCTGCCCATACAAGGTCACCTTCTGCATCGACTATTTCCTGAAGATTGACTAGCTTCCATGGCTTCTATTGCTACTGCTGAGGTAGGAGATTCCACGTTTATAACCCCAGGGTCAAATTCTAGACCCATTCAAAATGCCTATGCATGTACTAATGGCAATTGAACCATCTATGATCCAAGTTAAACTCTGTGACTTCTACCCATGGAAAATCTTGCTCTCCTCCTGACTTTCTCATTTCTAATAACAGAGCCACCATCTTTTCTATCACCAATTCAAAACCTTTGTTCCCTCCCTTATTTTCCTTAAGCAGTACCATCGCTGCCCCAAGCAATTAGTTGGGGAGTCTCCACGTAGATTCTACCTCTGTGTTTCCTTCTTCCAAGGTTTACTAAAATGTATCATTTTCCAGGCCCTAATATCTATATTGCTGCAATAGCAACCTAACAGATCCACAGCCTTCACTCCTTTCTGCCATCTTTGCTTCTCATGTAAGA
Source organism: Homo sapiens (assembly GCF_000001405.40). Lineage (NCBI taxonomy): Eukaryota > Metazoa > Chordata > Mammalia > Primates > Hominidae > Homo > Homo sapiens. Next base: position 53,810,749 of record NC_000014.9, on the reverse strand, counting down.
CATTGCTGTCAGATTTATCCAGAAGCTTGGGATTGATCTGACTGCACTTTCATCTTACAAACTTCAATAGCTCCCCTCTGCCTAATGATCTATGTGCAGAATTCTCAGTCCGCCTTCAAGGCTCACTAGCCAACATCGTTTTGAGCCCAATCTCCAAACCCATTCTTACTAAGTTATATGCATCTCCCAATATGTTCTGCAGTTTTTGCTTGACCGCTCCTTAATGCTGTTCCATTTTATTTACTTTTCAACAATGAATTCTCCATATCTTTCAAGGACGATTTCAAAGGCAACCTCTGTAGAAAAAGCCTCTCCTGATGCCTCTAGTGGAGATCTTTTTCATTCCTTCGAAGACGAATCTTTTGTAACACTCGTCTTGCTTTTATTGTAATTGTGTGCTGATCTTGAAGGCAAGGATTATGAATAGGACACTTCAATGTCTGCAGATCTGGGTTTTATAAATGAATCTTCGAGGATCAGAGCTTCTAGCAAAGCTTGTTCTAAATTCTTTTGTTATGACTGACAAGGTATACCCTTACTGAATCCTTCCCTATATTTTGATTCATCTGGATAAAACATATTATGAACCTTCACAAAAGGATGATAATCACCCACTAAATACTCACCCCCTACTTGACATCAGGATGACCCATAAAGGTGTGAAGAATTAACCTGCAGACCTAGTTTTCTGAACATAATCCTGTTACAAATAAAATTTCATAAGGATCTTCCTTATCTGTGATAATAGACAAGCAATATTCTTTGAAGCATGGTGGAGTAAGTCGATGGTGGACATGTTATGCCTTGCTAGAGGATATAATATTTCTGAAAAAATCCTTTAAACACTAAGTATTCTGGTAGTCAGCAAATAATGAAATCTATGAAAATGTGTGAGAAATACTTTTGTTATTTTTTAGCTGCATATGTGCTCCTTTAGATTTTGAAATTTTCAACCTAAAATAGGAGTGCAAGATTGGCTTTCAACATTTTTATTGTAGAATTCTCTGTGGGTTCTGTGTAGAGGGACTGTGGATGTGGGAATATCCTGGGGCCACTGGGTTCTGCGTTCTGGTATGTAGTTTTCAATTCACAAAAACATTTTTTTTTTTTTGGAGAACAAAAAAATGTAGATTTATGGCCTGTATAATTTGGTAACTATATTCAACAGAGGAAAATGACATCTTGTAGCTTGGACTTGGGAGTCTAAAATTGCAGAAAGATGAAAAGGGAAGAATGTTCATGGCAAAAATTTGGGCCACTAGCCATTCATTGTTAAGTCTGGGGGCTAGATAACAGTGCTCTGAATATAAACAACTCTCAGGCATGGCAACAAGAAATGCCTTCTTGTGCCCAGCATGTATTAAACACCAACATCCCAGTAATAAATCCCACAGTATAGACTTAAACCTCACTCATTCGCTATCACTCTCCATTTTTCCCTCCTCCAAATATACCCGCTATTCACTACTAATAATTCCATGTTAGAAGAGAAGGTTGTAAAGTACTCACTTAAGGGAACAGGTTTGGAGTCAGACAGACTTGTCTTAAACCTGGCTCTACAATTTTCTAGCTGTATCCTCTTGAACAAATAACTTAACAGGGCTAGGTCTCAGTTTTCTCATACGTAGAATGGGGATAATAATCACATCTCTCTTTTAGAGCTGTGAAATTACGTGAAATAATATACAGAACTTAGTGTGGCACAAAGAAAGTACTCAATAAATGACAGCTGCTATTATTATTAGTTGTCATTTACCTTTACATTTGTAATTGTAAGTAATTTGGAATTAAAAATATTTGGTTTGGTCTTTAAACCCAAGAATCTACCCACCAGATGAAGTGGGGATATTCTTAAAATTAGAAAGAACAAAAGCACCCATCAAAATGCTTGCAAATTTAGCACACACAGTGTTCTACAGCACACATACTGTTCAACTTAGAATATCAATAAACTGTTCTATAAGGATCATATATACAGCCTCTATCACATAGCTATCTGTGATCCTTACAGAACAGTTTATTGATATTCTAAGTTGGCAGATCCCTCATTCATTTCATCAACATTGTCTGGGGCATCTGCCATGTGCTACAAATGTGCTGGCACTGGGACCCATGCCCATGTATTGTCCACAGCTTATTTTACCAATTAAGTCCATCTATTTGAATGTTTCCCAACTTGTTTTTCTCATTTAGCTATGCTTAGTTTTGTGGTGTCGCTTGGATTTGGAGATCAAATTTAGAGTTCCCCACTGAGTTTCTGTCTTTGCAGGTAGAAAAACCTTAGTCACCAAAAATAAAGCCAATGAGCTTCATTGACTGTGACTGACCACTGTGGACAAGTCTGGCCCCTCTCCTGGAAGCAGCCTGGAAGATCCCCCTCCAAGCTTCTCAGAAATATGTGGTCTCACACCAAAGTTTCTATGCTTGCATCCTCTGGGGACACAAAAGCATGGCTGGGTGAGATGCACTCATGCTCCCTAATATGCTGAGTGTCTCATATTGCAGAGAGAAAGTAGCTGGTGAGGCATGAATCAGCCAGTTTGCAGATGAGCAGTGGCTGGAGCTTCATTGCAATAAAGTGTTAGAATTAATCTTCTTCATCTGTTTTCATTTTGCTAACTCACTATATCAGGCACCACAAAATAAGTATATTAATTAAATGTCTCACTCTTTAAAATCTAAAGGGAGATACTTGGAAGATGGAAAAATGTTCATTTGCAGTGGCGGGGAAAAAGCCAGGGAATAATTAGAATCTTGAAGCTTCTGCAGTTGGAATAACAATAAAAAGAGCAGAGATGACTATAAAATGGTTTGTTCTTGGCATTGCTTAATTGGCCTATTTATTTTTCTGTCTCTGAAGCTGTCTTTAGTGACACCTACTGATAAGCGCCAATCAGAACCATGGCCCAATTCCTTCGGGCTGGACCTGCCAAGAAACTGCTCAGCCCTCCAGATGTTGCTGCTTTGTGAGAAATGAGAACTCAATAAACCAGGCTCACCCTTCCTCCTGGGGTGAACACAAAGGCAGTCAGATATGGAAAATCACTGCTCAGCACCGTGAACAATGTACTCAAATGAGGGGTTGGGTCAGTTCTTATTTGTCTTGGTGGAACAGACAGCCATGGAGCCTAATGCAAGAATTTTACCTGGCAACAATTCAAAATGTGACTATACATTGAAATTGTTCAACAAAAGGAGGCCTTTTATCTGGGAAAAAGCCCAACAGTGGGTTTAAAGAACTAGCTAGAGAAACTTGTAAAGAGGGTTAAATATGTATCACATATGATTTTAGTATGCTGAACATTTCTCCACTTTTTGTGTTTTTCAGATTCCATTCTTTTGTTATGTAACAAATTAGAAAGATACTGCAGTCGACAGTCTCATGGCACATCCTAACCATCAATGAATAATATTCCATGAGCACTAGCCGTTCTGAGAATGGAACAAAATGAGCTCAAGTGAATTAGTTCTTGTCCTCCAGACCAGAGTGTCCCAATATTTCTTAGTACAGGACACACTTGTGACCTTGCTGTGAAAAAATAAGAAAATATGTCACCATTCTTTTTTCCTGAGCCAGCCCCTCATCCAGCTGTCTGTCCATTCCAAACCTTCCACCCCCACCCACATTATGTGTAGTCATGCTCCCCATGGGTGCCCGAAAGTAAGGCCAACCTCAATATATGGTGAGACACCATTTTTCTCATGATCTAATCCCCAAAGAAGCCTTTTGGCTAGCTTAATATGGTAAGAGTAATGGATATTGTTCAGTTAAATATTTACTTATGATATTTAGTGCATTAATTTAATCTCACATGATTAAAATCACATCTTCTATATAATGATATAGTATTTTAGAACCAATTTTTTGAGTTCACATTTGACAAGATCATTTTTATTTGAACTCTTCATGTGCATCGTGGAGACAGGCAAGGAGCATCAGAGCCTTTGTCATTCTGAGAGCTATTTTTTGAATTGCTTAATATAGTTTTCTAGAGACTGTTGCCTTTACTTTTATTTCATTTTTTGAATCTGAATGTGTAATACTGTTTCTGGAAATTTATCCCAGCCATGTCTACCCATGTGTATAGTATTAAATTTATATTTTTTCTTAAAAAATAATATCACCCTGTGATCCCTTTAATATAACTACTTAAGTGAATCCTGAAAGTCTCATTAACATGATATCTAATGTATAGAATTGTCAAAGACCTAGGATTAATAACTCAGCCTATAGTAACTTTTTTCCTTTTGAAAATCTGCTCACATTATAATACTTCCACAAGCTTCCAAACCTAGAATTGATATCTGTTTTGCTTAATGAATCTCCATCCAATGGCATTTGTTGTTTATAAAAAGTCCTTTAAATGGCATCCACATGCTATGAGATATTTGGCAAAGGCTCAAATATGAAGTGACTGTGTTTTAAGAGGTAATGTTTTGAGGAAGCTTTGCCTAATGTTCAGGCATATACAGTGTATTTAGATATGATTTTACTTTGTGACATCTCTTTTTCCTGCCATGTCTACACTCCATCAAGTTCCTACTCAGAAGTTGGCAGAAGTGAATATTTCTCTCTGAAGATGACTTCATGCCTCTTAGAGTTAGGAGGTACTAGTTAAGGAACAATACTTTAGATGCTCACTGCCTAAGATAGCTTATAGTCACCCCAAATAATTTTATAACAGGACAGATGTAGAGTACAACAAGTAAGCAATGGTATGACACGAATGAATGACATGAATGAAAAGAAAGAGACCCGTTGAAAGGGTAAAACAAGAAGAAAAAAAATAGCAGGGATTAATAGACTTGACAGTAAAGTGGAAAGTCTAGTAATTTTAAAAAATTAATATTTAGATAACTTGCCGAGTGAACTGTTTTTAATTTCAGGTGGATGAATATATGAGTAAGTTATTGGGTTAAAGAAAAAGTATTATTATTATTTTTTTTTGGTTTAACCCTGAAGGACTTTGTAGAAGAAGAGGAATTTTTAGGTCTTCGATGGAGAGAAGTCAGATCGGGTGATTTGTTGTGGAGTAGGTCACATAGGAGGTATTATTTATAAACAGTTAAGGAAAAGTACAAAAGGACTAATGAAGAGGTTGGTTAAAACAAAGGAGGGGCTGTAGAGAAAGGTAGAAAAGGAGCTGATGGATAGGAGTTGGTAGTTTTTAGGCATTTAAACCTAATGGAAAGGAAAATGAGAAAAATTATTGGGTGGGAAATAAAAAGATCTGTGTTTATAAGGATAAGTAAGATGGATAGCTACGGTGAGGGAAGATGATGTTGATAGAAGGTGAGTGCTGGGGAAGACCCGAAGGCCATTGGAGAGTAGTGAACAGCCATCCAATTTGGATGGAAGTGATGAAATAGGGCATCAAGGATTCAGACTAAGGTTTGGCTTGGAGGAGAGGATAGCACTTATGCCGTGAAATTAGATTATACTTCTTACATACTCGTATGACTAGGTGAATTTGAATTAGATCTAATTATTTGTAACTACTTTGGAGATTAGATGCTCAAGTCATAGAATGTAGTCAGACATTGGCATTTAATCATTTTATTAGTCAGAAGGCACTTAGATTTAATAATTGAGTATACCTTATTTGTATGCCTGGCTCTACGCTATGAGTAAATAGACCTATATATCATATATTGGAGTCGAATATTGGTATTGCTGATCAACAAGTTTAGGTACCTTCCTGTATCCTACATTTGGAATATCCATATCTGTGTGTCATCCAGGGCCCCTCCTTGTCCATAGGTACTTCCCACCTATGAACGTCCAGAGGATGCAATACATCTTCCTCTCCTACACACCCAAAGCTGGCTAAACATATGCTTTGGTTCACATCACCTCTTTTGAGCATGTAGTATATGTCAAGTGCTTTGCCCACATTAGATTTCATGGATGCCTCACAATTACTGCAGAAGGTGAGCCCTGCTATCACAGATAAAGCAAGGAACACAGAGATTGGGCAACTTGCCAAAGGTTACACCAAAGGTTACACCATTAGGGTGTGGAATTGGGAGTAGAACCCATGGCAAGCTTCATTCTAAAGTTGATTGTCTTCAACCTCACCCTAAGTTGCTTTTGTAATTTACATATGTTTATAAGAGTTGACATTTGGAAATAAGGACTCAATTAATTAATATGATCTTTTATTAAAAAAGGACAGAATTATAAAAGTGGAAATATTTATTTCCAATTGTACATATTTTGATATTATTTTACGTAACAATGTTGCTATTTTCAAAGAAGCCCTTTGATGAGAGGAAACGATCAGGTTCTGGCCTAAAACTGGCCTGGATTTTAATCCTGCCCTTATCACGTACCAGATTTCTAATGCTGGTAAAGTTACTTACCCTCCAAGCCTTTACTTCTAAAATGATAATAATGGTATTCACATTTTATTCATTTTGCATTTTTTAAAATTATACCTTAACTTCTGGGATACATGTGCAGAACCTGCAGGTTTGTTACATAGGTATACATGTGCCATGGTGGTTTGCTGCACTCATCAATCCATCATCTACATTAGGTATTTCTCCTAATGCTATCCCTCCCCTAGCCCCCCACCCCCTGACAGGCCCTGGTGTGTGATGTTCCCCTCCCTGTGTCCATGTGTTCTCATTGTTCAACTCCCACTTATGAGTGAGAACATGTGGTGTTTGGTTTTCTGTTCCTGTGCCAGTTTGCTGAGAATTATGGTTTCCAGCTTCATCCATGTCCCTGCAAAGGACATGAACTCATCCTTTTTCATGGCTGCATCATATTCCATGGTGTATATGTGCCACATTTTCTTTATCCAGTCTATCATTGATGGGCATTTGGGTTGCTTCCAAGTCTTTGCTATTGTGAATAGTGCTGCAATAAACATATGTGTGCATGTGTCTTCATAGTAGAATGAGTTATAATCCTTTGGGTATACACCCAGTCATGGGATTGCTGGGTCAAATGGTATTTCTGGTTCTAGATCCTTGAGGAATCACCACACTGTCTTCCACATGGTTGAACTAATTGACACTCCCACCAACAGTGTAAAAGCGTTCCTGTTTCTCCACATTCTCTCCAGTATCTGTTGTTTCCTGACTTTTTAACGATTGCCATTCTAACTGGCATGAGATGGTATCTCATTGTGGTTTTGATTTGCATTTCTCTAATGACCAGTGATGATGAGCTTTTTTTCATATGTTTGTTGGCCACATAAATGTTTTATTTTGAGAAGTGTCTGTTCATATCCTTGGCCCACTTTTTGATGGGCTTGGTTTTTTTTCTTGTGAATTTGTTTAAGTTCCTTGTAGATTCTAGATACTAGCCCTTTGTCAGATGGATAGATTGCAAAAATGTTCTCCCATTCCGTAGGTTGCCCATTCACTCTGATGATAGTTTCTTTTGCTGTGCAGAAGCTCTTTAGTTTAATTGGACCCCAACTGTCAATTTTGGCGTTTGTTGCCATTGCTTTTGGTGTTTGTCATGAAGTCTTTGCCCATGCGTATGTCCTGAGTGGTATTTCCTAGGTTTTCTTCTAGGGTTTTTATGTTTTAGGTCTTACAATTAAGTCTTTAATCCATCTTGAGTTAATTTTTGTATAAGGTGTAAGGAAGGGGTCCAGTTTCAGTTTTCGGTATATGGCTAGCCAGTTTTCCTAACACCATTTATTAAATAGGAAAGCCTTTCCCCATTGCTTGTTTTTGTCAGGTTTGTCAAAGATCAGATGGTTGTAGATGTGTGGCGTTATTTCTGAGGCCGGTGTTCTGTTCCATTGGTCTATATCTCTGTTTTGGTGCCAGTACCATGCTCTTTTGGTTACTGTAGACTTGTAGCATAGTTTGAAGTCAGGTAGCATGATGCCTCCAGCTTTGTTATTTTTGCTTAGGATTGTCTTGGCTGTATGGGCTCTTTTTTGGTTCCATATGAAATTTAAAGTGTTTTTTTCTAATTCTGTGAAGAAAGTCAATGGTAGCTTGATGGGGATAGCATTGTATCTATAAATTACTTTGGGCAGTATGGCCATTTTCATGATATTGATTCTTCCTATCCATGAGCATGGAATGTTTTTCCATTTGTTTGTGTCCTCTCTTATTTCCTTGAGCAGTGGCTTGTAGTTCTCCTTGAAAAGGTCCTTCACATCCCTTATAAATTGTATTCCTAGTTATTTTATTCTTTTTGTAGCAATTGTCAATGGGAATTCACTCATGATTTGGCTCTCTGTTTGTCTATTATTGCTGTGTAGGAATGCTTGTGATTTTCACACATTGATTTTGTATCCTGAGACTTTGCTGAAGTTGCTTATCAGCTGAAGGATATTTTGGGCTGAGACAATGGGGTTTCCTAAATATACAATCATGTCATCTGTAAACAGGGACAATTTGACTTCCTCTCTTCCTATTTGAATACATTTTATTTCTCTTGCCCGATTGCCCTGGTCAGAATATCCAATACTATGTTGAATAGGAGTGGTGAGAGAGGGCATCCTTGTCTTGTGCTGGTTTTCAAAGGGAATGCCTCCAGCTTTTGCTATTCAGGACGATATTGGCTGTGGGTTTGTTATAAATAGCTCTTATTATTTTGAGATACGTTCCATTGATACCTAGTTTATTGAGAGTTTTTAGCATGAAGAGGTGTTGAATTTTATCAAAGGCCTTTTCCGCATCTATTTAGACAATCATCTGGTTTTTGTCATTGGTTATGTTTATGTGATGGATTACGTTTACTGATTTGCATATGTTAAACCAGCCTTGCATCCCAGGGATGAAGCCAACTTGATCATGGTGAATAAGCTTTTTAATGTGCTGCTGGATTCAGTTTGCCAGTATTTTATTGAGGGTTTTCGCATTGATATTCATCAGGGATATTGGCCTGAAATTTTCTTGTTTTGTTGTGTCTCTGCCAGGTTTTGGTATCAGGATGATGTTGGCCTCATAAAATGAATTAGGGAGGAGTATCTCTTTTTCTAATCTTTGGAATAGTTTCAGAAGAAATGGTACCAGCTCCTCTTTGTACCTCTGGTAGAATTTGGCTGTGAGTCTGTCTGGTCCTAGGCTATTTTTGGTTGGTAGGCTATTAATTACTGCCTCAATTTCAAAACTTGTTATTGCTCTATTGAGGGATTCGACTTCTCCCTGGTTTAGTCTTGGGAGGGTGTATGTGTCCAGGAATTTATCCATTTCTTCTAGATTTTCTAGTTTATTTGCATAGAGATGTTTATAGTATTCTCTGATCGTAGTTTGTATTTCTGTGGGATCAGCGGTGACATTCCCTTTATCATTTTTTATTGTGTCTATTTGATTCTTCTCTCTTTTCTTCTTTATTAGACTGGCTAGTGGTCTATCTATTTTGTTAATATTTTCAAAAAACCAGCTCCTGTATTCACTGATTTTTTGAAGAGTTTTTCATATCCCTATCTTCTTCAGTTCTGCTCTGATCTTGGTTATTTCTTGTCTTCTCCTAGCTTTTGAATTTGTTTGCTCTTGCTCCTCTAGTTCTTTTAATTGTGATGTTAGGGTGGTGATTTTAGATCTTTCCCCCTTTCCCTTGTGGGTGTTTAGTGCTATAAATTTTCCTCTAACCACTACTTTAGCTGTATCCCAGAGATTTTAGTATGTTGTGTCTTTGTTCTCATTGGTTTCAAATAACTTATTTACTTCTGCCTTCATTTCGTTATTTACCCAGTAGTCATTCAGGAGCAGGTTGTTCAGTTTCCATGTAGTTGTGTGGTTTTGAGTGAGTTTCTTAATCCTGAGTTCTAATTTGATTGCACTGTGGTCTGAGAGACTGTTTGTTATTATTTCCATTCTTTTGCTTGTGATGAGGAGTGTTTTACTTTCAATTATGTGGTCAATTTTAGAATAAGTGTGATGTGGTGCTGAGAAGAACATATATTCTGCTGATTTGGGGTGGAGAGTTCTGTAGATGCCTATTAGATCCACTCGGTCCAGAGCCGAGTTCATGTACTGGGTATACTTGTTAGTTTTCTGTCTCGTTGATCTGTCTAATATTGACAGTGGGGTGTTAAAGTCTCCCACTATTATTGTGTGGGAGTCTAAGTCTCTTTGTAGGTCTCTAAGAACTTGCTTTATGAATCTGGGTGCTCCTGTATTGGGTGCGTATATATTTAGGATAGTTAGCTCTTCTTGTTGCATTGATCCTTTTATCACTATGTAATGCCCTTCTTTGTCTTTTTTGATTTGTTGGTTTAAAGTCTGTTTTATCAGCGACTAGGATTGCAAACCCTGCTTTTTTTTTTTTTGCTTTTCATTTGCTTGGTAAATATTCCTCCATCCCTTTATTTAGAGCCTATGTGTGTCTTTGCACGTGCGATGGGTCTCCCGAATACAGCATACCATTGGGGCTTGACCTTTTATCCAATTTGCCAGTCCTGTGTCTTTTAATTGGGGCATTTAGCCTGTTTACATTTAAGGTTTATATTGTTATGTGTGAATTTGATCCTGTCATTATGATGCTAGCTGGTTATTTTGCCCATTAGTTGATGCAGTTTCTTCATAGTGTTGATGGTCTTTACAATTTGGTATGTTTTTGCAGTGGCTGGTACTGTTTTTTCCTTTCCATATTTAGTGCTTCCTTCAGGAGCTCTTGTAAGGCAGGTCTGGTGGTGATGAAATCTCTCAGCATTTGCTTGTCTGTAAAGGATTGTATTTCTCCTTCACTTATGAAGCTTAGTTTGGCTGGATATGAAATTCTAGGTTGAAAATTCTTTTCCTTAAAATGTTGACTATAGGCCCCCACTCTCTTCTGGCTTGTAGGGTTCCCGCAGAGAGATGGGCTGTTAGTCTGATGGGCTTCCCTTTGTGGGTAGCCCAATCTTTCTCTCTGGCTGCCCTTAACATTTTTTCCTTCATTTCAGCCTTGGTGAATCTGATGATTATGTGTCTTGGGGTTGCTCTTCTCAAGGAGTATCTTTGTGGTATTCTCTGTATTTCCTGAATTTGAATGTTGGCCTGTCTTTCTAGGTTGGGGAAGTTCTCCTGGATAATATCCTGAAGAGTGTTTTCCAGCTTGGTTCCATTCTCCCGGTCACTTTCAGGTACACCAATCAAATGTAGGTTTTATTTTTTCACATGGTCACATATTTCTTGGAGGTTTTGTTCATTCCTTCTCATTCTTTTTTCTCTAATCTTGTCTTCATTCTTTATTTCATTAAGTTGATCTTCAATCTCTGATATCCTTTCTTCTGCTTGATGGATTCAGCTATTGATACTTGTGTATGCTTCATAAAGTTCTCGTGCTGTGTTTTTGAACTCCGTCAGGTCACTTACATCCTTCTCTACACTGGTTATTCTAGTTAGCAATTTCTCTAACTTTTTTTCAAGGTTCTTAGCTTCCTTGCATTGGATTAGAACATGCTCCTTTAGCTCGGAGGAATTTATTACCCCCCTTCTGAAACCTACTTCTGTCAACTTGTCAAACTCATTCTCCGTCCAGTTTTGTTCCCTTGCTGTCAAGGAGTTGTGATCCTTTGGAGGAGAAGAGGCATTCTGGTTTTTGGAATTTTCAGACTTTGTGCACGGGTTTTTCCTCATCTTTGTGGATTTATCTACCTTTCGTCTTTGATGTTAGTGACCTTTGGATGGGGTTTTTGTGTGGCTGTCCTTTTTGTTGATGTTTATGCTTTTCCTTTCTGTTTGTTAGTTTTCCTTCTAACAGTCAGGCCCTTCTGTTGCAGGTCTGTTGGAGTTTCCTGGAGGTCCACTCCAGACCCCATTTGCCTGGGTATTACCAGCGGAGGCTGCAGAACAGGAAAGATTGCTGTCTGTTCCTGTCTCTGGAAGCTTTGTCTCAGAGGGGCACCCACCAGATGCCAGCCAGAGGTCTGCCTTATGAGGTGTCTGTAGACCTCTGCTGGGAGATGTCTCCCAGTAAGGAGGCACAAGGATCAGGGACCCACTTGAGGAGGCAGTCTGTCCCTTAGCAGAGCAAGTGGGAATGTTTAAGTCTGCTGAAGCTGCACCCACAGCCACACCTTCCCCCAGGTGCTCTGTCCCAGGGAGATGGGAGTTTTATTTATAAGCCCCTGAGTGGGGCTTCTGCCTTACTTTCAGAGATGCCCTGCCCAGAGAAGAGATATCTAGAGAGGCAGTCTGGCTACAGCAGCTTTGCCAAGCTGCGGTGGGCTCTGCCCAGTTGAAACATCCCTGTGGCTTTGTTTACACTGTGAGGGGAAAACTGCCTACTCAAGCCTCAGTAATGGCGGATACCCCTCCTCGCACCAAGCTCAAGCATCCCAGGTTGACTTCAGACTGCTATGCTGGCAGCAAGAATTTCAAGCCAGTAAATCTTAGCTTGCTGGGCTCCATGGGGGTGGGATTTGCTGAGCTAGACCACTTGGCTCCTTGACTTCAGCCCCCTTTCCAGGGGAGTGAATGGTTCTGTCTTGCTGGCATTCCAGGTGCCACTGGAATATGAAACAAAAAAATAACTCCTGTAGCTACCCCAATGTCTGCCCAAATGGCCGCCCAGTTTTGTGATTGAAACCCAGGGCCCTGGTGGCGTAGGCACCTGAGGGAATCTCCTGGTTCGTGGACTGCAAAGACTGTGGGAAAAGTGTAGTATCTGAGCCAGAGTGCACCATTCCTCATGGTACAGTCCCTCAAGGCTTCCTTGGCTAAGGGAGGGAGTTCCCTGACCTCTTACACTTCCTCAGGTGAGGTGATGCCCCACCCTGCTTCAGTTCACCTTCTGTGGGCTGCACCCACTTTCTAACCAGTCCCAATGAGCTGAGCTGCGTACCTAAGTTGGAAATGCAGAAATCACCTGCCTTCTGCGCTGATCTCACTGGGAGCTGCAGACTGGAGCTGTTCCTATTTGGCCATCTTGCCAGTTACTTGGTATTCACATTTTAAGGACACAAATAAAAAGAATGAGACCAGTTGAAAGGGTAAAACAGGAACAAAAAATTAGCAGGGACTGATAGATTTGGCCCGGGATTGAAAAGGGGCATGCAGTAATGATTGTCAGGTTTTTAACTTGGATGACTGGAAAAATGTTTTTGCCAGTAACAGAAATAAGAGGAATGGATGACATATTGAGATGCCAAAAACACATGTAGGTGGAACTGGCCACCAAGCCTTGATAAAGTGTCAGAACTACAGAGTTAGTGTAGAATTAATGGTTAGATTTATTAGAATAGTTATTTCTAAAGTGTAAAGACAAAAAAAAAAGGAAACGAAGACAGAATCCTGGAGTACACATGAATTTAGGGAACAGAGCAGAAAGAACTAGAAAAGGAGAGCAAAAAGAAGTGGTCAGCATGAAAAATGAAGGATCGGAATGATGAGTGTCACAAAAACAAAGGAGGACTTGGATTCAAGGACTGGGTTAGAGTCAGCTATGTCAAGTGACAGAGAGATGAAATTAAGAAGGGTGAGAAAAGTACATGGTGCTGGATATTAAAGTTAACAAGGCCAGTGGCCTTGTATAAGGTGAAGAAAAACATTCCAACAGGTGCTGGAACCTCTTAGGAGCATGAAAGCATGTGAGGAGAATAGTAGAAATCTGAAATTAGTAAAGAGGATGGTATAACAGAATATGGTAGACTTCAGTAGGAGAGTTTGCTGAGTGGTTAGGGAAACAAATTACGGTTTGAAGCTCTAGACAAGGAGGTGGAGAGCATTGGAGGAGACTCAGGTAGCAGCAGCCTCATCTGAGAACTGTAAAAGAAATGATATCAGCTTGAGAAATCAGCATGAGACGGAGGGAACAACTTTAGAAGAGTGGACCTCAGTAACTTGGGAGCTCCACAGGTTGTGATTACACAGGTTAGTAGAGGGTTGGGTGTGGCAGAACTGACAAGGGGAAGTAGCAGGCTAAACACCATAGTGGATAGTGGAGGAGGAGCTGGCTGTGAAAGGCCACTCAAGGAAGTTATTATGGATACAGGCATGATGATGGGGCAGGAGTAGGCAACAAGCTGAAGGCAAGCCTTTGGGAAAGAAAGGCAGTGTGACTTGTCCTGATATGACTACTGGAAGTTTGAGACAGCCTACCCCTGTAAATGTCTCTCCCTCGCTATCAAGCGTTTCTGTAAATGGCATTCTCCCAGCTTCCATGGCAAAGAAAATGGAGGACGGAGCAATAGTTGCTATGTGGCTACAAATTTTTGCTGAGTCTTTTACTGAGCATGTAATTTAAGATGGCTCTTGAAGAACTTTTACTGGAAGATAAGTTAGAAAGTTGTTCTACCATCTTTTTTTTTTTTTACTGGAATATTGCCCATGGGTTTACAAATTGAGAGACATATAGAAAAATATGATTACAGAATGTTTGGCAAAACTTGGAGACAGACTGCATATAGAAAATGAAGAAAATAGAGGAATTTCAAGGTTGCAAGTTTAGAATACTGAGAAGTTAGAGGATATAATAGGTTGAATGCAATAGGTAAAATAGAAAGATTTAAAGACTGAGAGAAAGGGAAATATAATTAGGAATTTGGGGGTCCACTTCCTTCTTGACAATAGAACAAGACGGTATAACAGTTTTTATAATTTGAATATCACCCTTACAATTTTTGCCCCAGGTCTGCATACTAACTTTGCTCTTGTTTACTTAATTTTTGTTAGCTCACTTTTTAAAAATCCTAAATATTTCCTAAGCAGCAATGGAACCTTGAATTCAATAGATAGTTTACATGTTTTCCTAAATGGATATCAATATAGAAATATTAAAGATATTTGTGTCTGAATGTTGGAAAATAGTGTCTTAGCAAATTGAAGAGAAGCTTGAGATAGTGCTTTAGGCCTGAGTGTCAGTTCAAACATCTTCGATGATAACTAAATGCTTAGAGCAACTAAACAACCTAAGAGAGTCAGTACAGGAGGAAGGGCTTTGGCTTGCAGGATTTCCGAGGCAGCAATCAAGGAGAAACAGGTTATTGGAATGCAAAATACTCCCAGGATCTTCAGGGATAAAACAGTGTGTGTTTGTGTGTATGTATCAACTTTATCTGAAGGCATTTGTGGGAATGGTTTTAGAAGAACGATAGGAACAGAACAGAAACAGATCATAGTAAACAAAGAGGAATGCACAAAGTAACCAGACAGTAGAATTTGACTACTCATCCGAGGAGGTGAGCTTTGAAGGTTAGTCTGCAAAGACAGTAATATTTAACATAGTATCATGTGACAATTAAGTAAAATAGTACATAAAGAGCTTAGCACATATTATCAATAAATGATAGATCATGAAAATGAGGAGTATAACAAAGTTATAACTGCTTAAAAAATAGACAGACATGAGTATATGTTCTAGATACAAGGAGAAAGAACTGGAAAAGTTGCTGCCAGGGAGAGAATATAGGACTACGGCAAATCTCCCTTTAGGGAGAAGGAAAGACCTTCTCAATTCAGGTACTTAAAGAGGTCAATATTTCTGGAGATAAAGACATCATCCTTTTCCAGAACTGCAGGGAAGAAGAGGAAAGGGATGGGACAGTCATCTGTCAAAATGGTTGTAGGGGCAGCCTGGGAAGATGGTACTTGAAATTAATTTCCCTGAGGGAACTTGGGGTGAGATGGCATGAGGGCCCCGTGAGGAAAGAAGGGTGCTCATTCACACTGAAGACCCTGGATATATTCTTAGGGGCTGGCACTAGGCTAACGTCTTAAAACTTTGCACTTTAAGCTGGGCATAGTGATGCATGCCTGTAGACCCAGATACTCTGAAGCCTGAGGCAGGAGGATATCTTGAACCTGGGAGGTTGAGTCCAGCCTGGGCAGCATAATAAAATACTGTAAGAAAAAAAAATCTGCACTTGACTCAGATTTGGTCATTTGAAACCAACCTAATGTGTTATTTGAGGCACTGAAAGGCAAGATCATCATTTCAAATATAGGGCTAGTTGAAAAGTCACACCTCAAATAACCTCATGAACTTTTAAGGACAGGAATGTATTTTGGCTCAAATTTGAGAAATGTATGGATTTAACTTTCAGAAACTACTTAACAATAACCTTGATGCAGTTAGGAATGCTTTGGCCATGTTTCCATTTGCATGTATGTGCTGGGTTTGGAAATCTGGGCTGTGTACTCCAGAATCACCCAAACTTCCCAAATGTGATTTAATTCTGGAGAATTTGAGAAGACTTTACATGTTAGACAAACGTAAACTGGTTCTGCACTCTATGTGGTTTGCATGAAAGCTCCCAGTGGCTGAGCTGGGTTTCCCAAGTGTCCAAAACTCCCTGAAAGTAAAACCCTGGGTATGGGTTCCTTTAAGGTCAGTCACTGCATTTTCATTCCAAAGATTTTCTTGTTCTTGAAAAGGACCAGGCAAAGGGAGGGGTCTCTGATCTGGAGCATCTCTGCTTTTGGCCCAGGCACCCATCACCCCATCAGTTTGATTCCTGCTCTGTAACCACAAAGACAAGTATGATGAATCTCCTTTTGGAACACAATGCAGTTTGCTTGGATAAACATCCACTTTAGACAAACAATAAAAGCAGCTCAAGTGGGGCCTTGGCTGCTCTCCTGGTGTTACGCTCATGAATATGCCTTTGGTGCTTGGCAGCAAAAATTTTCTGGTTGCACAAAATAGTAAACCACCCTTTGGGAATACCCATCCCCTGTCCTTGTTGTTCAAAACATATTGGAATTTAAGTTATTAGCCCTAAACAAGTAACAAATTTAACCCTCTAAGTCTCCATTTCTATGTATTGTAAAGGAGGATTTTTTTTTTTTTAAATCATGAGGGAGAATTCTAAGGGAGTTGATGAAACAGATGCTGTGTAAACACAGTTCTATTATGTTGAAAGATATATCAGCTCAGCCACAGAGCCTTTACTGATCCCTCTGTTAGAAATCATTTATCTTCTCCTCTCCTCTGAACTATTGCTACACTTTGCTTTTTCTTATGGAGTACTGATTTTATCTAGCATTTTATTTATTCGTGTGTGTGTCTTAATTTCCCTTCTAGACTGTAATTTTCATAGTGGCATGAAATTTATGTCTTATTCAACTTTGTTTTCCCTACGAATTATATATATTTATATATACACACACATATATTAATATATAAACAATAGACATACAAATATATTAATATATACAAATAATATATACACATTAACATATTATATATAAAATTTGCAGGGAAAACATATATATGTGTATGTGTGTAAATATATATAATAACATTGGTTTTATAAATATAAAACCAATCCACCAATCCATTCCCATACTTCCTTTTGGTAGACTTATTCCTTTATTCAAAGATTTTGTCATTTGGTATGTGTTGGTTACTGAAAATAAGCTATTTTTTTTTAATCACCGTGCCTTGTGCTCTGTGTTTGTTAAATGGGATCACAAAGTAAAAGCTATTATTTTTATCCTCCCTTTACAGGTGAAGAAACAGAGGCAAAGGGAGCATAAGCAATTTTCCAAAGGCCATACAACATGTAAGTGGCTGAGCCAAGACTGAAATCACCAGGTTCTTAACCACTAGGCCATATTGCATTGGAGTGTTGCCTCCTGGAGTAAGACTAGGTAAGAAAATATGAAAAACATATGGCCCCTGAATCAAGCACTTCACATTGTAGTAGAAAAGACAGACCTGCAGAAACACCATAAGAATATAGGCTGATTGAGTGTAGTGATGGAACTTTGTGGAAAGGCCATAAACACAGCAAAAGGGCTGCCCCCAGGTGGCAGTGATCACTGGGACAGGGCTTAGGTGGAGTGTGGATTTTCTTTGTTTGACAGGGGTTGTCTCAATATCAAAAATGGCTCTTTTAGTAGGGAGGATAAGATTTTAGAGACCATCTTCCAGTTCACCTCCTTTATTGCAAAAGAGGAAGCTGAAATAAAGAAATTTAGGAGATTCGCTCAACACACAACTGATTAATTGCACATTCAAGACAGAACAGAAAAAGTTGTCTAAATCCTGTAGCAAACCTGAATTTTCCTGAAGATTCATTTGGAAGAAGAAACAGCCAGGAAAAAAAAAAAGAAAGAAAGAAAGTAAAAGAGATGGTAAGAAATGATAATGCCCTTAGAAGGCCATTATAAAATATAGAAAAATCAGTGAAGAAACAAAAACATCTAGAGTCACAAATGTCATATTGGCATCTCCTACTTTAGAAAAAGGTACAAAAAATAAGACTTTCCCCTTCTTCCCCATGTTCCTCCTCAGGTCCCCCCACCCATCCCCTATCCCTGTTTTCTACAGAAGCTTACATAGAGAACTATGAGACTATTGGGCATGGTGGTCTGTGCTCTGCACCCTAAACATGGTTTCACTGATTGCTAGTTTTCCATAAGAATACAAAACCAATTGTTTATTGTACTGTCACAAGTTTGCCTCCCTCAGGCTTTCACTATTTCAGCTAAAACAGATGCTATTTAGAAATATAGAATATTGTAAAAGCCACTTAATTCTCTAATGATTTCAATTATAAAAGGTAAAAATTTTTTACCTCCCCATGCTTCAGGTTAATTTTGTCCTCACCTTATGTTTTTGTTATTCTCTCTGCCTCGATTCTCCCCTCATTTCCATCCATTTAATTCTTTGCTCCTCTTCCTGGAATTCATATAGTAGGAATTCCACCTCTCCCATGTGCATTTGAGCCAAAGTTCCCAAAGCAAGTTCTATGGAACATGATTACCTGAAGAGCTTCCTGAAAGCTGGGTTCCATGGTCAAAGAAGCTTGAGAAAACCTCACATTATCTCTTGTCTGATGACCAGAATTTATTATTTGTACCTTAAAGTTTAGCAGTCAATTATTGTATATGTAAGAAATGATTAAATATCTATCATGGACCAAGCATACACAGGGCTGAATATGGGAGTTATAATTGTTCCCTCACCCTAAGTAAGTCTTGTCTGTTTACCCAGATTTTGTAGTTCTGGAAAGTAAGGACTGGTCCTATTGTATTGTTATACTGTTATAGAGTTACAGTATAATGGCAATAAGAGAGGCTCAATAAATGATTTCCGGTTGGCTTGTTGGTTAACTAAATGTGAGTTAGCTTTTACCAATAAAAATTGCTTTTATCTTCTCCTTGAAAACTACTCTGCAAGAGAAAGTGCCTTTGATCCTACTTAGTAGGATAGTTTTTCTAACAACAAAACTCTCTACAGAAAGTCTGAAATGCATCTGCATAATGTGACTGACTCAAATAGCAATGTCCAACATCAGAAAAATACCAATTTTCCAATTTTGGAATGCCTACCAGGATACATAGAAGACCACAGGGAAAAAAACACCACAATTATCCCCATTTTATTCTCCACTACAGAAATCCAGCCTCTGTTGCTGGATTTGATGTCTAGCCACAATCACATGTGACTAAGTTGAGTTCATGAACTGAATTTGGGCTGATCCCATTAAATTCTTAAATAGAGAAAAATATTTGTTCTCACCTGACCAGCTTTGACTAAAAGGCATCTTGTGGTGAGGACAATGCAAAATGAAGCATGCCATTCTCCTGTCACACGATATCTGCCTCGAAATCAGATTGCCACCCAGTGATTAATACCGTCTGTCTAACACATTCCTTGTTTGGGGGCTGGGTGTCAGGAAAGAAGGATTTATTATATCATAAGATGTCCATGAACAAACTCCAGGGACAGATGTGGTAAAAACAGGACTTAAAGCATTTGGTGAGAATATCCCAGTTATTCTTTAAGGGACTTGTCAAACATTAAATTAAGTGAAGCAGAAGGGTTTTATGATTTTTCTCCCCTCCTTAAGTGGACTGTCAGAGTTATGTTACTAGAGTTAATGCTACCAAATTTGAATGCTTGAGTGCAGCCCTGTCTTGAAGTATTTGTCAGGGAAAAAAAAAGACTGTTTGAGGCTTGGCAGACACTTCCCATATGAGTTATGAGAGAATAAACTATTTCCAAGTTGTACTACTGAAAGCTGAAAGGACCTATGGAAGACCTTCCAAACTGTTATTATAAATAGGAATTCAAACCATGGAAGAATTCATGCAAAATCTTGATTCAGAGCATACTTGAACTTAGCATTTCCCTTACCATGGCCTTTCTGAGTGTGTTACTTAACACTGCATAAATGGTTCTCAACTATCTGAGGATGGTGTTTGATGTCCCTGTTGCTGTTGAGTGCAGAATTAAAAACAACAAAAAACGGCTCCAAATTTCAAGTATGCACTATGCAGGTGAGCTGGGAGGCAGGACTTTCTGCCAGTGGAGTCATTTAACTCTAGAATGTGCTGGTAAGAGTGGATTTGATGGAGGGTGTGAGTTGTCAGCTCAGAGAAACTTAAGCTGGAATGTAGCTTGTTACCATTTGTTACTGCTCTGCCTCACCTGAAATGCTGTTTTCTCTCCAGCCATACCAGATCCTCTGTCAATTAGAATTCTGGTCCTTGATGAAACCTTGTTAGATTGCAGGCCCTAAAGGCAGAGGAAAGGCAGCAATGATGGGGGACGAGTGTTTGCACTGTGTTGGTCTCTCCCCATCACCTTGATACATCTATTGAGAACAGATAGTCAGTTCCACAGCACAGCATAAAGTTTCCCCCAGAGTGTGGTCCTTGAGCTACCTGCATCAGCATCATCAAACAAGCCTTTAAAATGCATATTCTCAGGCCCTGTGCTAAATATTCAGTATTAGACTCTCTGGGAGTGAGGCCTGGGAATATGCATTTTAAGATTCCCCAAGGGACTTTGGTGTACCCTGCATTTCTACTTGAGATTTGGGTTACCTCTTTTATTTGTAGTTGCAATTGTTTAGACCAGATGCTTCCTGAAGAAGAGGCTACAGGAGAGGGAGGAGACGGGGTAGGGGAAGAGACAGAGACTGGACCCTTTGAAAGGGTGATGTTGGGGTCAAATGGACTTCGAGAGCAGCTGTAGGGCAGGGATTCTACACTGGTGACCTGCACATATATTTTCTTTGAATTACACAGCATTTACAATTTTTAAAAATCAAAATGCCTTTATACTGGGCATATCCTCTTCTGTCTTCCACAACTCATCACTGCCTACTCATTCATCCCCTTGCCATTGAAGGCACTTGATTACCAACTCCTGGGGAAGGTGGCAGATTTAACATTAAATGGCCTATTGTCTCCTTGTTTTTAAATCATGGATGGATATGAACATGTTTACAAAAGTTCAAGAGCATTGAACAGGCTTTTTCTTTGATTTGTCTTTAAACCAGGTTGACTTTTACTTTTCTGACTTACTGGAAGGCGCCAATGAAATAGTACCTGGCAAAGTGTTTTAATGCAGTGCATGCCTCAATAAATAATTTTCTCATGAACAAAAAAGTAATGTGATACAGCTGACGATTTATTTTATGGCTGCTTTCTCTTATCTTCCCGTCCACTGAGCCCTTCCAAACTTCAGTCTTCCACACCACAAAATGGCAGAGGAGGATTTCTACAATCCAGGTCCCTCACTTTTCACCTGCTTTGGGTGGGACAGGTGAAGCCCAGATTTTCTCAATTTTGTTGCAAATTCTCTGTGAAATAAAAGCACAGCCTCAGATCTGTCTGAGAGGTCCTTACATACTCTTCGTTCCTGAATGTTTTCATGTAAACATTTTTAATTTGTGGAAAATCTGTTTGTTTGTTGTGTTTGTCAAGTTAATGTAAACCGTAGTCCGTTAGTCCTTGAGATGAGTCTACTAAATATTTTCAGATGTTTTTTATTTCCTCAGCTAAGAGCTGGATTTGAACCAGAGCTCAGGGGTAAAAGGGCAACATGTAATATACAGAGACAAGGAATTTGACATATGAAATAAAATAATGTAATGTTTTTAATATTAAAGATGAAAAAAGCAGCAATAAAACATTGTGGAAGGAGGAAAACATGAATACCTGTATATTTTAATTTTAAATGCCTGCAGATGTTGAATTTTAATCAGAGCATGTCAGATTCTGACTCTGACAAAGGCAAAAATGTGAGATCTGTTTTCTTGAATTGCTTCCACATTTCTTGCCTCAGATTTTATTGCATATAGCACTGCATCATCATATATTTATGTAAAGTGCCAGCATCCATTGACTTAGTATGCGCATGATGGTTAACATATAAAACAGTATGCGATGAAGGAACGGCCCCTTCCTTCTCCCACCATGGCACACATTCTCTCTGTGACCTTGTGGTAAGGACGGCATTTAACCCCTCTCTGCTTTAGTTTCCCTAATCGCAACATAGGAACCACCACTCTCCTTTCTTCTTTAGCTCCATGGGTCTTATGAGGATTATTTGAAATAGCAATTGATCTATACACTTATAATACAACATAACAATATCAGATATAAGTCTATGTATGTGGAAATACTTATTCAGAGAGATTGGAAGGAAAATAAAACTAGTGAAAACTAGACTGATATATCTCTTCTAGTAAAAACTAGACAGAAATGTATTAAAATCTAAGTGACTTTGAAATTTAGTGCACATTTTTGAGGTACTTTCTATTTCTCTGCTTTTGCATTATGTTTCCTAAAGCAGTGTGAAAGCTGATGACAAATTTCACACTGAAATTCTACTGAAAACAATGGATTTAGACATACGGAATTGTGAGTGGAGAATCACACTCACTCAGAGTGCTTTTTCCTCTTCTCTCCCTCAACACAACTCCAGTCATCACAGAACACTTTCATGACCAAATGTGTGTGGGGTGTTATTCCCACACATCAAGCAAACAATCAGTTCTGCAGCAGTCACCAGGGGGGTGTCCTGTAATTCAGTTCCAACACTGTCTACCTAGAGATGGTGTCAGATACCACAGGTTGAGGACTCAGTCTCCAAGACTGCCTCCTGAGACACCAGTCCCAAGTCTAGAACTCTGGAACTTCTAACTGACGAGCTCCAAGCTGCAGCTCCTATGGCCCCTGCTCTGGGTTTGATTAATTTACTAAAGCTGCTCACAGAACCCAGGGAAACTTACTTAGATTTACTGGTTTATTATAAAGGATACCACAAAGAATACAGATGAAGAGATCTATAGTGCAAGGTATGGGGGAAGAAGAATGGAGCTTCCCAGGCTTCCCTGGGCATGCCACCCTCCAGGAACCTCCATGTGTTTGGCTATCTGGAAGCTCTTGAACCCAGTCATTTTAGGTTTTTATGGAAGCTTCATTATGTAGGCATGATTGATTAAATCATTAGACATTGGTGATCAACTTAACCTTCAGCCCCTCTCTGCTGCTTGGATGTTGGGAAGGGTGGGGCTGAAAGTCCCAACCTTCGAATCCTGCCTTGGTATTTGTGGTGACCAGCCCTAGAAGTTACAATCTTGAAGCTACCTAGGGGTTGCCACCCATCAGTCAATTGTTAGCAAGCAAACAGACATCACTTTGGAGATTCTAAGAAATTTAGGAGTCATATAGAAGGAAATGGGGTCAAAGACCAAACATGTATTTCACAATATCACATTACAGTTCAAAGAATTATCCGCAAGTCCCCATTATATTTTTCTCTGAACATTTTGAATGTTATAAGATAAAACAGGACAAGCAGTTAATTTGGTTGAAGATCTTCAGTGTAAGGTCAATTTTCATCTTGCTTCTTGTTTTCTTGCATCTTGCTTCTTTCTTAAAAGACTCATAGCCATTAGGGTTTTCCAGTCTAATGACTATATATCCATGACTCTTTAAAATCTTTCCTCTTCCAATCACTTTTCACTTTGGGGTACTCCTCCTGCCTTCTAAAGAGATCTGTGTTGAGTTGTTAGAAATAGCCAAGGGACTTTTAAGAACACTGAAGCTGCATATTAAATGTTAAATTATCTGTGATGTATCTCCTTTCTTATTTTCAAATGTTCAGAGAAGTCTGCTATACACACAAATGTTTAAGGAGAAAGAAAAAGGGTGATACTTAATGCCTATGATGATGTGGTATAAAACACGGACATCATATTTAGAATAGTAGGCAATCTATCTGCTGACCTAATTTAGTGGAAACAGGACTCATAGCCAGTGGCAAGGGGGAAAATTACAGTAGTCTCTATCCAACCCATCCCCTTTATCAAATCATCAATAGATTATGTATACTTCTTTTTTTTTTTTTTTTTTTTTTTTTTTTTGAGACAGTCTCGCACTGTCGCCCGGGCTGGAGTGCAATGGCGTGATCTCAGCTCACTGAAACCTCTGCCTCACAGGTTCAAGCGATTCTCCTGCCTCAGCCTGCCAAGTAGTTGGGATTACAGGTGCTCACCACCAGGCCCAGCTGATTTTTTGTATTTTTAGTAGAGATGGGGGTTTCACTATGTTGGCCAGGCTGCTCTCAAACTCCTGACCTCATGATCTGCCCACCTTGGCCTCCCAAAGTGCTGGGATTATAGGCATGAGCCACCACACCTGGCTGATTAGGTATACTTTTAACAATCTATATATTTAATTTAATTTTTAAGCTACTGCATTTATTTGACCCTTCAAGTATTTTTACTACATTGCAAAGGAGAGGAGTTTTTTTCAGCAGAATTATTCACAAGAATATTTCAGAGAAAAATGATCAGAGTGAGAAATGACTCACACTTCCTAGAGAGCTCTGTGCAATTCCCTTGCATGGGGAAAGGGAGGACCAGGCAGGGTCTGCTCATCTGGAGGGTGGGAGTGGAAGCTGTGCTAGCCATTGCTGTCTGGAACTGTGTGAGAAGGCAGGGCTAGAGAATGATGGCATGGAGAGAGGAGTGTACTGAGGCAAGATGGAGAGTTTTTTTTTGTAGTTACTGTGAATGGAAGATTTAGAAGAGAAATTTATGTGTCTAAACAGGAGTTCCAGAAAGTTATGCTTGAAGAATTATGTGAAACCTTCAGCTCCAGCAATTTAAGAAAACCTACAGTAAAGATAATACCTTCACATAAGTCTTCAGGTTTCTGGAGTTGAGTACCAAGCTTCTGGGATTATTTTTTGATTGTTGATTGTGATATACACAGTAAGACTAATCCATCAAATGGCATGCACACATCAAGCCTCAGCTCCTGTCTTCATCAAGCCGCCTTGATTCTTCTGATGTAAAATCAATTTCTCGTTATTCTCTGTTCTCATAACCCTTGCACATCTGTTCTTTTGCTCCACAAGAATGCAGACTCTGTGGTTGAAAGAAACTTTAGAGGTAATTAGTACAAGCCTTCATTCTCATCTGATGATCTTTTCTTCATTTGTTCATTCTCTCAACTAATATTGGCTCTCCAGCCACTGGAACATAGTAGACATAACATATAAGTTAAGTATTTTCTGAGAGCAATTGGAGAAAAGCTACATCTTCATAAAGTGGATACCCATGAATCTTATTCTCAGCTGGTTCCTAAGCAACTCAAGTGTATCTTTTACATATCCCTGGTCAGCTCGCTCTCCCTTTCTCCACGGGGATTATTCCAAACTTTCATCACTTTTTCAAAAAAGTGACTTTATTCCTATCCCCACTGCTATGTTGCTGTTTCAGGAGTTTCAAAACATAACCCATGGTGGTTTTAATGTAAGAGGTGTAAGGCTCATTAATGTTAGCTAGACACATCATTTTAGAAGTGAAAAAACCCCTGAAGTTTAAAGAAGTTATATGACTTACACAATCACATGGCTCATTTAGGTGTAGCATCTGGAGTAGGTTCTAGATAAGTAGAGTCTTTTGCCAATCTTCTGTCTGTTAGGTGATTCAGATCAAATAACTGTACCTTATTTTAAGAAAAGTGGACTAAAAACATTTGAAGAAAAAATGACCAAAACTTTCCCAAATTTGATGAAAACTAAAACACTAAAACCCCTCCGATCTAAGGAGCTCAAACAATCCCAAACACAACAACATAAAGAAAACTTTATCAAGGCATATTATAAATTAATTGCTCAATACTAGTGATAACAAGAAAATGTTAAACATAGCCAGAGGGGGGAAAAACACCTTACATACAGAGAAACATAGATAAGGATGACAGCAGATTTCCTTTGGAAACAATGCAATCAAGAAGTAATTGGGCAATGTCTTTATGATACTGAAAGAAGAAAGCTACTAACCTAGAATTCTATAGCGAGTGAAAAGATATTTCAAAAATGAAGGTGAAATAGACTAAATAGACTAAGACGTACAAAAACTGAAAGAATTGATCATCAGCAAGATCTGCACTACAAAAAAAAATGTTAAAGGAAGTCCTTCAGGCAGAAGGAAATGATGGATCAAAATATGGATCTACAAAACTATGGAAGAGCATAAGAATTGGTCACTATTATGAGTACATATAAATATTGTTTTTTATTATTTAAATATCATTAGAAATAATTGGCATCTAGACTGGAAAGAAGTAAAACTATTGGCAGATGACATGATCTTGTATGTAAAAAATCCTAAGGAACATGCACACACACACACAAATAATAGAACTAATTAATTCAGCAAGATTTTAGGATACAAGATTAATATACACAATCAGTTGTATTTCTATACACTAGAAATAATATAATAAAATTAATAAATATTTCATTTACAGTAGTGTCAAAAATAAAATATTAAGTAAATATGTTTAACAAAAGAACCTCAACTGATACACAGAAAACAATAAAATATCATTGAAAAAATAAAAGAAGAGCTAAATAAATGGAGACATCCCATGTTGGTGGATTGGAAGACAATATTTTTAAGATGTCAATACTCTCCAAGTTGACCTACAGAGCAAATGTAATTTCTATCAAAATATCACTGCCTTGTTTGCATATTAACAAGCTGATTCTAAAATTCATATGGAAATGCAGAATGGCTAAAGCAATCTGGAAAAAGAAGCCAAAAGACTTACGATTCCTGTTTTCAAATGGTGCATGGCATTGTCAATAGTCTAGTGTGTCTGGGGTGCGGGAAGGGAGAAGTAGTAAAGGTCATAGTAGTAGGGCCTCCTTATATAGCATGAATGCTAGTCTATGGAATTTGGCCTCGATTGTAAACTAATGGGAATATAAAAGAGGGTTTAAGCAGGGAGTCAGATCTGTGTTTTTTTTTTTTTCTAATTCTGATTGGGAGGAGTTGGTGGGAGTGAGGATGAAAGTCTTTGTCTATTATTGCTTTTAGGAGTCCTTTTAAATACCAAGAACTGAACTCAATCCTCCCAGTCTGTATTTGAGCACCCAAGACATGCTGCAAATGAGACAGGACAAGCCTGCTGTTCACTGGACAGCTGAGGACAGTCACAGTTGTTTGGTGGAGCAACAACACTACTGCTCCCCTACTTGGCCTCAGTTCATATTGCCAAGGGTGGGAAAAATGTCCTGTTCTTTTTTGCCTGCCCTCATCCTGATTGATTCCTCAGCTCCAGACCTTTGGTTCTAAATGACATTATCACCATGGAGCCATTGCAAGCTCCATCTCTGCAGAGATTTTGTAATCCCTCCAGTTTTGCCATATGGCTTGCAAAGGGATGAAGAGTTGCCCTGCTTGAATATGGTTTGGGAAATTGGCAGGGTGTGATTTACACATCTCTTTAAAAAAATCCACATGCAATATTTCAGACTTATAAAATGTATAAAGAATTCTAAAACAAAACAATATATTTAATACTCAGTTTCAGAAATAAAGTAGGATCACAGAGCAGTTGAATTCCACTGTGTTTCTTTCCCCAATCACAGTCATTACTTCCACATGTCTATCCTTGCTTCCTGAGTAATCTCTGTCATACATTTGGTATTTGGTGTTCCTGTGCATTTCTTTATATTTTTAGTACATATATTCATCCTTAAGTGCTATATAGTATTTCATTGTATGTTTGAAAATTTGCTACAAATATTATCATACTGCTTTGTCCACTTGCAATACAATTTTTAATCAGTGTTTTGTTTATGAGGTTCACCTATGTTGAATTATGTAGATCCTGTTTGTTCCTTCTATAACTGTATAGTATTCAATTGTATACATATACCACAGTTTATCCATTCTCCTGTTGATGGGCATTTATGCTGTTTCCACTTTTTCAAAATTACAAAGTTGTTGCCACAAACATTCTTTTCTTCTTTTTTCTTTTCTTGAGATAGAGTGTCCCTCTGTAGCCCAGGCTGGAGTGCAGTGGTGCAATCTTAGCTAACTGCAACCTCTGCCTCCTAGGTTCAAGAGATTCTCCTACCTCAACCTCCCCAAGTAGCTGGGACTACAGGCCCACACCACCACACCCAGCTAATTTTTTTTGTATATTTAGTAGAGATGGAGTTTCACCATGTTGACCAGGAGAACTCTTGACATCAGGTGATCCACCTGCCTTGGCCTCCCAAAGTGCTGGGATTACAGGTGTGAGCCACCACACCTGGCCGTCACAAGCATTCTCTTTTTTTTTTGAGACAGAGTTTTGCTCATGTTGCTCAGGCTGGAGTGCAATGGTGTGATCTCAGCTCACTGCAACCTCTGCCTCCTGGCTCAAGCAATTCTCTTACTCAGCCTCCCAAGTAGCTGGGATTACAGGCATGTGCCACCACGCTCGGCTAATTTTGTATTTTTAGTAGAGACAGGGATTTCTTCATGTTGGTCAGGCTGGTCTTGAACTCCCAACCTCAGGTGATCCACCTGCCTCAGCCTCCCAAAGTGCTGGGATTACAGGCGTAAGCCACAGCGCCCAGCCACGCCAACATTCTTATCCACATCTTGTGTTCATATGTGAGAGTTTCCCTGGCATATATACCTAGAAGTGGAATTTCTGGGTTAATTTCCATATTTCTTGACTCAAGACCAAGAGGAAATTTGATTTGAAAGGATGTCACAGTACTTCCTAAGTTAAAATATTGTGTTCAGGCCAAACTTTACCAACACTTTACTGCTGAGTTTTAATATCTAAGAATAGTAATATGCTTGAAAGAAGAGGATGGCTGGGAGATTATAAATTTGTATGCAGTCTGCAGTAGGATGAAATGTGGAAAATGGTGACTTGCTGTATCAGTGTCATGTCTGGCTCTGTGTGGTTTTTTACACTGCATACCTGGATAAACGTAGGAGGTCTTCCTGCCTCCACTTCGTTTCACTTTAATCCCTACTCTCAGATTAGTCTTCCTAAAATTATCTTAATTTTATTACTCTGATGCTCAAAAACTACAGAAACTTATTTATCGGACAGAATACAAAGTGCATTAAGTCTTCCCCAGTTAGATCTCAACTTGTTGCCTTATCTTCCAGGTTTTTCTCAAAATGTTTCTATTACAATTAAACAATTAACTTCTCCTTGTACCCAAATAGCTCTTTTACTTCTTAAATTTGTATGTCCACTTTAGAATTCCCCTGCTAATGATCTTTCTCTCCTTTTCAATTATCTAAATTCTATTCATTCTGAAAGATAAATCTACATTAAATCTTTTCTACAAGCCTCTTATTATTACCCCTACACTGGCATGTGACAGCTACCCAGTATTGCTCTTGATGGGATGGACTGTTCTAGGAGGTAGTAAATTTTTTGTCATTGGAGATTGTTAAAGGAATTCTATGAAATGAAATGACGGATTTTTTAAGGTTAAGAGTCCCTTTCAACTTTAAGATAATTATGTCTATAACCTCTTCTATGGAGGCCTTGAATTATAATTTAAATTCTATATTTCTATTTAATTTTACTTGTACTTATTTTTATAATCCCCCTCATGAAACTGGTCAATGATGATGTAATTTCATTGCAACAACCCTATAATATGAAGTTTTGTATACTTCTCAAAAAATATACCAAATATTTTCAGAAGCAGAACTGAAATTATTGTTGTCACTTGTTTTCTTTGTTTTTATTATTTTAACGTGTGGCAGAGTGCATTTTCTAAAGATAGCCACATAATATGTGTTGGATTTGTGTTCCTGCCCAAATCTCAAGTAGAATTGTAATCCCCAGTGTTGGAGAAGGGGCACGGAGGGAGGTGATTGGATCAAGGGGGTGAATTTCCCCCTTGCTCTTCTCCTTACAGTAAGTGACTTCTCATGAGATCTGGTTGTTTAAAAGTGTGTAGTACCTCCCCCTTTGCTCTCTTCCTCCTTCTCTGGCCATGTAAGACATGATTCCTTCCTCTTTGACTTCCACCATGATTGTGACTTTCCTGAGGCCTCCCCAGCCATGTTCCTGTACAGCCTCCGGAACTGTGAATCAATTAAAACTTCTTTTTTCTTTATAAATTACCTAGTCTCGAGTACTTTATAGCAATGTGAGAACAAGCTAATACACTAGAATAATATTTTTTATGCCACACATTTTTTCTTGAAGCTTCCTCTTCTTCCATCAAGGAGTAAAACCTGTAATTTCTCTCCTTGGAATTTGGAACTGGGTGGGGTTTTTTGACTCCTCCGACCAATAAAATATGGTGGAAGTGAAGCTGTATAAATTCCAAATGTTGAATACTGTCATCTTGTTCTTTCAGAACTCATGTGCTTGGAATCTAGCGACCACGCTGTGGCGATGCACAAACTAGCCCACGTGGAGAAAAACCCGCAGACAGATTGTGTCTACTTTTATAGCTAGCAGCCCTGGTGAGGTACCATATGACAGCAGGCATTAGCTGCCAGACATGTGAATGAAGACGCCCCAGAGTGATTCCAGCCCCAAGCTGTTGTTGTTACCCTCATTCTTTGAGCCTTTCCAACTCTGTCCCCAGGCTTTGTAGAGCATAGACAAACCATTACTTCTGGGCCCTGCCCAAATTTCTGACTGACAGCATCTATCAGCATCATATAATGATTGTTTTACATTGCTAAATTTTGGGATGGTTTGTTATGCAGCAATAGAAAATGAAACAGCATGCTATTGCTGTTTCACAAAAATCACTTCAGAAACTTGTATTTAAGCCATGAGTCTAGAGATGGCAGTGGGCGACTGTGAATGGCTTTCAAGGTGATGAAATAACAGCTGAGTTTCCATTTACATCTCATGCATACTTATTCCATCATCTTCCCTGTAATAAAATTATGGGGATGTACTGTAAGAAATAATTGCTGCCTCAAGGAGTTTAAATTTGCTTTCTCCTTCAGCAGGTTGCAGCAAATAAAAATCTCCACACGCAAACATCAGTTAAAAGTCGTTGTTATCTGCAAAGTAAATGATTAAGGCTTTCTTTTGCTCAAGGGGCTTTTAAAACTAAGTATTGGCTATTTCATTTTGTTTGAATAGCTTGTGAAAATAATGGCAAGACAGTTTTAAACTCTCTTGATATCACAGAGTTAGTCTTTGGCTGAAGAGAATCGATCAAATTTGCCCATTCTCCTTCTGCTGACCACTTGTAATTCTGTCACATTATACTGTACTATAATTACTTTTTTGAGGACACAAATAAAGGGTGAGAACACAACATCATACACTTGGGATTCCTTCATAAATCACTCATGGCTTTCACCATGTTTGTTTCATTGTCAGTGATAATTACATGATCCTTTTCTCAACTGATTGTTTCATTCTATAAATATTTCTTCAATCAGATTCACTAAGTGAGCTGTGTGACACCCAGAAATCTCTTGGCAGTCACGTAAAGCAGAAGCAGAGATGAATTTGTTATCAGTCCCTGGGTCTGTCAAACTTGAAAAAGATCTCTGGTTCTGTCTGCACGTCCTAAAGCTGATGTACGAAAATATACAGAAGTGTCATGTTCAATAATATTACTAACCTTTTTGTGCACAAAAGAAATAGAATACAGAAAAAACTTTTCCCCCAATAACTTGTTTTCTAGAAATAACTTTGTTTCTTAGAATACATAAGTTGGGCAAATCTCCATATTCAGTTACTTTCAACTGTTAAAATTGGTTAGTATTTAACTAAAAGTACTTTTACTTTAAAATGTAGCACCCATGACGTTAAAAAAAAAAAACGAATTATGTTCTTAAAGCATTCTCTCTTTTTTAAGTTTGACCAGAGGAAAAACGCATGATTTGGTTAACATTTTTGACTAACACTGTCTTCTTTTCTTCATATTTTCTATACTGTTCATTAGATCTGAGATCAATGTTGTACTTTGGAGTTTATCATCCTCATGAATTTTGGAACATTTTTATTTTGAAATAATTATAGAGTCACAAGAAATTGCAAAGAGAGTACAGAGAAGTCCCAAGTACTCATCAGCCAGTTTCTGCCAATGGTCTCATCGAACATATAGTACAATATCAAAACCATTTAGTATTGATAGTTTATGTGTTGTTCCATGATATTTTATTACATGTATAGATTTGTGTAAGCACCACAATTAAGATACAGAACTATTCCACCATGACAAAATTCTCATCACACTCACTTTTCTTTCTTTCCTCTACCATCCCTAGCCCTGGCCATCAATAACTTTTTGCCATCACTAAAATTCTGTCATTTTGAGAGTGTTATGTAAATACAATAATACTGTATGTAACCTGTTGAGGGCTTATTTTACTCAGCACAACCTCAAGATCTAGCTAAGTCATTGCATGTATCAATAGTCTGTTCCTTTTCATTCTGAGTAGTGTTCTGTGGTATGAATATACTACAGTTTGTTTAACCATTCACCTATTGAGGAAAATTTTTACTATTACAAATAAATATGCTATTACCAGTCATATATAGATTTTTGGGCAGATATAAGCTTTTATTTTTCTAAGTAAATGCCCAGGAGTACAATTTCTGGGCTGTATGATAACTATATATTTATTTTAAACAGAAACTTTCAAACTATTTTCCACCAGAAATGTATGAGAGATCCATTTTCTCTGCATACCCATCAGCATTTAGAATTGGCATTATTTTTTATTTTAGCTGTTCTAAGAGATGAATAGGGCTATCCCATTGTGGTCTTAATTTGCACTTCCATGAACAGTGATGAACATCTTTTCATGTGTGCATTTGTCATTCATCTATACTCTTTAGTTAAATGACTTTTTATGTCTTATGTCCATTTTCTAATTGGATGTTTTATATTGAATTGGGGAGTTCTTTATATACTTTAGATTCTAGTCTTTTGTCAGATAGGTTGTTTACTAATATTTTCTCCCAGTCCATAGCTTGTCTTCCTTCCTCTTAACAGAGTCTTACCAAAATATTTTAATTCTGATGAAGTCCAGTTTACCAATTTTTTCTTTAATGGATCATGCTTTTGGTGTTATGTCTAAGAACTCTTCATCAAGCCCTAGGTCCAGAAGATTTTCTCCTATATTATCTTTGAAAAGTTTTATTTAAAAATGTTTTATATTTAATTTATGATCCATTTCAAGTTATTAATAATTTCCAAGTAATATATGAGATTTAGGTTAATATTTATTTATTTATTTTTGCCTATGGATATCCAACTGCTCCAGCACCGTTTGTTGAAAAGATTATCCAGTGAATTGCTTTTGCAATTTCATCAAAAATCAGTTGGCCATACTTTATAAGTCTCTTTCTGGGTTATTTTATTCCATTGACCTACATGTCTGTCTCTCTTCCAATACCACAGTGTTGACTACTACAGCTATGTAAGATTACTGTAGCTATATAAGTCTTGAAATAAGGTAGTGATTCTTCCCGCTTTATTCTCCTTTTTCAAAATTGTTTTAGTTGTTTGGTTTCTTTGCCTTTTAATATAAATTTTTATAATAGTCCTGTTTATACCTACACTTTTTTGCTGAAATTTTCATAGAAATTATGTTTAATCCATATTTGAATTTGGGGAGAATTGATATCTTTACTGTACTGAGTTTTCCAATTCATGAACATGGACTATTTCTTCAATTATGTTAGTCTTTTTATTTCTTCCATCAACATTTTACAGTTTTCAACATGTAAGTTCAAAACCTGTTTTGTCGGATTTACTCCTAAGGGTCTCTTTATTTTGAGTTACTGTAAATGGTATTATATTTTTAATTTTATTAGCTATGTTTTCATTGCTAATATACAGAAACACAACCAATTTTTGTTTATTTATTTTATATCTTGCATCCTTACTGAACTCAGTTATTACTCCCAGGAATATATATTTTTTAAAGATTCCTTTCAATTTTCTATGTAGACAATCATGTCTTCTTTAAGTAGAGACACTCTTATTTCTTCCTTTGATTTCTGTGTACCTTTTATTTCCTTTTGTTGCCTGACTGCACTGGATAGAACTTTCATCACTGTGCTGAATAAAAATGATGAAATGATCCTTCTTTTGTTCTCAATCTCGAGGAGAAAGCATTCAGTCTTGCACCAGTAAGTACAACATAGGCTGTAGGTTTTTTTGTAGGTGCTCCTTATCAAGTTGAGGAATCTCTCTCTATTGCTATTTTTCTGAAATGTTTAAAATCATGAGTGGGTGTTAGATTTTGCTAAATTTTTTTTTGTGTGTAGATTGATATTATCAAATGATTTTTCTTCTTTAGCCAATTAATATAGTAGATTACATTGATTAATTTTCAAGTAGTGAACCAGCTTACATTTCTGGATAAGCCCCATTGGTCATATATAATTATTTCCATATGTTTCTCAGTTCTATTTGCTAATACTTTATTAAGAATTTTGGCATCCATATTCATGAGGGATGTTTACCTGTAGATCGTGTGTGTGTGTGTGTGTGTGTAGCATCTTTCGTTTTGATATCAAGGTAATGCAGGGATCACTGAAGGAGTTCAGAAGAGTCAGCCTCCTCTGTTTTCTGGAAGAGATTGTGGTAGAATTAGTGTTAATTTTCATTTAAACTTTTGGTAGAATTATCCATGGAAGTCATCTGGACTTAGAGATTTCTGGGAGTTTTAAAATTATGAATTCAATTTTCTTAATAGCTATTGGTCTATTAAAATTATCTATTTCCTATTGGCAAATTGTGACGTTTCATACTTGTCTAGGAATTAGTCTATTTCATCTAAGTTGTCTAATTTGGGTCTAAAGTGATAACCATTGTTTTACTTCTGACATTTGCAATATGTATCTTCTCTTTTTTCTTTGTCAATCTTACTGGTGGGACTTTTATTACCTTTTAAACGAATCACTTCTTTGATTCATTGATTTTTGCTGTTTTTTTCCAAATTCATTGATTTTTGTTACCTCTCAAATTACTTCCTCCTTCCTAAACTCTGATGTCTCTTTAACTTCTGGCTTCTTATTTTTTGCTCTCTATTTTCCCCTCCTCTTCTAATTTCTTTCTCACCTCATTTGCTTTTTGGGGTGATTGAATATCTTTTTCTTTATGAATATGGAGATGTTATATTTTAATTCCTTTATGAGTTACCCTGAAGCTTTTAACTTTCATTTTTAACTTATAAATACAATTTTGTTAATATATTTATTATCCTTCTTAATAATAAAAGAATCTTGTAATACTTTTTCTCTGATGATGGCTCTCCCAACATAAGTGCTATTGAATTAATATATTTTAATGCTATCTTCTTCATAACCCTACATGATATTATTATTATTCTTTATCGTCTCAGTGTTTGTTTCAATTGACACATGTTTTTAGTACTCTGCTATTTATTCCTTCTTACATCTAAGGCCTTCCATCTAGGAGTATTCTCATTCTGCTGGGGATATATCTTTAGAATTTTCTCTAGTTCAGGGATGTTGGTAACAAAGTTCTCTTAGTTTTATTGTCTAAAAATTCTTTTATCCTCATTTTGAAACATAATTTCACTGCATATAAAATTCTATGTTAAGTTATTTTTTCAGTACTTTAAATATATTCTACTTTTGCGGCTTCCATTATTGTCAGCTCTCAGTCTATTGACTATTTCTTTGAAGAAACTCTGCTTTTCCCTGGCTACTTTTAAGACATTCTTTGTGACATATCTACCATTAATGTACATGCTCCTAACAATGTAGTCTTAAAATATACAAGCAACAATTGACAGAACTACAGAGTGAAATCAATCAGAAATTTTACCTGGTCTTAATACATACTTCTCAGGAAATAATAAATTAAAACATATGAAAAACAAACAGAAATTTTTAAGACCCCCCAAAATACAATGGGTAAATGTAAGCTACTGGATGCATGTGGAATTCAACTCCAGCAAATAGAGACTACTACTTGTTTTCAAGCATACATGCAGCATTTACAAAAGTATACTTTGTACTAAACCACCAAAAAGCCTCAATTAATCCACATCATGCAGACCACATTCTCTAAATATGCTGCAATTAGAAATTAATAACAAAACACTAAATTAAAAATCCCCTTACGTTTTAAAACTAAATAACAGAAAATTGAATAACTCTTGGGAATAAGGGTTGCAGTCCTATTTTTCACTTGCAGTTTATTTTTTTCTCATAAGAGTCCTCATCCCTACCTAATGTAGTCAAGGGGGAAAGGGCAAAATCTTAAATAGCAAGATTGTGTTGTCGTTTGGCATGAGGCTGTCTAAGCAGCAGATAGTTAAAATTAGGATGACGATTTTTTCCGGTTGCATGGGGGCAGTGGTTTTTTATATTTACTGTCCGATAATAATTATTATAGCACCCATTTTCAATCTTGAAAATGTTCTAGTGTGTCATGGTAGTTAAGGCTGACTCCTTCTCCCCTTTTGCAGTTGTTAGGAGACTTCCATCATTAAGGACTGTATGTAGTTCTACTGGGGAGGTTTGCTTATACCACTTCTAGAAATCCAATGTCTACCTTCAGCTTCTTGGTGCTCAGTTCCTCTGTACCTCTAGAATAGGGGTGTCCAATCTTTTGGCTTCCCTGGGGCACATTGGAAGAAGAATTGTCTTGGACCACACGTAAAATACACTACACTAATGATAGCTGATGAGCTAAAAAATTTGCAAAAATATCTCATAGTGCTTTAAGGAAGTTTACGAATTTGTGTTGGGCCTCATTCAAAGCCTTCCTGGGCCACATGTGGCCCATGGGTTGGACAAGGTTGCTCAGAAGCTTTTATTTTACAGGACCCAAGACAACCCTTTCCTGGCTTGCTCCCAGATGTGGCCCACCTCTGGTCCACGCTTTTCCCCAACAAATTCTGGGAGTACAGACTAACTCTAATGCAGCCATTTCCATCCCGATGCATCAGGGCATCTTAACATTCTCAGGGCATGTTAGTTATTCTGTGCTCCCCCAAAAATAAGGAATATATTTACATCTCTCTAAGTGATCTCATGGAAGTCAATCCTCACATGGCTGGAGGTGAAGGAGGTAGCATATCCTAACTACCCTCCTTTTGGGTAAGGGACACTTGAAGCTCAGCAACAACTGTAGAAAGAATTATCTACTTGAAAACTCTCTTCACTATCTGACCCCTTTATATTTTCGATGTGAGTAAGGGGCCCTTTGGCTAGTGACTTAGAATTATGAAGCTAATATTTGACCATTTCATTTCTAAAGTCAGAAATTATGGAGGTCTCTCTTACATTCACTCTGAATCTGTCCTATTGATACCTCAATAAAAACTGATGCATAGTGGCTGTCATTTTAGTGGCTTATTACATATAATATATTTTTCATGGAGAAAAGGATACTCTTAACAAAATCAGATCTTATACATACTTCTTTGTGATTTTCCTAGTATAGTTAATAATATTTCCCAAACAAATATTATACAAATCAATATATATACTTCTTTACAGTTTCACTCTTCTCAAATGTAAGTTTGGGTAACCCAATGAATTCAAAAGAAATACAAACTTTATCCCTCTCCTTAGCAAGAACGCTTCTGACAGCTCATGAGACCATGTGGGAGAACTACATGTAGGTCAGTGTCTGTGGCATATTTCACACAGAGAATGCCTCGAAAACCAGCATCACATTTCCATTCCTGAGATGGTGGTGGTGGTGGTGGTGGTTGTTATTTTTCTTAGCACCCAGAGGAGTCAGCTGTTATGCTCTGATTCCCCCAGCTGTGGGCTTAGTGCTCTGCTGAAATATTCAGGAGTGGAACAGAGGAGAGGTTTTGGGAAAGAATGCGGGCAGTAAGAATTACCAAGCCACAGTACGTAGCTTTGTCGCTCTTAGAAGATTATTTGATATTTTTATTTCAGAATAAAACCACACCTGTTTCTATTAGGAAAACTGAGACTTAGTGAACAGAACCTTGACCGGATAAACCACCCAGTGGAAATTTTTATTATTTTCTTGCTGAATTGTTCTCCCTCATCACCACCATCCACGGTGTGGACACTGAGTTTTAAAAGAATGCATATTAGGTTTCATATTCTAAAACCAAGTTAGAGAGATGTGCTTTGGAAATTTCAAAACAAAGATTTAAAATGGTGCCAAATCAACCATGGACAAGAAATGTATTTAGTTACATTTAGTTACATGAGATCATCTTGCCCACCCCTCCCTATCTTGCACACACCCCAAATATCACTTACAGTTCACTTCCTCATTCTGTCATATTTCCTAGCAACCACTGGCTCCAAAACCGTGTGGAAAAGCTGCCCGCCATAATGAAAAGCCCAATTAAAAATTATTTTATTTGCTCATTTTACAGTACCATTTATGTATGCCACTCAGAAATGACTTATAGAGTTCCCCACCCCCACCACCACTTAGGCTCATTAGATTTAGAAATAAAAGCTTGTATATTCTGACGTTTCTTGTTAACTTTCCATCTTCCCAATTCCCCTCATGAGACTTTCGTCTAACATCCTGAGTTCCTTGCTGAAACCAGATTTACCCCACATTCAGAGACTCTCTGAAGGCCTTTCTATCAAGCTAGCATTGCTTATGTCACCGATGTGTATGAGCTGGTGAATTATGCAGTTACGAATCAACTCAGTGTTTTCACCAATAGCTAACGTGACTTATCTCCAGTCATCCTCCCATGTGCTGGCTCTATGGAAGGGATCAGGACAGGCTGTGATGTGGAGGGCCCAGGGCCAGATTCCTCCCTGGACAACACCTGCACAGGCAGCAGGGCATCCTTGACCATCCGAGAAGAGGCTCATCCGAGTTAACTTTCCTACTAGTGGCTTTCACTATAGTCAGTCCTTAGCTTAAAATTTACTTCTGGACATCAGTCGGAAGTATCTTCTGGTCTTATATTGCCATGAGCTGTGTTTAGTTCAGATTCCTCAGAGAGCATTTTTGTTTTGCTTTGTTTTTTTGTTTTTGTTTTTTTTTTAATGTACTAGAAAATAATTTAGTTTGATCTTCACCTAAGGTGAGCCAGGAACTTAGCATATGGAAAATACTGAATGCTGGGGTTGGTGCAAAAGTAGTTGTCATTTTTACCATCAATTTTGTACCAATCTAATAGCACATTTGCTTTTAACATAGGCTTATGTGTTTGCTATACTCTCTAATGATAATTTTATAAATCATTGGCTTTGTCTCTTTAAAAAACAAGGAAGCTTTGGTTGGTGACCAGTTACCTGTTTTGATACAAGAATCCAGTGCTTTTAAAAAAGTTAATTCCTTGTAACACTAGTTTCTCATGATACTCATAGGCATTATATTGAAAACTGATTCTATGGACACATAAGTTTGAAAAATACTTTTTAAAATAAAGTTAAATAAGTTTTAAAAAATGTCTTAGCTGCTAATACAGATTGGATTGTGGTAATTGGTATATGTGTGGGGATGCTGGGAAAAAATATGTAGAGTTCTCCATTTCCTTTAACTTTCCCCCCCAAAGAGCTTCTAGGGTATTAGTACACCACAAATCACACTTTGGAAAGCACTTTCTTGTAATATGCTCAGGGTAACCCAAAATATGAGAATAAATATTCTGAGATGAGAATTACTACACTTTAATGATATTAAATTAGGGCATTTGTGAAAGTCCTTGGAGTTAACTTGTTGATATTGTATATTCTTTTTCTAAGAATTCAAATTTCGAGATCCTTTTATTATCTTTTTCCCCTCTGTACGTTTGTGTGTGCATTTTAAGTGTTCCTTTTAGCCCATTTATGCCTAGTGTTCCATTTTTGGAACACTAAGCTTGTGGGAGTTATGTATCTCCTACTGCTCAGGGTCATCGCCAAGGTCTGATTTTTCACACAAAAGATTTCCAACCTCCAGCATAAATGGATTAAAACACAGAGCAGGTTAACAGTTTCGTCTCCCAGAGACAGGCTGTGTGTTTCTTTAAATGAAATGCAATCCACTCCCAATCTCTCAGTAGCCCTTAAGAGGGAGTGGGTGTCAATATTACCTGTGATTTAGCCCTTATGCTCTGAAATTCTGATTCAGTAGGCCACGGGCAGGGCCTGTCCGTAGGTATATTATAAAACACTCATAGATGTTGTTTATGTAAGCTCTCATCTGTCCAGACATTTGACAAATTAGTAAGTTTAATTAACTGGGTACTGTTAACCTACTGAAAGGTGTCACTTAGACTTTTTTGACATAGCAAGTACATCTATATGAAAATGCAAAACAAGGGCATTTAGAAATAGTCATGTCCCTTGAGATACTTTTTTGGGGGATACATTTTCCCTATCTGAATGTTACTTTTTCCCCTCAATGTTTCTCTGCCCCTTTCTGGGTCAGCCTGCCTTTACTTATTTCCCTGATTGAGTGAGTGTGTGTGTATGTGTGTGTGTGTGACGTGTGTGTGTGTGTGTGTGTGTGTGTATGTGCATGCGCCTTTGTCTCTGTGTGACTTTGACTCCTAAAACCGCCTGCATGTGGTGTCTCCATCAGCTCAGCTAGGCTCCTTTCAGCTTCCTGCAGTTTACACAGGTGTCTGGCTCCTTGGACCAGTGTGGTCTGTTTCCCCCAGTCCTCGCAGGCGCCTCTGGCATGCATCGCCTCCTCCAGCCCATGCATTTTGTGTCTGTCTTCCCTCTATCCCACAGGACAGGAATGCCAAAGGCTGGGCCAGACAGATTATTTGGAGTCCTGATAATGGGTGTACCCATGGGGAGAAACCTAGAAGAGTCCATGGCACTTTCCACTATAGGGGCAGGCAGAGGGTTTGTGTTGTTTTAAAACGGTTTCTTGTCATCCAACCCTATCTCCCCTTCTCCATCTCTCCCTGACTCTTTTTATGCTTGCCTCATTTCCAAATTTCTTCTTCATCTTGTTGTATTTTTCCTCCCCTTTTAAAAAATCTGTTCCTCTCTTCTTTTTCATTCAAGTGTTTTTCCTCTATGTTAGAGAATTTCAAACCATTTAACTGTAAATGCATAGCTGAGGCAGACCTGAAGATACTACATTTACATTGGGATGATTTCTCCGTTATTCTCCAAAAAGAGTATAGATCCAGCCAGATTTGTAGTAGTCTTTCCCATCTCAAATGCAATGTTTTTATACAAGTAATATAAATCTCAGCATGGCTCTTTTCAATAATTTATTCCAAACAAGGCAAAAACATGGATTGACTTCTGGTGCATTGGATTTCACACTAGGAAATTGAATATCCAGTAAGGAGAGAAAAAACCTTCCCAGATACTTCCAGACAAAGTTACTGAAATTTTAAAAGAATATTTTTGGGGATTGCTATATAAATAAGATGATCTGACTCACAGGGAGACTCTGGTGGTATTGGCTGTATTTGCATTGCACATGCACACTGTCACAGACAAATCTGGCAAAACTGAAATTTCAGCTATGCAGGACCACCCCTCACTGCATCCCCTACCACCATTATCTCTGCACTTCACTATTCTCCAAAGCTCAGTTTAGATGTACCCTCTTTCTCAAAGTCTTTGGCGACCTCCACTCCCATCCCTCAACTCTCATTGCACCTATGTTTACCTCTCTTGCAGCAAGAATCACTTGTATTTCATCATCATACACATAGGTAACTTATTTCTTCAACCAAACCACTTATAAGACCCTTCTGGGGCAAAATCCACACCAGTTGCATCATCCTTTCCTCCCAAAACATCTCATAGATTATGTTTTACCTCACGGGCACCCTATGGTCTCCTGGTGAACGAGCTTGGGTGAATTTAATGAACAAGCCCTGAGTGGCTTTGGAATCCTTGCAAAGTTCTTGGTTTAGAAACAACTGAGATTTTCAGATCTAAGAAAAGATAAATATAAAAAATTGAAAGCAAAATGTCATTTCTTGAAGGCTAAAAGCTTCATAGAAACCTAAAGGAGTTAGAGAAGGAAGATCTCTCAATGGAAATGCTAAGAAGAGACACAAGGAAAGACACATCACTAAGGAGAGACCCAAGGAAAATGGCTCTATGACTACAGTCCATTTAAAGAATGAGGGCGTTCCTTCTACCAAGGTAAGTTCTCTTCTTTCTCTCTTTTCTTCAGACTATTTTTTCTCCCCCGAATTTTGGCATATGTGATTTTAGTGGCCAATAACCTGGGTTAAATAACAGCATTTTAGATTTTTTTTCCAGGAACAATCTTCACCCTTGGGGGGCATTTAGTTGTCAAAACCATACTTTTGTGAAATTTCAACTCTTAGTTAAATATCTTCAAGGTTGCAAACTGTTGCTACTTGCCAGTTCTAAAATTTAATGTTCCACTTTCCTCACTTCACTTTTCTTTGCTTAGGATTTCAGATGAAGCCTTCCTTTGTGTGCGCTCCTGTCTGGAGGGCAGCTCAAAGTGACTTCCTAATTCTGTCAGGATACTGGCAAGTGTTCTGTTAGGACAACAGGACCTCAAAGACTTCTCTGCCTCATAGAATTTCGATGGGTGCAGCACATGCTTTAGAGTATTGCAGAAAGCATATCCTTAGCAACTACAGATCATATTTTTGTTGAAACACTTACCTCTTTTACAGACTGAAACAGGATTGAGGGTGTCTCCCAGCTATTTGCCTATGCTCCAAGGGCTTCACCTGCATAACTTTACAGTTCCGATGAATCACTTCAAGACTAAACTGTCCAACTTCAACTAATGTTTCCAATGTGTGAACTTCTAGAAAGAACTTTAAAGCTAAATGTTTCAAAAGCTTTTCCATGACTACTTATCTGAGAGCAGTTGTATCCAGGCAGAGAGCTTTGAAAGAACAATGTCTCAGGACAAACCATGAGAAGCTGAATAGGTTAGAATAGGTCACACACTCCGTTTTACCATCTGAGGCCCCTCCAGATGGACAGGGGTGAGAGTCTGGTTGGCCTACGGCTGAGGACAGTGATTCTCAGCACTCACCATAGACATACTGAATCAGGATATCTGGGAATGGGGCTCAGCAATATGTTTTGACAACCTCTCCAGCACATTCAAATTGGAGAACCACTAGAGAAGATAAGAGCATTTGCTATCACAGATTTTGAAGTGTGTGCACAGCTGTGCAGAGACCATTTTAATGAACTGTGAGAGCCCAACCAGTAGTGTGGTTTTACCCTAAGATTTACCACTTGGTGGGGATTGGGAAAATTAGGAATTCACATTCCAACCACACAGCAGTGGAAAATACCTCTCTATGCTCATAACGGAATGAGAATTAAACTTTAAGAAAATGACTTTGATCCTGAGGACCTCCTGAAAGAGTTTTGGGGATTCCCAGGCTTCCTTGGACCACACTTTGAGAATCACTGTTCTATACAAGGTGCTATTTGTATCCAGTTGTATTTGCCAGCTGTTTAAGCAGATCATTTAGACAATTATTTCCAGTGTCATTTCTAATCATTTCATGTACTGTCATGTGCTACATAACAACGTTTCAGTCAACAATGAACCACATGGTATGATGGTGATCCCATATGATTATAATGGAGCTGAAAAATACCTGTTGCCTAGTGACATTGTAGTTGTCCTAACATGGTAGTATAATGCATTACCTATGTGTTTGTGGTGATGCTGGTGTAAACAAACGTGTGCCTCCAGTTGTATAAAAGTATCGCACATACAGTTACGCATAGTACACAATACTTGATAATGATAATAAATGACTATGATACTGGCTTATGTATTTACTCTGATATATCTTTTATCATTATTTTAGAATGCACTCCTTCTACTTATAAAAAGAAAGTTAACTGTAAAACAGCCTCAGGCAGGTCCTTCAGGAGGAATTCCAGAAGGCGTTATTATCACAGGAGATGACAGCTCCATGTGTGTTATTGCCCTTGAAGGCCTTCCAGTGGGACAAGATGTGGAAGTGGAAGACAGTGATATTGATGATCCTGACCCTGTGTAGGCCTAGGCTAATGTGTGTGTTTGTATCTTGATTTTTAACAAAAGGTTTCAAATGTAAAACAAAAAAAACTAAAAATAGAATACAGCTTATAGAATATTATAAACAAATAAAACATTTTGGACAGCTGTATAATGTGTTTGTGTTTTAAGCCATGTGTTATTACAAAAGGGTCAAAAAGTTTACAAAAATTAGAAAGTTTATAAAGTAAAAGAGTTATATTAAGGAAGGTTAATTATTATTGAATAAATAAAACTTTTTTATAAATTTAGTGTAGTCTAAGTGTACAGTATTTATAAAGTCTACAGCAATATACAATAATGTCCTAGGCCTTAGCATTCACTCATCACTCACTCACTAAATGACTGCAACTTCCAGTTCTGCAAGCTCCATTCCTGGTAAGTGCCTTATGTAGATTGCCATTTTTTTGTCTTTCATATTGTATTTCTACTGTACCTTTTCTATGTTTAGATGTGTTTAGATACACAAATACCATTGTGTTACAATTGCTACAGTATTCAGTACAATAACATGCTATACATGTTTGTATCTAGGAGCAATAGGCTATACCGTATGGCCTAGGTGTGTAATAGGCAACACTAAATTTGTGTAAGTACACTCTGATGTTTACACAATGATGAAATCCCCTAACAACTCATTTCTTAGAATGTGTCCCAGTTAAGTGATGCATGACTGTATATTTGTTTCCTCT
Organism: Homo sapiens; assembly: GCF_000001405.40. Taxonomy (NCBI): domain Eukaryota; kingdom Metazoa; phylum Chordata; class Mammalia; order Primates; family Hominidae; genus Homo; species Homo sapiens. The sequence goes on along the minus strand of NC_000014.9, from coordinate 53,766,220 downwards.
TATTTTAGATTATAAATTCCTCTTAGTGTATATATGTTCTTTGCAGTGTCTAATTTAGGGATGAACTGTGGTACCAAAGTGCAGAAATGATAACAATAATAACGGGCTGATTGATATTTCTTAAATAACATTTCTTTGTAAAAAGGAGCAGAAGGAGCTTTGGGTCATTTTCTGGTTATTCTACATGAGACATTAACCCAAAAGGTTTATGATTAGAAATGTTTAACAAAAAATTATTTTTTGTTCGAAAAACAAAATTTAAAAACCTTACATTTTTATGCTATATTTGTTCAGATTTTAAAACAATTATTCATAGAATAGGTTGGATTTGACCTAATAATATTTTTCAGCTTAGCATTCAATGCTTGTATTCTTTGTACCAGAATACCTGGGTTTGAATTCCAACTCCACTGCTAATTGGTGGTGTGAACTTGGATGGATTGTTACACTTGTTATGTTTGGTTTCTTTTTTTATAAAATATGGAAAATAATACTACTTACCTCTCTGATTGGATTCTTGTGGTTGGAATGAGGTTGTGTTTTTAAGGTATTTACTGCAGTCCCTGCATATAACAGATGCTCAGTCAACATTTTTGGGACAAATATTTATTGAACAAACTCTAAGTAAATATCATTCATTTCATTAATTATTCCTTTTAAACATGCTTAATGTTGACTGCATTCCAAAAGTCACTTTTGGAAGATCAGTTCTATGTCTTCTTTCTGTTTAAGCATCTGCTATTATATTTGCTTCAGTTACTTTTATATGGTACCTTTCTAAGTGTTTCACATCTGGGCCTTGGAATGTGTGTATGATGTGTTTTTCAGGTAAAAACATTAATTATCAGAGAAATGTGTTCAACCACCCTATGTTCCCTGCACTTATATTCTGAGCCCCCAAATTAAGTAAACATATTGTGATATTATTACAGCTTCCTCTGAGTTATTGCTTTCTTACATTAATAATAATCTTTCGGGGATTTTGACCCAGGCTTTTCACAAAGCACCCATTTTGGAGATGTTTTAGGTACTAAGTTCACCTTAAAATTTTTCCAGTCTGTGTCTTCACTTTAAAAATGAAAATTAGCTAACAGATGTCATGAGACCTTTCCCTCTTCTACAACTGTTCTCACTCTCTCCACACCTGACATTAGGCGCATGTGCCTGAGAATGACCCTTGGTTTCTTCTATGACTCATTGTTAATCATTATAGGGAATAGCTCCATCAGTTCATAAATTTGAAGTAAACTCAATTTCCCACACAGTCTATTAAATGATCATCAGCAAGCTGTTCAGGTTGATTCATAAACTCTTAAACTCCCATTATTTGAAGGAGATTTTGGCTATATTGACAAACAAATTTGCACATTCTAGGTTTGTTCAAACAAGGCCTTCTCTATCTTCCAGAATATATAAGTTGACCTTCCACAGTCATCTAGTTCACAAACTAAATATTTAAAATTTGAGCCCATTAAGTAAATGCAGTTTATCCAAATCTCATGTTGTAATGAGAGAATGAATTTGGAAGAATCCTGCCCAGTATAAAGACAGTATTCCTCCCTAAGAACCTATTGTAAACCAAGATCACTTAGCTGAGGATTGCTATAAACACATATAAATCCACCAAATAAGGGCGCGATATTAAATCACAGAGAGTAGAATAATTTTTAAAAAACATAACATCCTTGTTCTGTGAGACAGAAATCATTTATCCAGGCATTTCTTGACTATTTATGCATATTCATTTTTCCAGACGAACATTAGGACTATATTGTACATTTTTTAAAAAAGCAACTTGTGATTGTATTGTAACTGTATCTTTACATTAGTCCAGTTTTCTTCATGGCGCTCAGGAAGATTTTTTCATATGGGTTGTTTTTGCCCTTGTGAATGAGACTTTTACATTATGGGGTGTTTTGGGGGGAATATTTTATTTTCTTACTGAAATAAAACACAAATTCTGTTGACCATATTAAGGTCCAAGTTAATCTGGTTAAAGTTCAATTTTTTCCCCTTTCTTTTAATTTTTTTTCTTTGTGACAGAGTCTGACTCTGTTGCCCAGGCTGGAGTGCAGTGGCAGCATCCACAACTCACTGCAGCCTTGACCTCCTGGGCTCAGGTGATCCTTCCACCTCAGCTTCCAGAGTAGCTGGGACCACAAGTGTGTGCCACCATGCCCAGGTAATTTTTCGTATTTTTTGTAGAGGCAAGGTTTTGCTATGTTTCCCAAGCTGGTCTTGAACTCCTAGACTCAAGCAATCTGCCTGCCTTGGCCTCCCAAAGTGCTAGGATTACAGGCATGGGCCCCCACGCCTGGCCTAATTTTTTTTAAGCCGATGTCATGCATGCCCACAGAAATAAAAATATAGACATACAAATGATAAGAAACAATGATCTACTACCATAAGGCCTGCTTCTGCATTCACTTCCATTTTTTTTAGAATCAACTTTGTTGAGGTATAATTTACATATGATAAAATTAACCCATTTAGTGTACAGTTTGATTAGTTTTGTTGAATGTCTATGGTCCTACAACTGCTGGTGCAATCAGAATATAGAACATTTCCATCACCTCAAGAAAATTTCTTTGTGCCCCTTTGCAATTGATCCCCTCCTCCACCCCATCCCTGACACCCACCTTTATACTTTTTGTTACTTTTGTTTTTTAATATTCTAATATTTCCTATAAAAGGAATTACACAATATGTAGTTTTTTGTGTCTGGTTTATTTAGCTCTGTATGACTTTAAGAATCATCTGTTGCTCTGTTGTGTGTATCAGTAGTTCACTTATTTTTATTGCTGGTAGTATTCTGTTGTATGGATATACCACAATTTGTTTATCCATTCATCAGCTGATGGGCATCTGCATTGTTTCTGGTTTTTGACTATTATGAATAAACCTGCTATAAACATTCTTGTATAAATCTTTTGTGGACATATATTTTAAATTCTTTTGAGTAAATGCTTAGGTGTTGGATTTCTGGGTCATATGGTAAGTGAAGTTTTAAAGAAACTACCAAAAGTTTTCGGCAAGCATCTATACTATTTGATACTCCCACAACAAATGTACAAGAGCTTCAGTTAGTCCACATCTTTGATAACACTTGGTATAGCAGACTTTTAAATCTTATACATTCTAGTGTGTGTTGGAGTATCCAATGGCTTTAATTTGTATTTCTTTTATGACAAATGATGGCAAACACCTTTTCATGTGTCTATGTGCTATGCATATATCCTCTTTGATGAAGTGTCTATTTAAATTTTTGGTGTAATTTTATTAGGTTGCGTCTTATTATTGAATCATAGGAGTTATTTTTATATGCTAGGTATGAGTTTGCTACCAGCAGACATTTTACGAATATAGTTTCTTATAGTTTCTATTTTCATATTCTTAACATTGTCTTTCAAAGAACAGACGTTCTTAATTTTGATGCAGATTATTTATCAATTTTTTTCTTTTACAGATTGTGCTTTTCTTGTGTTGTGTCAAAGAAATCTTTTTGCTGACCCAAGATCAAAAAGATTTTCTTCTGTTTTCTTATAGAAGTTGTACAGTTTTAGCTCTTATCTTCAGGTTTATGAGCCACTTAAAGTTAATTCTTGTGTACAATGATAAGGGCCTACGTTGTTTTTATATGTAGTTGTCCAATTATTTTAGCATGATTTATGAAAAGACTATCATTTGCCCATTGAATGGCCTGGAACCTTTGTTGAAAAACAGTTAAATTTATACAGGAGCATCTGCATATTTGGTATCTCTCCTGTTTCATTACATATATGTTTAACCTTATGCTAATATCACAATGTCTTGATTACTGTAGATTTTATCCCTAGAAGATATTCTCTTTTATCTCCTGTTTTTCTTCATGTCATGGTCACATTTTTCCTCTGCTACCTTGAACACGCAGGGCACATTTATAATACCATTTTAGTCTTCTGTCTAATTACATAATTTCTGTCATATCTGTGTCTTTTTCTATGGACTGATTTGTCTCCTGGTTATGAAGCATATTGCATTCATTCTCTGCATGCATGGTAATTTTTAATTGGATGCCAATGAATTTTTTATTATTATTGGTTGCAGAATTTTGTTGTACTTTAAATAGTGTTTGATTTTGTATATATAGTTAAGTTTCTTGGACTTATTTGGATCATTGTGAGCCTTTTGTGGCTTTGTTAGTTGGGGTTCTGAGACGCTGTTAGTGTAGTGCTAATTGAGCCCTATTATACCTTCTACCTGATGCTCACATGTTACAACATCTTTCCCTTCCAGCTAATAGAACAAGAATTATTCCTATCTCTGTTGATCCACAGGAATTCTTCTGCCTACTTCTTTTCAATTATTATTTCCTGTCTTATATCTGGCAAATAAGTACTTCACCTGCTCTTTTAAGTATTTCCCTAAATCTAAATGAATACAATACCACTGTCTCTCAGACATGTCCCATAGACACGATCTGTTGACTCTCTGCTGTGGTGGATATGGATCTAGCTTTTTTATACTAATCTTGTCTTCTCCCTCTCCAAGTGAGAAAGAAGGAGAAGATGAGGTTAGCATAAAAGATGATTTCTTTGTTTTATTTCAATTTCTTAATCCATCTGTTATTGACAGTATCTCTTGACTCCCATCTTGAGATGAGGATGTTCTTACCCTCACCATACCCATCATATTTCCTTCTACATTCCACCTGCCAGCTTCTCTCCACTGCATTTGACATTGTCAAGGAAGATAATTACACTCTGTTTGATAAGCATGTCTTCTATGTTTTTTTTTTTTTGAAAACCCGAAACAAGATAAGTTATTTCCATGTAAGTCTTGTTCACCAGAGAGTCACTATTATAAAATGGTTATATTTCTTTCTTGGTGGTTTTCCAGTATCTGACCTCATGCCTCTCAAAAAGAATATTTCTAGCATCAGGTATCTTTTTTTTCTTTTGAAGACAAACTTTTATTTCTCTCTGGAAGTTTTCTATATATTTTCTTTAGTCTTGAAGTTTTGAAACCACACAATGATATATATAAGTGTAGCTCTTTCTTGTTTCATCTTACTCAGAACTTGGTAAATTATCTTACCTTGATGATATGTGCCCCTCAAACTTGATAAACTTATTTATATGATACCTTTTATACTTCCTCTTCTTTGAGTTCCTTGTCCTCCTTTGCTAGATTGATTCTGTGTGTATTTGGATTGAACTTCTATGGATCATATCCCCTCCCACCACCACTTTCTGCATTTTAATCTTTTAGTTCTGCTTTCGGAGATTTATTCAACTTTATTTTTTAAAGTTTTTAATTAAATTATTTTATTTCAGCATTCATCTTGTTACATTTTAAAAGGTTTTTATTTTATCTGATATTAGCATCATTTTTAAATTGGAGGATAAAATATTCTTGTGACTCTATGGATGTTAATTAAATCTGATTTTTCCAGGTTTCTCCATCTCTACAAAAGCAGTATATATTTTTTCCTCTTGGCCTTTCTCTTTGATATTGCAGATTTTCTTCTAATTTCTGGTGATCTTTGATTGTCCGTTCTTACCCTATGATTACAAAGGATGACTGAAAGCTGTCTGGTTATAGATGGGTTTATCAACAAGCAGGCCTTGCCTTAGTGGTGGTCATTGGTTATTATGCCAGAGGAACCAAATATCGGAATGAAGGCTTTATCCCAATTTTAGAAGTTATTTTTCTCATTCCATTGGTTTGCATTATACCTTTAAGCATTATACTTAAACTTATCATTCCTGGCTGCTTTAGTTTGGGCAAATAGCCCCTACACTTTTTTTTCACTTTCCATACTCTCTTCTATCTTTAATTTCACGTTGTCAAAATTTGCTATGTAACTACATTTAATTTCTGAGTGATTTCCTTATAGATGTATTCTATAATTTGAACTTAAGATTTATGTTGCTTACATACGATATTATAACCACATAAATATTGTTCTTCATGGAGCCCAGTAGTATGCTGGTACTTCATTTCCTTCTCTATTAGTCCAAAGTTGTGTCCATTTCATCAAATAACAAATATCCATGTCTTTTCTTGCATTCCATTGAATGTTCACAATTAATTCACATCTTAGTTTACTTCATAATTAGACCCTGACTTTCTTATACAGTTGTATTTTTCCTTTAATTTCTCCTTGCTATTCTTTTTTCTTTCAGAAGAAGAAACATATGCTTTGCTCACTATGCACTAATATTATGCAGAGTCTTAGTTATTCTGTTTTTTGCTTGGAATTCACTTTTTTTCTTCTTGACAATAATTTTTTTGGAGCTTTGAGATATTTTGCTTTGCATTTTAAAAATGAATGAGTTATAAAATCTATTTTATTTGCAAAATGTCTTATAAGAAAATCTAAAAATATACTTTCTAATTTGCGGGAGAATCTATGGTTTCTATACTAGTTAGATTAGTTTTAACAAGATCCATGAGGACATAGTTGATGGATTAATTATCACAAGGTTGGTGAGCCAATTCATGTTTTAAGGACAAAACATTCCAACAAGTGCAGTTTCCAATAACACACATACACAGTCCTAAGGTCACAGGTTACAATCCATGGGAGATGATTATTTGAAAATCACTGGAAACACTTTTTCTCTTGGTAAACAGACTAGTTAAAAACTAAATCTCTTGATGCAAAATAAAACATAAATATAAATGATAGAGAAACTTTGCCCTCTTGGCTAAGGCTTTTTATTCCTCTAAGTAAATTTTTCAACCTCCTTCACCTTTAAAACAAAAGTTTGTGTCAATAATATTTTTCATCTTTATGGTTCTAGTTTAAATACCATTTTGCCTTGTGATGCATAATTTCACCGGTAGTTTTAAATAAGGCTGAATCAAGATATTTGGGGCTTATAATTTCCTGTTTATTTGGAGCCAACTGTTCTAATTGAGGGTGATTGCTTTCAAGGCCCGTTGTCCAACAGCCACTCTGGTTTCTTTTCATTAGTCTGTGATTTTGAGCTGTCTTCTTCCTTATTGTTAACTCTGAGTTTGCTGGAGAATTCCTCATGTAACTCTAACTGATCATCCTTGTGTTCCTGTGTATCAAAATATCTGTATTTTTTCCTCATTTGTGATTTATAGTTTGTCCTGGTGAAGAATTTTGGATTACAAAGAAAGGTTTTTGACATGTTTATTTGTTTATGCATTGTTAGCAATTGCTTATTCTATTTCACTGTGATTATAAGACATAGTACATAATTTATGCCTTTAGGGAATAAGTTTTTCTTTTTCACATGCTGTGAAATTAATTTTTGAGGAAAAGCTATCTAGATAGTTGAAAAGGAAGTGTATTTTCTACCATGAGAGTAATGAGCTTGGTAAATATTTATTACAAACATTTTAAATTACATAATTGAAACGGTTTATATTCTTATTTTTGCCTATTTGATCTATCAAGAAGCAACTGCCAACTATTAATTATTAATGTGTTTCCATTAGTCCTGACATTGTTTTCCTTATGAATTACTTATCACATTAATGTAGATAACATATTCCCATGGAGAAATGTGCTTTTTATTAGTACAGAATGACCAAATTTAAATTCTTTTTTATTTTAAATGTTATTTTAGGTTCAGGAGTACATGTACAGAGTTTGTTACATAGGTAAACTGCATGTCACAGGGGTTTGATATACATATTATTTTGTCACCCAGGTAATAAGTGTAGTACCCAATAGGTATTTTTTGATCCTCTCCCTTCTCCCACCCTTCACCCTCAAGTAGGCCCCAGTGTTGATTGTTCACCTCTTAGTGTCCACATGTTCTCATTGTTTAGCTCCTATTTATAAGTGAGAACACGTGGTATTTGGACTTCTGTTCCTGTCTTAGTTTGCTTAGGATTATGGCCTCCGGCTCCACCATGTTGCTGCTAAGGGTATGATGTCATTCTTTTTTGTGGCTGCATAGTATTCCATGGTGTATATGCACCACATTTTCTTTAGCCAGTCTACCACTGATGGGCATTTAGGATGAATCCATGTCTTTGTTATTGTGAATAGTGCTGCAATGAACATTCATGTGCATGTGGCTTTATGGTAGAAATATTTATATTCCTTTGGGTGTATACTCAGTAATGGGATTGCTGGGTCAAATGGTAGTTCTGTTTTTAGCTTTTTGAGGAATCACCACACTGCTTTTCACAATGGATGAACTAATTGACACTCCCTTCAGCAGTATATATGAGTTCCCTTTTCTCACAACCCCCCCAGAATCAGTTAGTTTTTAACTTTTTAATAATAGCCATTCTGACTGGTGTGAAATGGTATCTCATTGTGGTTTTGATTTGCATTTCTCTTGATTAGTGATGTTGAGCATTTTTTCATAGGCTTGTTACCTGTATATATGTCTCCTTTTGAGAAGTATCTGTTCATGCCCATTGCCCACTTTCTAAGGGGGTTGAATAGAGTTGTTTGTTTTTTGCTTCTTAATTTATTTAAGTTTCATATAGATGCTGGATATTAGACCTTTGTCACATGCATAGTTTCCAAATATTTTCTCGCATCCTGCAGGTAGTTTATTTCCTATTTTGATAGTTTCTTTGGCCATGCAGAAGCTCTTAAGTTTAATTAGATCCCATTTGTCAATTTTTGGTTTTGTTGCAATTGCATTTGGTGTCTTCATCATGAATTCTTTGTCAGGTCATATGTCCAGAATGGTACTGCCTAGGTTGCCTTCCAGGGTTGTCAGAACTTTAGGTTTTACAGTTAAGTCTTTAAGTCATCTTGAGTTGATTTTTGGATATGGTGTAAGGAAGAGGTCCAGTTTTGATCTTCTGCAAATGACTAGCCAGTTATTCCAGCACCATTTATTAAATAAGGAGTCCTTTCCCCATTGCTTGTGTTTGTTGGCCTTGTCAAAGATCAGATGGTTTTAGGTGTGTAACATTATTTCTTCGCTCTCTATTCTGTTCCATTGGCCTTTGCATCTGTTTTTATACCAGTAGCTTGAAGTTTTCCTTTTTGTGTGTGTGTCTCTGCCAGGTTTTAGTACCAGGATGACGCTGGCCTCATAGAATGAGTTGGGGAGGAGTCCCTCTTCCACAATTTTGGGGAATACTTTCAGTAAGAAAGGTACCAGCTCTTCTTTATACATCTGGTAGAATTTGGCTATAAATCTGTCTGGTCCTGAGCTTTTTTTGATTGGCAGGTAATATGGTTTGGCTTTGTGTCCCCACCCAAATCTCATCTTGAATTGTAATCCCCATGAGTCAAGGGAGGGACCTAATGGGAGGTGATTGGATCACGGGGGTGGTTTCCCCCATGCTGTTCTTGTGATAGTGAGTTCTTACAGAATTAATGGTTTTATAAGTGGTAGTTTCCCCTGCTGTCCCCTCTCTCCTGCCACCTTGTGAGAAGTTCCCAGCCTCCTCTTTGTCTTCCACCATGATTGTAAGTTTCTTGAGGCCTCCCCAGCCATGAAGAACTGTGAGTCAATTAAACCTCTTTTGTTTATAAACTACCCAGTCTCAGGTATTCTTTCTAGCAGTGTAAAAACAGACTAATACAGTAGGCTTCCTTTTTTCTTTTTTTTTTTCTTTTTTTGAGACTGAGTCTCACTCTTGTCACCCACACTGGAGTGCAATGGCACAATCTCAGCTCACTGCAACCTACACCTCCTGGGCTCAAGCGATTCTCCTGCCTCAGCCTCCTGAGTAGCTGGGATTACAGGCACCCACCACCACGCCCAGCTAATTTTTGTATTTTTGGTAGAGACAGGGCTTCACCATGTTGGCCAGGTTGGTCTCAAACTCCTGACCTCAGGTGATCCACCCACCTCTGCCTTCCAAAGTATTGGGATTACAGGCGTGAGCCACCATGCTTACTTATTCAATTTCAGAACTCATTATTAGTCTGTTTAAGGATTCAATTTCTTTCTGGTTCAGTCTTGGGAGATTGTATGTGTCTGGGAATTTATTCATTTCTTCTACATTTTCTAGTTTGTGTGCATAGAGGTGTTTGTAGTAGTTTCTGAGGGGCTTTTGTATTTCTGTGGGGGTCAGTGGTAATGTTGCCTTTGTCATTTCTAATTGTGTTTATTTAGATCTTCTCTTTTGCTTTATTAGACTAGCTAGTGGTCTCTTTTATTAATGGTTTCAAAGAACCAACTACTATATTCACTGATCTTTTGTATTTTTTTTGCCTTTAAATTTCCTTCAGTTCAGCTCTGATTTTGGTTATTTCTTGTCTTCTGCTTGCTTTGGGGTTAGTTTGCTCTTGTTTCTCCAGTTATTCCAGTTGTGATGTTAGGTTATTACTTTGAGGTCTTTTTAACCTTTTAATGTAAGCATTTAGTGCTATAAATTTCCCTTCTAAACACTGTCTTAGCTGCGTCCCAGAAATTCTGATATGTTGTATCTCTGTTCTCAGTAGTTTACATTTTAAAAAATGTTTTGACTTGAATTTTATTTCATCTGATGTAAATATATTGAGATATTTTATATTTTAGTTTGCAGTGGTTGTGTGTGTCTCTATTCATTCAGTTACTTTAAACATTTATCCAACTGATATGTATATTTATTTTTGACTCATTCTGGGTGCTGTTTTTCTTTAAATTGTAGTTAAGCATTATTATCAGAACTGTATTTGTTCTCACTTCTGTTACCTTATTTCATATTTCCTTTACTGTCCTCTTGATTGTTCCTTTGTTAATCAATACTTTGTCATGCTAACTGCATTTATTTTTCATTTAAAGTTTTATGTCCTAATTCAATTTATCTAGAATTTAACAACAAGATAATCAAAAAACACACATGATTTTTTATATTTATAATGTGCAAAACATCTACCTTCATTTGCTTTAAACCTCCTCTTTCTCATTGAATTTCCCATCCAATTTTTATTGAATTTATAATAGAAATAATTAGATTATGTTAATTATTACTAAAATATTGCTTTTAGTATGATATCTATTATTTAATATTTTGGCTTGAAAATGTTTTTATTTTTAACCTTTGTGGGTATATAGTGGATGTATATATTTATGTGATATATGAGGTATTTTGATACAGGCATGCAATGCATAATAATTACTTCAGGGCAATTAGGGTATCCAACCCCTCAGGCATTTATTCTTTGTGTTACAAACAATCCAATCATACTCTTTTAGTTATTTTAAAAATGTACAATTAAATTATTTTGACTATAGTCACCCTGTTGTGCTATGAAATACTAGGTATCTTTCAAACTATTTTTCTGTATCCATTAACCATCCTTACCTCCCCGACAGCTCCCATTGCCCTTCCCAGCCTCTGGTAACCAACATTCTACTCTCTGTCTGCATAGAGCAGAGATGCCCTGGGTCTGGTCCACAAAAACATGTTTTCCTCCTAGGCCTCCAGGCCTGTGATGGGAGGGGCTGCTGTGAAGGCCTCTGACATGCCCTGGAGATATTTTCCCCATTGTCTGGGTGATTAGCATTTGGCTCCTTTTTACTTATGCAAATTTCTGCAGCTGACTTGAATTTCTCCCCAGAAAATGGGTTTTTCTTTTCTATCACATTGTCAGGCTGCAAATTTTCCAAACTTTAATGCTCTCCTTCCTCTTGAATGCTTTGCTGCTTAGAAGTTTCTTCCCCAGATACCCTAATCATACCCTAAATCAAGTTCAAAAGTTCCACAGATTTCTAGGGCAGGGGCAAAATGCCACCAGTCTCTTTGCATAGCAAGAGTGACCTTTGCTCCAGCTCCCAGAAAGTTCCTCATCTCCATCTAAGACCACCTCAGCCTGGACCTTATTATCCATATCACTATCAGCATTTTGGTCAAAGCTATTCTCTAGGAAGTTCCAAGGTTTCCCACATTTTCCTATCTTCTTCTGAGCCCTCCAAACTTTTCCAACCTCTCCCTGTTACCCAGTTCCAAAGTTACTTCCACATTTTGGGGTATCTTTATAGCAGTGCCCCACTACCCAGTACCAATTTATTGTATTATTCATTCTCATGCTGCTAATAAAGATATACCTGAGAATGGGTAATTTATAAAGGAAAGAGGTTTAATTCCATATAGCTAGGGAGGTCTCACAATCATGGCAGAAGACAAAAGAGGAGCAAGGCATGTCTTACAGGGCAGCAGACAAGACAGCATGTGAAGGAGAACTGCCATTTATAAAACCATCGGATCTCATGAGACTTGTTCACTATCACGAGAACAGCACAGGAAAACCCAACCCCATGATTCAATTACCTCCTCCCATGTCCCTCCCATGGCATGTGGGGATAATGGGAGCTATAATTCAAGATGAGATTTGGGTGGGGACACAGCCAAACCATATCAGGGAGTTTGATTTATTAGATACCTTGAGGTAGTCTTCTTTAGGTTAAATCTGCTTGGTGTTCTATAACCTTCTTGTACTTGAATGTCAATGTCTTTAAGTTTGGAAAGTTCTCTGATATTATCCCTTTGAATAAACTTTCTACCCCTATCTTTTTCTCTATCTCCTCTTTAAGTTCAGTAACTCTTAGATTTGCCCTTTTGAGGCTATTTTCTAGGTCCTGTGGGCATGTTTTTTGTTTTTTATTCTTTTTCTTTTTATATCTTCTGACTGGGTATTTTCAGCCAGAGAGTTTGAATAACCTGCCTTCAAGCTCACTAATTCTTTCTTCTGTTTGATCAATTCTGCTAGTAAGTGTCTCTGATGCATTCTTCAGTACATCAATTGCATTTTTGACTCTAGCATGTGTGCTTGATTCTTTTAAATTATTTTAATCTTTTGGTTAAATTTATCTCAGAGAATTCTGAATTCCTTCTCTGTGTCATCTGGAATTTCTTTGAGTTTGCCCAACATAGGTATTTTTAATTCCCTGACTGAAAAGTCACATGTCTTTCTTTCTCCAGCATTGGTCCCTAGTACCTTATTTAGTTTGTTTGGTGAGGTCACATTTTCCTAGGTGATCTTGATGCTTGTAGATATTTGTCGGTGTCTGGGCATTGAAGAGTTAGATCTTTATTGTAGTTTTTACATTCTGGGCTTGTTTGTGCCCATCCTTCTTCAGAAGGCTTTTCAGATATTCAGAGAGACTTGGGACCCAAGCCAATATAGCTGTGAGTTTTTGTAGACTCAAAGAGGTACTGCCTTGGTGGTCTTGGATAAGACCTGGAAGAATTCTCTGGATTACCAGGCAGAGACTATTGTTCTTTTCCCTTACTTTCTCTCAAGCAAATGCAGTCTCTTTCTCTGTGCTGAGCCATCTGGAACTGGGTGTGTGATGGTGCAAACATCCCTATGGCGATCACCACTGGGGCTGTGCTGGGTCAGACCTGAAGCCAGCACAGCACTAGGTCTTGTCCAAGGCACACTGTAATCATTACCTGTCTACCCATTATGTGCACTCAAGACCCTAAGGCTCTATAATCAGCAGGTGGTGAAGCCAGCCACGTTTATGTTCTTCCTTTCAGGGCAGCAAGTTCCCCAGACATTGGGTGGGCTCAGAGATGTTGTCTGGGAGCCAGGAATTAGAGTAAAAAATGTTAGAAATTTGCCCTATGGTCTATCATACTATGGTTACAGTAGCACTCAAACCACAATATAAAGTCCTTCCCACTCTTCCTTTCCCTTTCTGCAGGCAGAGGGGCCTCTCCCAGTGGGTACCACCAGCATGGGCCCCTTGCGGCAGGGTGGTTCTTCCAGGCCACCACCAATGTTCACTTAAAATCCAAGAGCTCTTCAGTCAGCTTATGGTGAACATTGTCAAGCCTGGGATTCACCCTTCAGGGAACTGGACTCCCCGGTAGCCCAGGGAAGGCCCAGAAATGCTGTCCAAGAGCCTAAGCCTAGACTTGGGGATTCCAAAGTCCTGCTTGTTGCTCTACCTGACTGGGGCCAAGCTGCTACCTAAGGTGCAAGACAAAGTCCCCTTTACTTTTTCCTCTGCTTTTCCCAAACTCAAGGAGTCTCTGCAACCACCACAACTGGGAATGTGCTGGGTCACTTCTGTAGTTAGCATGTCTCAGACCCCAAGGCCCATGATATGCTACCTGGCTATCACTGCTGGTTATTTACGACCCAAGAGCTGTTTAGTCAACCAGTGATGAATGTTGCCAGGACTGGGTCCTACCTTCAAGGCAGCAAGTTCTCTTTGGTCTAGAAATGTCTTTTGAGAGCTAGGGCTTGAAATGGGGGCCTCATGACTCTGCCTGGTGTCCTATCATATTGCAGCTGAGCTAGAATCCAAAATGCAAGTCAAAATTTTCTTTACTCTTTGCCTTCATCCCTTAAATAGAAGAAAAGAGACAATGTTGTGGCTGTGAGCCACACTGCCTGGGTTTGGGGAATGGATGGCACAAGCATTCCTTTAGCTGCCCTGGCTGGTGTCTCCCTAGGTCACATGCCACCCTAGTCTTCTGGCTCTGAGCCCGGCCCAGCACTAGAGAGTTGCCTAGGAATTGTAGTCCTTGTGTCCTAGATTGTCTTTCAAGTTTACCTAGGACCCCAGGGCACTTTGGCCTGCGGTGGCAAGGCTTGCTAAGAAACTCGAGTTCTGATTGCTGAAATGGGCAATTCCCCTCTAGCTAGCTCTTGTCCAAATGCTCCCTTCTTGCACAGGCACTGGCTGGGCCCAGCACATCTTTACTCTTTGCTACATCAGGTCAGCACTGAGTTCAATGTAATGTTCCCCAGTCACTGCACCATCCGTCTGTCAAGTGCACAGACTGTCTGTGCTGCACAGCTGCTGCCAGGGTGTAGGGTAAGAGTGGCTTTGGTGATTCACGACTGTGTCTCTGACCTTCCTCAATGCCTCTTTCAATGATATGAAGTTAAAACTAGGTACTGTGATTGCTCACCTGATTTTTGGTTCTTGTGATGGGGCTTTTCTGTGCACAGATAGTTGTTAAAATTTGATGTTCCTGTGGGCGTTACAGACAATGTAGGCTTCTATTCGCCGTCTTAAATTATTCCACCCCTTAAATTAGTTTTATGTGTAAATGTCTTCCAGTTACCACATGTCATTTGCTATCACTATTTCTATATTTTCTGATCTTTTATTTTATTTCATTTTGAGGGTATAACTTTGAAGAAAAATAGGTTAATCATTATAATTGTAAATTTGTATATATCTGAGAATCTCTTTGTGCTGCTTAATGTAAAATTGTGGGTAAGAGCCTTTTATAAAATTGTTGCCACTTCATGATATTCCAGCATTGAGTGTAGAAAAATATCTAATAGGTAAATTTTTTTGTCTTAATGATTTTAGGATTATTTTTACTTAAAACTTAATTTTCATTAAAGTCTGGGTTTATTTTCTTTTTATTAAATTTATCTGATTAATGGTATGGTATTTTAATCTATATAATGATAGCTTTCTCATATTAAGAAAATTTTCTTCTTTTTTATCTTTGTTCAATCTGTTCCATTTGTCTTTATATGTACTGATTAGTTTTCCTTTGTCAATTTTCTCGTCTGTAATCTTCACTCTTGTTGATTTAATTTCCTTGCCTTTTTTACCATTCACAGAATGCTTCTTAGTTCTGCCTTCTATATCATTGATTTTGCTTTTACTAGGTTAATTCTAATTTTTACTATTTATATGTTAATTTCAAAGCTAATACTAAATTTACTTATGTTTATTCAAAGTGTTCTATTTTTCTGTAGTTTTAGAAACATTTTTGTGCCTCTTAGCCCCCTTCATTTTCATTTCAGTTGGTTTTCTTCTCACTTTATCTCTTGTTTCACAGATTTCTTGTATTCCTGAATTTCCTTGAGTATATTAAGCAGAGGTTATTTAAACTTGACCTGAGTTACTTATAATTAATTATTTCTAAAACATAGCTCTCTACCATGTCTTATTTTATATTATTGTTATTATTTTAAGGTTAATAATTATAGGATAAGAAGCTATCTGAAGTTTGGATTTGCCCCCAAAAGAGTATTAGTGAGGTTTCCTTGGATTCCCTTGCCATTTTCTGGGTTGTGTTTGAATTCTTCTCTCATCTCTTAAGGTGAGGTTCTGATTGATTTAAGTTTATATCATCAGTTCAGTGATTCAGCACCTTTAAGGAAGTGAAAGAATCATGGATTGACCAGGATCTGTGCTTTCTTCTCCATCTTTGGTGACATCTTCTATGGTGGGGCCAACTCTTGATATCTACATTTACCTGTCCTCCACTTCAGTTACAGGTGGAGATGTGTTTACCTGCTGGATACCAATGCTTCTAGCATCAGGGAGAAGTTGAGCCCTGGAGGAAACATTGCCTCTAAGTTTGTGTTCTGGTAAGTCCACTCCTGTCCTTGCCCACTGTGCTGCTTTTGAAAGGCTACTAATTGGTGGGGATAAAGGAGATTCCAGTTAGAAATTTCTTAATCTGTCCTATGACTAGATCACCATAGTACTCATCATCCAAATCAGGATAATTATGAGAACAGAAGAGTGCTCAATTATTGACAATTGGTGCAAACTAAGACTGTCTTAGTCAACCAGATCATGTGGTCACCCTACCTATGACCTACCATTATTTAAGCAATGACCCCTTCAAATTAGGGAAGATTAGTAGGGCTGTGTGAAGTTACTCTTTATCGTTAATATACAATCTGATTATAATTTTTATAAAAATAATAATAGTGGCACTAACAGATAACCATGTATTGAAAAATTACCATTATGATAATCTATTCCAGGGTTACGGAAGGAAAATTCATATCTGCATATAGATTTTTAACTCTATTCTTCTTAATCTCCCAAGAATCTTTTACCACTCATCCCCAGTATTTGAGATTTATTGACATTATTGAAAGACAGTGAAGACAGGTGTCACTGATTGCCTCTTCCCTGAATTTTGTCCTCCCTCCCATCTCGCTTCTACTCTGTGAAGATGTTCTTTGGTCACTTCACATGTTTCTTTTGTTCTTAAAAAGGTAGTAAACTCCAAAAGGAAAAATCTTGTCTCTTAACTCTTTGGTATTCCTCATAGCTTCTAATTTGTACTACCCACCCCTCCCCAGTACTTCCTGCCCCATGCTAAGTTTTCCTGGAATGGTGTCTAATTCTGTAAGTGGGTAGGTTTTCTTAGAACAAACATTTTGAACCTACCTTCTTCATCTCGGTTGTCATTAAAGTTTAGCTTCTGATCCAATATTGCTGTAATAGTTGGACTGTATTCAAATTTTAATTTCATATTTTATCTCAAGAAGTATATTAAACAATTGGCTTTCTTTGTATATTTTTCCCTTCGTTAACTGGAGTGAAGTTCAAAGTGTTTTAAGACAAACTCTAAATCTAAATAGAATATTTATGATGACATAATTTTATAAAAATAGAAATCAATTGTGAATTGCTGAACTGTAAGCTGAGAGGAGCCATTCAGTCATTAATGAATGACTTAGCAATATATTAACTTAGCAATGTATTAACCCAGCAATGTATTAACCCTTAGCATTATAGTAACTTGTTGAATACTAAGCTCTCCCTTCCTTTCCTTCTATTTTTAACTGTACAATTACTATGTGATGATAATTAAAGTACATTATATTTTTAAGGTTTCTGCCTCAAAAGAAAGTTTAAATATTTAGCTATTTCCTTAGGTGAGGAAAGATGTGGCATATATTATTTTCCTAAACTTAAAATGGAAAGTGGGAAGTAGAATTTTAAAAGACTTATCCTAGTTAAATATAAGCCTTGACCTTTCTAATATATATATATATATGTGTATATCTAGGTAAAAAATATATGATATGTGTATACATATACACATATGTATAAAATATATACACACACATTATATATATACACATATGTATAAAATATATATATACACACATACATTATATATATACACACATATGTATAAAGTATATATACACACATACATTATATGTATATTTTTAACCAAGAACCTATAGAAAAATCTAAGATACCTAGTTCAGCATACCATTTTTTCAGACTTAAATGATTAAGTTACACCTCCATTCTGTGCTAGATAAGATAACCAAAACTGGTCTAATTTTGTGTTATTACATTTCTTTACTAGAAAAGAGGAAAATAGCAAAAAGAAGATAGTCACTGTTCTTAGAGATTATAAATTCCTCAGTGGCAATACATAACTCTTAAATTTCTTGGTATCCTTTTAACCACTTACTTAGTACCTAGCATGATTCCTGCGTAATGGTCCATGCTTACTATGAATTTGTTAACTTGAACTGAATTTTAATTATTCTTTTTTTTTTTTGAGACAGAGCCTTGCTCTGTCACCCAGGCTGGAGTGCAGTGGCACGATCTTGGCTCACTGCAACCTCTGCCTCCAGGGTTCATGCAATTCTCCTGCCTCAGCCTCCCGAATGGCTGGGATTACAGGCACCCCCCACCACGTCCAGCTAAATTTTTTTTTATTTTTAGTAGAGACGGGATTTCGCCATGTTGGCCAGGCTGGTTTCAAACTCCTGACCTCAGGTGATCTGCCCACCTCGGCCTCCCAAAGTGCTGGGCTTACAGCCGTGAGCCACTGCACCCAGCCTGAATTTTAATTATTCTTTTTAGCAGACTTGAAACGTACTGTTCATAAGAACTCTGAAGAAGCTTCTCATCTAAAGAGCTTTCTGATTTCAGGTTCAGCTCATGCTTAGCTTTTTCTTTTTTAAAAAATTATCATATTTAATTTTAGGATGTCCTTTAATTAAAAATTAAAAAATCAAATTACCTTGTCTCTCTCAGTTGTATGTCTTTCTTTTTAGCTAGATAATATGTAGTATCTGGATTTTTTAGCTGTACTATATGTTATCTAGATCTGGCTTTCTGAAAAGATATAAAGATATGTTGGTAATAAAATATTACCTGAAAGATTTTGTTCGGCCAACACTTCTACCACAAATTTCTCACCTTAAACTATTTCTGGGTGGACCTTTGTTTTCTCTCTATGTGAAGTGGGCTTAGTAAATTACCATTGAAGGACTGGTAAAATATCATCTGCAAAGCCTGATAATCCATTGTTCAGTGCATTCCATATTGTGAAGGACTTAGAATTGCATTTCCATGCAAAGATAACAGCAACATCAATTTTGTTCTTTCTAGCATATGGGGCAGAGTAGTTGCCATGTAAAAAGAAAGTGTATGGAGTTTCTAAGGTCATATTTAACATTTCCTAAGAGAGAAGAAAAGATAAAGATAAGAAATTTGAGCAAAGCAGCTGTAGTCTTAAGTCTTGGATTAGATTAGGTTTCCTGGACTGTTGGAGAGTAAGTTTTTCTCTGTATCTGGTACAGACTACACAGTTATTAAAATTTATGTATTGGCCAGGTGCGGTGGCTCACACCTTGTATCCCAGCAAATTGGGAGGCCGAGGCAGGCAGATCATGAGGTCAGGAGATTGAGACCATCCTGGCCAACATAGTGAAACCCCATCTCTACTAAAATACAAAAAATTAGCTGGGCGTGGTGGCATGTGCCTGTAGTCCCAGCTACTCGGGAGGCTGAGGCAGGGGAGTTGATTGAACCCGGGAGGTGAAGGTTGCAGTGAGCTGAGATTGCGCCACTGCACTCCAGCCTGGTGACAGAGCAAGATTCCGTCAAAAAAAAAAAAAAAAAGATTTATGTATCCAAAGTTCCCTCATTGAGAAAATATCTCACAGGGAAGTGGCAAAATATTAGTTTTCAGATGTTGCATTGCATGTTATAAGATCCCTGTATAAATGAGGATTTGGTACTATTATGGCTATGCAAAGGTAAAAATATCATTTCCACATTGCATATTTCCCTGAACTGTATATGTATTTTACTGTGCAAAGTCTCCAAACACAACTTCAACAGTGCCTTGTGAGGGAAGGAGTACCGGTCTTAGAAGTGTGGGATCAGTGGAATTTTAGGCAAATCTTGTTCTCCATCACTCCTTTGTCCTAGATGCCAGAAGGATTAATAATGTCTAGCTCATAGGATTGTTGTAAGAAAAAAAATGAAATGATGTTTAATTTTAAAAAACGGCACACAGTAGTGTTCTACAGATATGGGTGTTTATTGTCATGCTATTATTTTATTCTTCCCTGGGTTCAAGCCTCCACTTTTTACTCCTCTCTATTGTTTTGGATTATATTATATGACTCAGCAACAAAGTCAAGAAATAGTTATTTATTGGACTGATTATAAGGTCTTTGAGATATGAAATTCTCATCTCTGAGGTACAAATGGTGACAATGATATGAGTAAAATGTGTCCATGATTCCATCCTTGCCCCGGATCCGATCATGCTCTTTTGCTTTCTCATGGTATTCTGCAGGACTGTATAAATGACCATGGTGACATTCTCCTGGAAGTCCATTAGATATGGAACGCAAGGAATATAACTTAGGACCTTAGCCTTATGCCCACTTTCTTGGTTTCCCCAAAACTTCAGTAGGCTGGGGTTTTTAATTAAAAGAAACAAGGATCTTTACACATCTGCTTTACAGAGCTGACTCCCTAGGAAGAAGCGTTATGTGAAGGCTGCCCTGACAACTGAAATTAGGGAGAGCTGGTTCTAGACTGCATTTCTACGAAGCGCTGATTAGGTAGGAACCAGGATTCAATTCTTTTTCCTTTGTTTACTAATTGGGTTAGGCCCCTCCCATTTTCAGCCTTTCCCAATGTTCTATGTTTTTACCTGTTTAAAAATAGTAACTATGTTTTAAATAAACACTTCCAGTCCACTATGAAGACTCTATGTCTATGCTCTGAGAGGTGAGCTGAATTTGTTTTAGCATGACTATTAAAAATGTGAGATTACTAATGCATTTCAAATCATAGTCCCTCGTAAATGCTTATGGCACATAGTAGGCTCTCAATCAGTGTTTTAAATGTGTACGTGGATGAGTAAGCTATGACTAGAGCTGATTTCCAGTATTTGGAAGAGTAGTTGCTATTTTATACATTTCCTTCTGCTGCAGCATCTCCACAGCTAGTCGCTAGGTTTTCTTAGCTCATTCTCACCTTTGCAGGTCCTAGTGCATTCTGCTGGCATACTCATGGCCCCAGTGCCTTATCACATACAGTTAGCCCAGCAGAAGGGATTTCAGTCCAGCCTCTAGAAACAATGTCCAAGGGACCACTGTTTCCATGTATTCTGAAGATGGAAATAATTATCATGAAAGACGTAAGAAGGATTATGTCAGGAATTCTCTCCAGATCTGCACACTTAGCAAGTCATCCTGTTTTGCATTACAGAATCACATTATGTTCTGCAGCTCCTCTGTGGCTGTTTGGTGTCAGTCATGGATTTGTGAGAGACTGGGGTCAAAGTCAGCAGTGTTTACAAACACAGGAGGAATGTTAGCAAGAGATGGCCAAATCCAAATATGATCTTTATGATTCTCTACAAGGCTAGTCATTTGACCTATAAACAGAAAACATGGTTTCTGGCTATGCAAGGTGTTCCCTGCACTCAGAACTTTAAATAGTGTAACCAAATCAAATCACTCATCTGCACTTCAAGTGCTGGCAAGCCAGCCCTTTTCTGATGCCAGAGTTTCTGCCTAATACCTGGTATACTCTTCTATAAACTAAAGTTTAAAAGGAACCATAAGAGCTTGAAAAGATCTATGGGTTTATGATGAATTAAGAACCTGGAAATAATGACAAGTTATTTGAATTGGACTAGTGGAGTTTTCATGCAGCTTCAGTCTCAAGAGCCAGTGGTCAGTGAAAAGCAGACAATGGTATAGTATCCAGAGGCAGAGCTTAATAATTTGGTTTCCTTTCTGACGGTACCATGCTCAGGTAAAGTTCATTATTGAGTTTTTCTTCCACTTTTCAGACAAGGCCCCTCTCATGATTCTCATGTGGGAGTTTTGGGGCAATCATCTCTTGCTGATCAGAGTAGGTTCAGAAGGCATGAGAAAGAGTGGTAGTCTTCTTCCTGGTGAGGGATGGAGTTGAGTGTCTCTCTTTTCATCTTATAATCCACCAGAGTAGCTTGGGGATGAATCTGGGACTCTGTAGAAATTTATGGGCATGTGATCAAGTTTACATTCAAAGAACCAGGATGCCCTTTACAACAGTTTTCTTGAGACCACTTTTGCAGTTTCCAACCTGAGTTCTATTTGGGATCATGGAAGGGGAGCCCGAGGAGGGATCACGATTACATTGCACACTTCCTGCCTCTCTTCCAAAAAAGAATAAAGTGCGATAGTTTTGGCATTACAGAACTGAATTTAGAGTCACGTGACTGTAACTCAACCTCTGTAGCACCACTAAAACGTTAAACTAAGATTCCCATTGGGCAGAAGACTGACAGAGATATGACCCTAGACAAAAAGCTTCTGGAGCAATTCACATCCTTAAAGGAGTCCTGAGACCTGTGTCCAAGATGGGTCTAAGTTTTATGTCTTGGAACTTGGGACTGAGTGTCCTACAGCTGGATATATATGGTTGAATCAACTGGTTCACCTCAAGATACTTCCTTAAATGTTCTCTTGGTGCTCTCTCTTAGCCACTTAAACCTATTTCTGACTGTTTCTGACAACTGTCACTAATAGGGGGAGCATAGGGAGAGAAGAGAAGAGCCGGAGAGGAAAAGAGGACACAGCCGCCGTATCCTGGCTAAGAGAGGATTCAGTCTGAAGGCTGTAGCAATTATATTCCACTCTTCTCCATGTGGATTTCTGTATCACTTTGACTTAAGCCAAAAGGAAAAAAAAAATCAAAGAATGGAATAAAATTACTGCATGCAAAACTTTCCAATTTGGGGAAGGAAGAGACCACATGAACATATGCTTCAGAAAATCATTTCTGGACAGGCACAGATGTGATAAGATCCAAGTCAAAGAGATCATCTAGAGTGCACCAAGGACTTAGGGGAAAAAAATTTATTTTGTGGAGTCTTCGAGAAAGAACCTGTAAAGAAATGATTAGTCAGACCTCGGGAGTGGGGGGAAGAGTTACCAGAGTATGATTTAACTCTGTAGAGTTACATTTTTGGCTCCTTCATTTTCTAAAGGGTTGTCCAGCTGTTAATGATCTCTCTCTCAGAGGCATCTATCTCAGCCTCTCTGGGTGCAGACCACTTAGGAGCAGAATCTCCTTGTGCCTTTTCTTTTCAGCACTAGGTAAGATCGAGGATTCTCTCACTGGAGTAAGTGGTTCTTTTTAACTCAGAGACCCTAAAGAGGGTAATATTTAAATATTAAAATCGATGGAAATGCCAACAAAGTTTGCTCTGAAGACTTCTTGGTGCTGGCGACAGAGCTTGGAAACTCCATCCAGTGGGAGAAATGATGAATCTTGCCCCAAAATCATATATATGCCACAGGATTTTTGGAGAGAGGCATAAATGGGAAACAAGGACAAAATGGTGTTAAATCCACTGCTGAGTCATACATTTAGGTTAAATTTCAGTTATTTTTAGTGGTTTGGGGTTTGAAAAATGTTTGGTATTTGTAAATAATGTTTTTGGATTCCAACATTTCTCAAAAGTCATTTTTATTGTGCTATATGTTGGATCCCAAAAGCATCTATATTATATTTCACTAAGTCAGGTACCTGAAATAACTGTGGTGGGTGAAGCCTGCACTGTGAAATCCCCAAGAAGCTATATTTGGGAATTTTTCTCTTCCTAGTTATTACAACTAATTTTCCCATCAAATCCTATAGGACTGCTTTGAACCCCTGTAACGCTCTGAAGGCAGAAGTGTATTTTAACTCATTCACGCTGGTGCTAATCTCCTCAGTGATTTATGAGGTCTTTAAAGCTTTAATTCTCTGTCTGTCAAGAGTCTTCCTTGGTAGTGAGTTGACAGTTTAAATTAGTGTTTAGACATGGCTTTCATAATGTCAGTTTTGTTTTGTCTCAGCAGCGTTTTGGAATTCCTTCCATTGTACCTCAAGTGACTCATGACAATAAATGACTCTCCTTCTCTTTTGTTCTTAATCAAGGAAGAATGGAATGAACCACATAATGTTTGTTAAAGAGCAACCTTAATTAGTTCTCAGCTGTAGCCACAGATGCTTGTCTTGTCTCTTTAGCATATAAATGTAGGACACGGATGCTTTCAGGTGAATAAATACTGGGTTTCCTAAAAAGCCTTCTCTGGTTCTCTTCCAATAATGAAGAACAATTGCAGTAGAAACATTTTAAAGCTTTCTCCTCAAACTGGGAAGCAAGAGACCCCAGCTAGCTTCCAAGAGTTGTATTTGTTTTAGGTTTTGTAATGGCCTTTTGGGATCCAATGAATAAATCTCCAAGTAAAAGAAGGTCTCCTGAAAGGAGTATCCCTGTTCACCCTAAGCACTTCCTACACTTTGGGGAATAGTGCCAGGTTACACCAGAGGCCAGGGATGCCTTTCCTGCCGAGTTACCTCCTTCTGAATTTTGAATATAAGAATAAACCCCAGATCCTTGGGGGTCCATGTTTGTTTACTCTCAACAACATTCGGCTTCCTAAGGAAAATGGTGAAAGAAAGTATAAAATTCCATCTTAAAAAAACCCCTCAAGTATTCTTGGACATCAAACAACTCTTACAACACAGTCCTTTGATGAGTTCAGTGTAAATGAATCAGAAACATATGGATAGTGTTTATGCTCAAATGCACATGCGTTTAAAAACTCTGAGAGAAATTAGTTTAGTGAGCTATGTTTGGGTCATTTCCAGGATCCAAGAATTTGGAAAATCACTTCTCATGAGTAAAGATGTGGAAGAAATGGTTGAGCACCCCTTGAACTGAAAAATGGGCACGTTCAGCAGCCCATGCTGTGCTGTGTGTCATAAACACGGTAGCAGAGGGCACAGATCTTGGGACAGCTCCAAGCCAGGAGGGATTGGGCTACTGATGTGGAAAAAGTTTCTGTATCTCATTACCAGCTGTCAGTACCTGTGCAAGAGAGCTCCACACTTGACAAACATGGCACACCAGCCTCATTAGATTAGTGCAGTCACTGGACACTTTTGTACATTATATTTTGTACTTGGGCCATTGGAACCCATTGGCTATATGACCTACCCTTGGTATAACCAGTGTTTTCCTTTCACTTTGAGGAGAGTGGAAACTGCCAGTCATACCATAGATATGGAAAACCGTCACATGCATTATCTTTGGTTATATATAAAAATAAAAAGGTATGTGAGCTATAAAAAAAAATATCCATTCAGTATAACGTGGCCCTAAGGCCTTAACATTTCTCACTGTTAGCTGGACCAAAAAGTATTGAATTTTTGAATTATCTTCTTTTCCCTAAAATGTGTGTAATTGCTTATTGAAGAAGAAGAAGGAGCAAGGGATAGAGGTTATTGTATTTTGATACATCAGATTAAAAAAAACGTGTACCAATCTCATGGCTGGGCCTGGACCATCAACTATTGTTTCAGTGGTCTTTATAGTGATAAGATGCTGGGTGTGAGGGTTAAGGAAGCTTTCTCTTGATGTCCAATCACAGAATAACAGTAGTAATGTTGTTCTTTGATTATGATCAGTTTACTACAAATGCTAAGTATCTACCACTATGTCAACAACACAGCACAAGATGCTGAAAGTAATTTAAAAAATGTAAGTAACACAGGGCTTCTGCCTTCAAAGAATGTAAACTTGAGTTGAGGTTACAAAATATGTAAAATAAAATAATAGCACTAGAGATGTCATAGTAAAGGTGTTTTATTGCTAAACTAGTGACATAAGCCATGTTTTATGAGCTGTAGGATTTAAGGTGGAGTTAAATGGAATAGCAGAAAAATCATGAGATACTTGAACATTGCTGGAAATGTACAAAATAGAGAACATTCTATTTTCTAGATCTCTTCTAAAAGAGTACTGCATGGGTTGAGATTCCTTGATAAGCTTCTTAGTGGTAGGCAAAGCAAGAGGGTGGAGAAAGAGTTAAAAATCCCAGCTCTGCTATGAATGAATGGCATGACTGTCCAAGCTGATTGTTCTGAGCTGGTGTCACTAAGATGGAGATATTAATATTAATATCTATCTACATTTATTCATTCAACAGTTCTTTGAGTGATTATGATATGCCAGGCACTATAAAGAGAAAGTGAACTACGGATATACACAAAGCACTGTGCTAAACCTGGTAGGTCTGGTGGAGGCAGCGGGGTTGTGTAAGATTGAAATGGGGGTGGGGTAAACTGATGTTAAACTACATAATTTCTACTTTGGTTCATGGAATTATTCACATAACCTAAAAAATGTTTTTAAAACCAAATGTCAAATATCATTTTTTTCCCATGCATATTGTAAACATTGCTTTGCCTTTCTTTTCTCTCTCATCTCTCAGGCCTTTGTTTGGAAAGAGAGAAATAGGTAGTGCGGCTGATTGTAATAGCTTGTTTTTATTCACAAGCTTTGCCCAGTTCTTCTCAAAGCACCCCTGGTATAAATATAGCTTTATAGGATGTCCGCTAACTCCTTCACTTGCTGCTCCGCCCTCAACGCAATGTATGACTTTGAGGATGTATTACATCTTTCTAGGTGTGAATGTCTCCATCTGTCACCTAAGGATAATAATACTGACTAATAAATAAAGCACTTAGAGAGTCTCATGAAAGATACAAAGTCATATTATATGCTCAAAAAGCCTATGGCTCATGGTCCCTTTGCCCTATAGATATTTATGAAATTGTATTCTCTTAATCGCCTCTTACACTTTATTAGTTTGATCCTTGTGAGACATCTTCTACCTTGTGGTACTGAAAAGATTGGGTGCAGCAAAGAGAAGAACAGTGACACCTCTGGGAAGCTTATATTTTATTACTCTAAAGAACACTGAAGCAATAATTGACAATCCAGACCTAGCATATGAGAGTGGTTCAAAAAATTTTTTAAAATCTGATAGATCAAGATACAGTAGCCTTTATCCCTTGCTCCTTCTCCTTCCTCAATGAACAATTAAATGCATTTGGACCAAAAGGTGATAATTTAAAATGAAGGTATAAGCCTGCCTAAAATGATGGTTGTAAAATTTTATTCTTAGTCTCAGAACACTTTCTTTAATCAAATATTTGAGGCCTAGTTTTGGTAAAAGGGTTCAATAGTGTTGCAGGGGATGATTATAGAGCCCTCTGTGAAATATTTTTGCATACATTCCTGATCTGGAATTAAACTAGTGGTCTCTGAACTTCACTGATCTACCTATCTCAGTAAAACATTTTTGCACACGCCCTCACATGTACATGATACAACAGACACAAAAATGGAACTGTGAAAAAGTAAGATAAAGGTGAAGTAGCCCATATTTTTACATAATTTTCTAAAATTAATAGCACAAAGATATTTTCCTTCACTAAAAGTTAGGTTATTGACAGTATTCTAATTTTTTTTTCAGTTTTAAAATGACTTGCTGGTGGTGATGCATCCAAACATTATTAGCTAATAGACTGTGTAATTTTATATTCTTAGCACAGAGTTCAACTTTAACTTCACTAGTGCTAAGCCGGTCTAGAAATGTCTGTCCCCAGAAAGATGTAAGGATCTGGTGTGAGGGAGAAGGAATCGGTGTAATATTTTATACAGATCACACTTAGCATTAAAATGAGCTAATTAAAATGAGCATTACAATGTTTTGGTCAACAGTCTTGAGGGCCTATGAATTTGCAATTTCCAATATGTACTGTCCTTAATTCTACGCAACTTCTAGAAAATTTTTTTAAAATTTCCTTGTTTCCATCTCATAACTGAAGAATGGGGAAGCATCAGTTCTTCTGTTCTCCAACTGTTTGTACATGTTTGTATTATCATGACTACTTCAATTTGAGATTTCATTTTAAGAATATTTTTAATTCTCTTGTTCATTTTGTGAAATACACAATATAATCTACGCATTCACCTACCTGGGCACAGTGATATGTCTTCATATACCAAAGACAAACTCACAAATAAGAGTTATGCCTGTAGCCTTTCTGAGTTTTGAAATTGCTACCCCATGTTCCATGTATGGCATATGATCATCTAACATATAGAGTATGTAGGCACCAGTGTCTATTCATATAAAGTGATTGATGATTATAAGATACAAAGGACAAATATAAATTCTTATATGTTCCTTTTGTGCTCAATGGATTATGCCACTACTATGCTGGTCTTGGCCTTCAAGACTGTTGACCAAAACGTTTTCATGCTCACGGTAACTAAGTGTGATCTGTATAAAATATTACACTGATTCCTCCCCCGCCATGCCAGATCCAGGCATTTCTAGACTGGTAGGGCATAAGTAAATAATCACTCTCTTCATATCAGACCAGATGGTGGTTATAGTAACACTATTTTGTTCGAGGTTTCACTGTGCAGGATGCCTTTTAATGCCTATTGGATATTATAGAGCAGATGCAATGTGAATGATGACTGGCAGATTGTCTGCATGAATAAAACAAAAGAGTACACATCCTCAATGGATGAGATAGAAAATCGAGATCTATCACTCGTGTTGCCATTTCATCAACAGTTTACCAGATAAATAAGAGATTTTTATTTAAAAATGGGTGTCTGTATCGGGGCCAGAGTAATGCCATATATTTTTTTCTTTTCCTTGCAACACACATTTTTCTACCACTTACTCTATGTAAGTTGTAGGTGCTTCACATTAGCTGAAGACGGTTATCTCAGTAAATGCAGCAGCTTCTTAGCATTTGGTTTTGTACCTCCTTTTGCTCTAGCCTGGAACAAAAACAAGGTCCTTAGCAGTCATAGACAGAATTCCCTCTCTCCCTCCCTCCCTCTCTTCCTTCCTTCCTTCTTTCCTTCCTTCCTTCCTTCCTTCCTCCCTTTCTCCTCTCTCTCTCTCTCTCTCTGTCTCTCTTTCTCTCTTTCTTTCATCTGTCTCACTCTGTCACCCAGGCTGGAGTACAGTGGCATCATAGCTCACTGCAATCTCGAACTCCTAGGTTCAAGGGATCCTCCCACCTCGGCCTCTCAAAGTGTTGGGATTACAGTCATGAGCCACCATTCCTGCCCAGAATTTCTGTTTGTTTTTTTTTTAAATCCTCCGATAGATATGAATATGATCTTACCATAATACTCTAACATGAGAAATGTTACATTAAATTTTTTTTCAAAATCAAATTTGTGTTTATAGCTCCTGTCTTGTCAGACTGGGTTAAGCAATCTGTCATTGTTGGGGACCCCAAGAGTCCTGTGGAAGTCTTGAGTCTTGTGTGGTCTGAAATATTTGGGAAGGGCCTTTGGGCATACTGCTTGTGCAAACCTACGTTCCTTAAAACAGGATGGCCCCTCGGGGTCACCAGGCAAGTCTTGGAGCTCTGAGTTCTAGGTTCATCCTTCTTATGTGGACTTAGTGGGGCTCAAACTCCTAATATTCTCAGAACTACAACCACCCCTTCATCCCTTTCCAACATAAAAGAGAAATTAATACTTCGGTAAATTAGTCTGCCACAACAGCAGTGGTGAGGCCATATGGAGGTGCTATGCTACTCTCCTAGTGCCTCATAAGAAGTCTCCATCTCCTTCTTCCACTCAAAGGGGCTCCTGAGGCTTTGGGGTACTGGGGCCATGATGTCTTTGCTGCTATTTCTGCTGAAGCTTTAAAGCCAGCTGTGTGCCAGGTAAGAGTCTCTCGTTTCTTAAGATGTCATAGAGGCTTGCTTCTGCCTTTGTTGGAAGTCGCCTAACTGCCAGTTCTGAGAGAGGACAGTGGAGAACAAATTGGAACGGCAAATGCTACGCTGTTTTCATCCCCATCTCCTCTGATTGCTGAAACATTGCTAGTACAACAAACTTGTGCACTTGACCCTTCTTTCCCTTACAATAAATTCTTTCCCAAGAGCCTCCAGGGCTCCTCATACAATTCAGGCCTTGCTGGGCCTGCCCCCAAGAGTGGCCAGCTCTGCATGGACTTGTTTACGTCCTTATGGTAAACACAGCAGGTGGGGGGTAGGGAGGAACACCTGATTCATACGGCCCTAATAGCTAGAATTAATTATTAATATGTTCTTTATTTGCTAGTATATTCTCACCATTCTCAGATTATTAGTCTTGTCTTGGATATTTTGGTTGTGTAAGACTCTGACAGAGAAATGGTACAATGGCAAAAAAATTAAAATAAAATTTATAACTCTCATTTTAATTACTCCCAGACTTTTTTCGCACAACTGGCTGGCTGGCTGACTGATTCAATGTAAATGTCCAGAAGGGTGGGACCGTTTATAACCATAGAAACAAATACAAGACTTTCACCCTAAGCTATGCTGGATGGATAAACAAACATCAGGACTAGACAGCTGAGACCTTCCTCCAGTATTTGTAAATGGGTTTCTGTAGAGCCCTCAGACAGAGCTCTTGAGTCCTCATCCAGTTAGCAGATTGGTTCTTTTGTTAGGCAGTCATATTATTTGGAATTTTTGAACATTTTATAGACCATATTAAATAAATGAGCTCATGTTAAAACCAATTATTTCTGTAACTCAGTCTTGAGAAGTGAAACATTATTTATTATAGTAACTACAAAACAGATGTTGTAATATATGTCCTAATTCAATTAAAAAAAATCAGCAAAAGCAGTTATTTGATAATTTTCCCAAGAACACTAGCTTGAATTTTACATGTGTAGTTCGAAACAAAAATTCACACAAAGTGTGTCAGAATAAGTTTAGATGAGCAAATATGAAAGACTTGGACCCAAAAGAGAAAATGAGAAAACAAAACATCGGTTTAGGGGAAAACGCCTTTCTCTTTTCTAAGCAGATGTTTCAGAGAGACAAAGAAAGCCTGGATTGAGCATTCCTGGGCAGCACAGGAATCAGCAATCTGTCAGGGTTTGTGGGGAGCACAGGGTGACAGCCAGCCAATTGCATGTGAAATGTGCCTGGCTTAGTTCTATGTCACTGGGACAGATTCTCAAAGATCTGGTACAAATGTAGGGTTGGTGAAAAACCATGCCTGCTTTGACATTAAGAAGTAAAGGAATGCATTAGGTGTGAAGGCCGGTGATTTCTTTTCAACATATGTCACTTCACTACATTCTCTTCTCTTAAATTGTCTTCACTTAGCCATGAGCTTTGGCAAGGCTGATCTTCAGCGGCTGAGGCTTGGAGGACTACCGATTTCCCATTTCAAAAATCATCATAATCTCATTGAGACTTAAGAAACCCCACTTTGTTTCCACTTGAGTGTAACAAAGAAATTGTATGTGTATTCCAAATGGAATATATTAATAGTTTAAAATAATAAGTTTACAGAAAAGTGGAAAAATAGCCAAAATCTTCTAATCTTCTTTCTTGCTATTACAACTGTGATCTCCTTGGTCAATTCTAGGCAGTCCAATCCTGCTCTACAAAATATGTTCCTGAAAGGTGACATAGACTTATATGCAATAAGAAGGAATTTATAAAATATTACAAATTCACAATTATACCTGACCAATTAGAGCTAATCTTTGGCTATGTATCTGTAATATTTCATACCTCTGATCTTTGATCAACTTAAGCTAAATAAATTTCTAATTGGAGCTTGTCTTAGTCTGTTTTTTGTTGCTATAACACAATACCTGAGAGTGGATAAAAGAAAAGAGGTTTATTTAGTTCACAGTTCTGCAAGCTAAGAAATTCAAAATCACAGTCCTGGCTTCTGGTGATGGCTTTTGTACTGCATCATATCATGGTGAAGAAGGTCAAAGGGGAAATAAATGCCTGCAAAAATAGGAAAATCTGAGGGGTAGCCTGGCTTTATAACAACCCAGTCTCTTGGGAACTAATCCATTCCTGTGAGAAATAATCCATTCACTCAAGAGCAAAAACTCACTCTACTGTGAGAACAGAAGTAAGCCATCCATTAGGAATCCTGCCTGCATGACCCAAACACGTCCCACTAGGTCCAGATCTCCCAACTCCTTCCCATCAGGGATCAAATTCCAACATGAGTTTTGGTGAGGACAAACCATATCCAAACCATAGCAGGGATTAATGTTTTCTGGTTTGATTAACTAATAATTATTTTTTCTGTTTCCATTTTATGAAGTTTATCAGAATTATGTTTCCTTTTACCAGTAGCAATATTTTAATAAAATTATAAAGAAAACATTATAAAATATATTTTTATTTGTTTAAAATGTATTTATTTTTAAACAGACAAAATTTTACATGTTATAGTGTACAACATGTTGTTTTGAAATATGTACACATTGTGAAGTGGCTAAAGAAAGCTAATTAACATATGCATTACCTCACATACTTATCATTTTGGAGGCTGAGAATACTTAAAATCTATTCTCTCAGCAATTTTCAAGTATACAATACATTGTTATTAATTATGGTCCTCATGTTGTATAAGAGATCTCCTGAACTTATTTCTCCTCTTTGGCTGAAATTTTCTATTCTTTCACCAACATCCTACCAACACCCCTGCCCTCTCCTCACCAGTCCCTGGTAACCACCATTCTAACTCTGCTTCTTTGAGTTTCACTTTTTTAGATTTGACATATAAATGCAGGACTTGCCTTTCGGTGCCTGGCTTATTTCACTTGACATAATGCCTTTCAGGCTCATTCTAATTGTCACAAATAATGAGATACCCTTCTTTATTTGAGGCTGACTAATATTCCATTGTGCATATATACCACATTTTCTTTATCCATTCATCCACTGACAGGCACTAAGGTTGATTCCATATCTTGGCTATTGTGAATAGTGCTGCAATAACCATAGGGAATGCAGATATCTCTTTGATATACTGATTTCATTTCCTTTGGAAATATATCAATTTGTGAGATTGCTGGATCAATCCACAAATGGGTATTCTATTTTTAATTTTTGATGAACTTCCATGCTATTTTCTATAATGTCTGTACTAATTTACTTTCCCATCAACAGTGTACAAGGGTTTTCTTTTCTCTACATCCTCACCAACACTTTTTAACTTTCATCTTTTTGATAATATCCATTCTAAATGGTGTGGGATGACAGCTCATTGTGGTTTTAATTTGCCTTTCCTTGGTGATTAGTGATTAGCATTTTTTCTTATACCTAGTGGCTATTTGTATGTCTTCTTTTGAGAAATATCTACTCAGATCCTTTGCCCATCTTTAAAAACTGGGTTACTTAGTTTTTTTGTTTGTTTTTTTGTTTTTGCGATTGTTTGACTTCCTTGTATATTTTGGCTTTTAACCCCTTATCAGATGTATGGTTTGCAAATATTTTCTCCTTTTCTGTAAGTTATCTCTTCACTCTGTTGATTGTTTCCTTTGCTGAGCAGGTTTTCATTTGATATATAATCCCATTTGTCTATATTCAGTTTTATTGCCTGCACTTTTGAGGTCATATTTAAAAAAATAATTGCCCAGGCCAATGTTGTAGACCTTTCTCCTATGTTTCCTTCTAGCAGTTGTATCCTTTTAAGTTTAGGTCATTAATCCATTTTGAGTTGGGTTTTGTATATAGGGTGAAATAAGAGTCCAGTTTCATTCTTCTGCATGTGCATATCTAATTTTCCTAACACCATTTGTTGAAGAGATTGCCCTTTCCCCATTGTGTGTTCTTGGCATCTCTGTCAAAACTCAGTTGATCATAAATAAGTTGATTTATTTCTGGGCTCTCTGTTGTATTCTATTGGTCTATGTGTCTTTTTTTATGCCAGTACCATATAGGTTTGATTACATTAGGTTTATAGTATAGTTTGAGAAGTCAGTGTGATGCCTCTGGCTTTGTTCTTTTTGCTCAAGATTGCTTTGGCTATTCGGGGTGTTTTGTGGTTCCCTATGAATTTTAAGAATTTTTTATTTCTGTGAATAATGTCATTGAAATTTTGGTAGGGATTGAATTGAGTCTGTAGATGGCTTTGAATAGCATGGACATTTTAAGAATATTAATCTTTTTAATTCATAGGCTATCTTTCCATTTATTCCCATTATTTGTGTCTTCTTCAATTTCTTTCATCAATGTTTTATAGTTTTCAATGTATAGATTTTTCACCTCCTTGGTTAAATTTATTCTTAAGCATTTTTTGTAGCTTTTGTAAATAGGATTAAAAAAATTTTTTTTCAGATAGTTGTCAGTGTATAGAAATGTTCCTGATTTCTGTATGTTAATTCTGTATCCTGTAACTTTGCTTAATTTGTTTATTAGTGCTATCAGCATTTTGGTGGAGTCGTTAGAATTTTCTCTATATAAGGCCACATCATCAGCAAAATATGGATTTTTAGTCACATAAGCTACTGTGGGGACAAATAAAGTGATGATACCAAATTAAACTGTTGCCTGGCAGGTAGCTATAAAATGATGGGTTGAAATGTTAGCATTAGCAGTGCTCTAAAGTCTAAATCTGGTGTGTAAAAATGAGTTATGGAGTCAACATACAATTTTTAAAGTGCTGATTTTGCTAAAGTATAACATTGCCAAACTTGAGGAATGTCTGTGTGTTTGGGAAACCCATCTCTTGCACTTTTATTTACCTTTAAAAATCAAAGTTCATTCAGAAAAAAATATAATAAGGTTACCTCTAGGCAGCATAACTAGAGAAATTCCATTTCATAACAAAATTCTGCTATATAAACAGTAAAATTAAGGTTCCTAACCTTTAATGATGCTTCTATTTCCTATTGTGGATTAGCAATGTGATGTTCTTATTAATGAAGTCTTTAGTTAGCAGATTTAATTACTATACATGCTACACACCTTACCAATTTCTACCTTCCATGTTTTGAGTTCAACAAATATTGAGCTCTTACTTCTCTAGGCATTGTATAAATAGCTAATGAGACTATAACAAACAATATTTTGGCCCTTCCCTCAAGGAGCTCCCCTAGGTTACCAATTTCAAAGTTTTTTAATACCACAAATATGCTCAGTAGAAAGAACATATTGAATCAAGTCAGTCTTTGATGATTCAGAAGATATTTCCAGCTCTTGTAGTATTCAAGGTCAAATTATGAGTACTAGTTATGGTGTAATCAAAGCCTTGACATTTTAGTTAATAGATTATATTGAGTAGGCTGAAATTAAGAATATATTGCTTCTTGCACACTAATTTTGTAACTGAGAATCTCAGAGCACGATGACATACCTGAAGACAAGGACTTTCATGAGCTACTGAAGAAAGGAAGGATACCCTTCTCCTTTTATAAACAGTGTTTGTTATCATTCAATCAATAGAATTTATTGAATCCTTACTGTACAAAGATACCTGTCCACTTTAAGTGACCCTGTTGATTCCACACAAGTGAGCATATTTATTTGTTTTATATTTGTTTGTATCGGGATACTCTGTTCCTTATGTTAGGGAAGCTACTCTAAGAAAAACAACACAGGCCGGGCACGGTGGCTCACACCTGTAATCCCAGCATTTTGGGATGCTGAGGCAGGCGGATCATGAGATCAGGAGTCCGAGACCAGCCTGACCAACATGGTGAAACCCCGTCTCTACTAAAAATACAAAAATTAGCCGGGCATGGTGGCATGTGCCTGTAATCCCAGCTACTCAGGAGGCTGAGGCAGGAGAATTGCTTGAACCTGGGAGGCGGAGGTTGCAGTGAGCCGAGATCGGTCACTGCACTCCAGCCTGGGCGACAGAGTGAGACTCCGTCTCAAAAAAAAAAAACAAAACAAACAAACAAACAAAAACACAGTAA
The DNA here is from genome assembly GCF_000001405.40 of Homo sapiens. Taxonomy (NCBI): domain Eukaryota; kingdom Metazoa; phylum Chordata; class Mammalia; order Primates; family Hominidae; genus Homo; species Homo sapiens. The sequence goes on along the minus strand of NC_000014.9, from coordinate 53,730,747 downwards.
AAATCTTGGTTTCCTTTTTTTAAAACAATGGATACTTTGTTTCATTTAGATTCAGCTCTTCCTTTGAGAAATGCGTCTTTTACTAGCAAGGGAATAGTGCAGAGAAGTAATGTAGAATCAGTAGCGCTTGGAGGACTGAGATTCTCTCAAGAGACACTGTGGATATGGGAAGTGACTCTACCAACAAAGGAAAACCAACAGTGATTGAAAGGGAAATGAGATTGTTTATCTGGTAGACAGTGAATTCCTTCCCCTTGGCAATATGAGTGTGCTAGGCCGGGGACACTAGCCTGGGAGAGTAACTGCTTCTTGATCTTCTAGCTTCCCAAGGTAAGGACTTGAAAAGGTGGTAGCCTCAGCCACCAAAGGCGGGACCAGAACTGGTGGAAAGATGATGGTTAAACTGAGGAAGAGTTGAAATGTAACTGAAGTTCCAACAATAGATAGATATTTTTGCTGACTTAAACTAACACTTTTCCCCTCAACACATTGAATTTGATCATATTTAAATGTTGTAGGATAAAGAAAAGTTCTTTTAATGTAGCACTTTAGGTTAATTAAACTTTTAATACAACTTTATGGAAAGAATACTTGCCCCATTTCCTGATACTCTCAGGAATCCTGGCGAAAGGACAGAGAGACAAGCCCCCAGCAGCCTTCCATGAGCCGCACTGATCACATTTCACTAAAAAGTATTTAGTACTAATTGTGAATTTCCTACACATCACTAATAAGTATTTACTAATTACTAATTGACCATGCTTTTTTTTTTTGAGACAGAGTTTTGTTTTTGTCACCCAGGCTGGAGTGCAATGGCGTGATCTCGGCTTACTGCAACCTCTGCCTCCCAGGTTCAAGTGATTCTCTGCCTTAGCCTCCCAAGTAGCTGAGATTACAGGCATGCGCCACCACGCCTGGCTAATTTTGGACTATACGTTATTAATATGTATTTGTTAATTACTAATTTACTGCATGTTGCTAATTAGGTTTGCATCTATTGCTAAGATGTCACCTGAAGCCCAATGCTCCTTGGAGATTTAGGTAAACTTGAACTAAACTGCTAACTTCAAGGCCTGTGAAAGTCTAGGATACCAATGCCTTATAACCCAGAAGATATCTATAAATTTCTAATACTTTACTTTTTCATGATCCTCTCTTTGTACTTCCATACCTGGGTCCATAAAGTGCACAATCTTGTGCAGAGATTTAAAACTTGCACGATTTTTGGAGACTTGACTAAAAGAAAATGCTATCTTTAGAAATATTTTTGTAATTATTAAGAGAATAAGTGAGTCCAGAATAATATACATCTAAAGTTTTAGCTGGGCGCAGTGGCTCATGCCTGTAATCCTAGGACTTTGGGATTGCGAGGAGGAAGGATTGTGTGAGCCCAGGAGTTCAAGACCAATCCAGGCAACATGGCACGAACCCATCTCTACGCAAAATTTAAAAATTAGCTGGATGTGGTGGAACATGTCTGTGGTTTCAGCTACTCAGGAGGCTGAGGCAGGAGGACTGCTTCAGCCTGGGATGTTAAGACAGCAGTGAGCTATAATCACACCACTGTACTTCAGCCTGGGTGACAGATTGAGACACCAAGTGTAAAAAATAAAATAAAAAACTTTTACAATGAACCAGGGGCTAAAAAAGGTTTAGTTTGTAAAGTGTCTAGGGGAAGTAATGATAAATGGGAAGAGAATTTTAACACAGCCATAGTGTAGAAGAACAAGAAATTATAAACCTTTATTCAAGGTCTTAGCTGGATATATGCTTGATAGCTTTAGTGGCAGTACATCAGACTGGCCAGGCAGACCCATCCACAGAAATTTAAGGAAATCCAAAAAATATCTCAGATAAATATATATCTAAGAAGAAGGAAAGTCCTATATTTAAACCATATCTTTATTAATTTGTGCCCACAAGAAACTTGAGAAGGGAGACATGAAACAAAGAAGAAACAATCCAAATAGGATATAATTTACAAGTTCATTGAATAGGATCACACAAAATCCAACACTTTTTTTTTTTTTTTTTTTTTTTTTTGAGACAGAGTCTCACTCTGTTGCCCAGGCTGGAGTGCAGTGGCATGATCTCGGCTCACTGCAACCTCTGCCTCCCAGGTTCAAGTGATTCTCCTGCCTCAGCCTCCCGAGTAGCTGGGATTACAGGTGTCCACCACCATGCCCAACTAATTTTTGTATTTTTAGTAGAGACGGAGTTTCACTACATTGGTCAGGCTGGTCTCGAACTCCTGACCTCAGGTGATCTGCCCACCTCGGCCTCACAAAGTGCTGGGATTACAGGTGTGAGCCACTGCACCTGGCCAATCCAACACATTTTATAATTCATTGGAGATAATGGTATAGAAAATGAAGGACCCAAAAAGCAGATACTTTGTCAGAGATTATATCAGAAGGCAGAAAGAACAGTAACTTTTTGGAAAATAATAAAAAATGAATAAATTTCAGGATTCTGAGCAAAGGAAGGGTAAAAGTCAGGAAATCAGTGAAATCATAGGTCATTTCATATATTTGACATCATATTCCTTGCTTATTATTTAATTGATTTCAGATTTCCTATTAAAGGCCTTTATTGAAGAAACTTGCTTTCCCAGTCATGTGAAGAAATAAGCAACATTGTGGATGTTTTGAGATCTTGCAATGGGAAGAGAGGCTGGGAATTTTTTAATTTTGGAGGTCAACTTATGTATTATGTATATTTAAATCTAAATACAGTGAAGGTAACAAGTCTCAAGTGATAGCCTGATTTATCCATTTATCCTTCAAGCTGAAGAACTTTATTTATTGTAATGCAGATCTGTTGGGAATGAATTCCGGCTTTTGTTTTTAATTTGCCTTCATTTTTGAAAGATATTTTCTCTGGATATTGAACTGTAAGTTGGAAGCTTTTTCCCCTTAGCTCTTTAAATATGTCATTTCATTGTTCTCTGCATCTCTAGTTTTTGTTGAGAAGTCATTTTTAATTCTTATTGTTGTCCCTCTGAAGGTAATGTGTCTCTTTCCTCCAGCTGCTTTTAAGATTTTTTTTTTTTTTTTTGAGACGGAGTCTTGCTCTGTCGCCCAAGGCTGGTGTACGGTGGCAGAATCTCAGCTCACTGACACCTCCAACTCCTGGGTTCAAGCAGTTCTCCTGCCTCAGCCTCCCGAGTAGCTGAGATTACAGGCATGCAACACCATGCTTGGCTAATTTTTGTATTTTTAGAAGAGATGCGGTTTCACCATGTTGGTTGGCCAGGCTGGTCTCGAACTCCTGATCTCAGGTGATCCACCTGCCTTGGCCTCCCAGAGTGCTGGGATTACAGCTGTGCCTGTCCTTAAGATTTTGTCTATATCTTTTGTTCTCAACAGTTCGACTATCATGTGTCTAGTGTGATTTTTTTTTAATTTTTTTATTTACCTATTTGGGGTTCTCTGAGCTTCTTGAAGCTACAGGTTGATTGTTGGTCATTATCTCTTCAAACAATGCATCTGCCCTGTTCTCTTTCTCCTTTCCTTCTGAAATTCATATTACATATATATATATATATATATATGTGTGTGTGTGTGTATGTGTGTGTGTGTGTGTGTGTATATATATCCAAATCTTCGTGGATGAGCTGTCAAGACACAGCAAGAGGGTCAATAAGAAAACATTTGACTGAAAGTCAGAGAGAAAAAGAATACAAAATAATGGAAAAGAGGCTAAGAGACGTAGAATATAGCAAAACAATCAAACATATATGTATGTTAAAATTATGTATATATAAGAAATAAAAATTATATAAATATATGAAAATGATATATGTATATGTAAAAATTATATACAGAGTTTATTCTCATTATTTGATTCTATAAGAATTTATAGAATTTATTATTTGGTTCCATAAAGTCACCATGAACCCCAAATTAATGTATACTAAATTGTCATCCTTAGGGAAAATACAAGATTAGGTTATTTAACTTACATTATTGATTCATTAACATTGAACTCATGGCCAACAGCATTATAACTCACACCTGAACAAAGCTCTAAAACATCTATTTTCTCTGTGAGGCACATGACAGCCTTCTTGCTCTTAGGAACACTAGGACCATTTTAAATAGCGAAATGAGCAACAAAAAGCACAAAAATATAAAAAACTTGGCACTCAGTAGTGAAAAGGACAGTCTATTTAGTAGTGTTATACATATACATAGTGTTCGCATCATGACAACTGAAACAAGAAAGCAGACATTGCCTTGTTTGACCTCAGCTGGGAACATGCATGTTGGGTGACTCAAATTTTTTGCCCTCTGTGCATCCACATGTCCCAAAACACTTCAAAAGCCTGGGAACTTTGGTTTTGGCATTATTAATAAATTTTAGTGAGTAGAATTCTCAAATAAGGAATCTGAGAATTATAAGGGTCAGCTTATATGTATATAAATGTATTTATAATTTTTATAATATATTAGCATAAGTAGTATACTGTTAAATATTTTAAAGTATACATATGTTTTAAAATAGAAATTAAATTAATTATATATTTTATATCTGTCTATATATATATATATATATATATATATTTTCCAAATTATCCATCTCTTTTAGCTGTTACAGTGGGAGTAGTGTTCTGTGCTTCCTATTCCTTCCTATTAGAAACAGGGGTCCTTAATCAACATTTAAAAATAGTTACTACATTTCCTGATAGCATTATTTTCTACTAAAAACATCTATTACTAGAGCCCTTAGGAACTTGCTGCAAGACTCAGGTTTGGCCATACGCAGATAACAATTTCTGAAACTTTTGAATTATTTTTTCTAATTATTAGTATCACCTTCCTTTCCAGTTTTATTCTGACCCAGTTACATTTTGTCTTTTTGCCGGTCCACTTTAAGTAAGGCTGGTAAAATGCCCATATCTGCTGGTGAGTTGAAACAGTTATTAAAATGGACGATGTCAGCTTGAGTTTTCCTGTTAACTTGAAAGGAAATCTCGTGGTGACAGCACGAGGGTTTCCTATAAAATACTGATTTCTAAACAGATTATTAATCAATACTGGTTGAATGAGCACCTCCCTCTGATGGAAGCAGGGTATATGTCCCCACATCTGCTTCACAGAAGAGACAGAAAAGCAAAGTCCTGGGCAGGTAGGAGATGCACTGAGGAAGGAACGACCTGGGAGGATGGAGGAGTGTGGAAGGAGGACGGCGGGGCGGGGGGGTGCAGAAAATAGCAAAGGAGCTGGAGAAAACCCTTCCACCATGCTCTGAATTAGTCTCCGTCTTAATCCTACCTTCTTCCTATTTCCCCAGATCTCTGCAGATTTTATTTTATTTTATTTTTTTTGAGACAGAGTTTCACTCTTGTTGCCCAGTCTGGAGTGCAATGGCACGATCTCAGCTCACCACAACCTCCGCCTCCCAGGTTCAAGTGATTGTCCTGACTCAGCCTCCCGAGTAAATGGGATTACAGGCATGTGCCACCATGCCCGGCCAATGTTGTATTTTTAGCAGAGACAGGGTTTCTCCATGTTGGTCAGGCTGGTCTCGAACTCCCGACCTCAAGTGATCCGCCCGCCTTGGCCTCCCAAAGTGCTGGGATTACAGGCATGAGCCACTGTGCCTGGTGGGTCTCTGTAGATTTTTAGAGAAACATGGAAATGGAGGTGAAGCTAAGGGAAAACAGAGACCCCACTGCAAGAGTTGCAGGGAAAGTGAGTAAGAAAAACGCTTGGCTAGGAGAAGGCACCAGAAGTAGCTCTTGAGAAAAGAGCCGAAAGAGCAACCCCAAGCAGAAGGGATCTCAGAGAAGGAGGGTTCATTACAGGGATCACTGCTGGAGATCTTGAAGGCCCAAGGACAGAGAAAGGTTTTGTTTGGTTTTATTTTTTCCCTTCCCTAGTGACATTATGAGTGGCCTTGGGAGATGCCTCTCCCAGAGATGGAGGCCTACGGAACTCAGTCATCGCATGCAAGCTCTAGTAGTAATGCTTTTTGAACCAGTTTCCTATTAACAAATCTCCTTTGTTCAGTGCTGTGTTAATTTGTAAAGGTTTGGATCACCCAATGGGCCTTGTTTTTTCTTTTCTCAGTTCAGGATTGCTAAGTAGGGACTTACGCAAGTAAACAGTTAACCAAACTCCCCCCCTCTATATTAAGTTACCAGGGGTAGGCTCATGCCTGTAATCGCAGCACTTTGGGAGGCCAAGGCTGGCAGATCACCTGAGGCCAGGAGTTTGAGACCAGTCTTGCCAACATGGTGAAACCTTGTCTCTACTGAAAATACAAAAAAAATACCTGGACATAGTGGTGCACGTTTGTAATCCCAGCTACTCAGGATGCTGAGGCACAAGAATCACTTGAACCTGGGAGGTGGAGGTTGCAGTGAGCTGAGATAGCAGCACTGCACTCCAGCCTGGGTGCAGAGTGACATTGTCTCAAAAAAGAAAAAAAAAGTTTCCCGGGGTGATTTGACCAGATGTCTCTTTCCACTGTGAAAAAGGTATCTGCTGTCCCACTAGAACTCCGACCTAAATTGTAAGTGTCCTTTTAAGGCAGAACAGGCAGGAGAGGAGAATCATTTCGAGATGATGAAATGGCTATGGTCCCACAACTAGAGGACAAATTTTCCCTCAATCAAATGAAAAAACAATAACATCTATCATAATACACGTAATCTGTTTACAAACACTGTAAATGAGTGTGTGTGTGTGTGTGTGTGTGTATGATTTGTGAGGAAGCAGCATACAGTGCCTCTTTAGACATGCCTTGAGCCCTAGAACCATCAAGCAGGCCGCCCTCAGGAATAAAATAAAGTTTCATAGATAGGCCTTAAAGGGTGCTGTTATTTTGTACTTTTTGGGAGTTGGTGAGATGAAAATTCCACAGTATCACTTAGAAATGTTGTGGCACTTCTGAAAACAGTGAGCTTATAATGTGATATCTCAGGCAGTAGGGATAAAAAATATTCAGTTTGCCAAAAGAAATGAAAGCAGGTGTCAATACAAAAATTTGTACATGAGTGTTCAAAACAGCATTGTTCATAACAGCCAAAAAGTGGAAACAGCCCAAATGCCCATTGACTGATGAGTGCATAAAGAAGATGTGGTATATATACATATAATGGAATATTATTCCGCAATAAAAGGAATGGAGTAGTTATTTGTGCTGTCAAATAGATGAACTTTGAAAATATTAAGTGAAAGGAGCAAGTCACAGAAGGCCATACGGTATGATTCCATTTACATAAAACATCCAGAATAGGCATATCTATAGGTACAGGAAATAGATCAGTGGCAGCCAGGGGCTGGGGTAAGGTGGAGAGGAAATGGGGAGTGGCTGCTAATAGATACAAGCATACTTTGAAGACACTGTGGGTTTGGTTCCAGACCACAGCAATAAAGCAAATAGCGCAGTAAAGCAAGCCTCACAAGTTTTTTGATTCCCCGTGTATAAAAAAGTTATGTTTAGGCCGGGTGCGGTGGCTCATGCCTGTAATCCCAGCACTCTGGGTGACTGAGCTGTGTGGATCACCTGAGGTCAGGAGTTGACCAGCCTGGCCAACATGGTGAAACCCCATCTCTACTAAAAAATACAAAAAATTAGCCAGGAGTGGTGGCGGGTGCCTGTAATCCCAGCTACTCTGGAGGCTGAGACAGGAGAATCACTTCAAACCAGTAGGTGGAGGTTGCAGTGAGCCGAGATCACGCCACTGCACTCCAGCCTGGGTGACAGAGCGAGCCTCCATCTCAAAAAAAAAAAAAAGTTACGTTTATACTGTAGAATAATATATTAAATGTAATATGTCTAAAAAAGCAATGTACATACCTTAATTAAAATATGCTTTATTGCTAAAAATTCTAACCATTTTTGAGCCTTCAGTGACTGATAATCTTTTTGCTGGTGGAGGGTCTTGCCTTGATGTTTATGGCTGCTGACTGATCAGTGTGGTGGCTACTGAAGGTTGGGGTGGCTGTGGTAACTTCTTAAAATAAGAAAACAGTGAAGTTTGCTGTGTCAATTGATTCTTCCTTTCACAAAAGATCCCTCTATAGCATGCAATGCAGTTTGAAAGCATTTCACCCACACTAGAACTTTTTCCAAAATTAAAGTCAATTCTCTCAAACCCTGCTGCTGCTTTATCAACTAAGTTGATGTAATGTTCTAAATCGTTTGTTGTCATTTCAACAATCTTCACAGCATCTCCACTAGGAGTTGATTCCATCTCAAGAAACTACTTTCTTTGCTCATCTGTAAGAAGCAACTCTTCATCCATTAAAGTTTTATCATGAGATTGCAGCAATTCAGTCCCACCTCCAGGCTCCACTTCTTATTCTAGTCGACTTGTTATTCCCACATCTACAGTTACTTCTTCCACTGAAGTCTTGAAGCCCCTCAAAGTCTCCATGAGGGTTGGAATCAACTTGTTCCAAACTCCTGTTGATGTTGATATTTTGACCTCCTCCTATGAATCACAAATATTCTCAACAGCATCCGGAATGAGAATTCTTTCCACATGGTTTTCAATTGACTTTGCACAGATCCATCAGAGGAATTGTTATCTATGGAAGCTATAGCCTTACAAAATGTATTCCTTAATAATAAGACTTGAAAGTCAAAATTACCCCTTGATTTATGAACTGCAGAATGGGTGTTGGGTTAGCAGGCATGAAAACAACATTAATATTTTTGTACATCTCCATCAGAGCTCTTGGATGATCAGGTACACTGTCAATGAGTGGTAATATTTTGAAAGGATTTTTTTTTTTTCTGAGCAGTAGGTCTCAAGAGTGGGCTTAAAATATTCAGTAAATCATGCTGTAAACAGATGTGCTGTCATCCAGGCTTTGCTGTTCCATTTATACAGTACAGGTAGAATAGTTAGCATAATTCTCAAGGGCCCCAAGATTTTCAGAATGGTAAATGAGCATTAGTTTCAACTTAAAGTCACCCACTGCGTTAGCCTCTAACAAGAGAGTTAGCCAGTTCTTTTGAAGCTTTGAAGGCAAACACTGACATCTCTAATTAGAAAAGTCTTAGATGTCATCTTTCTCCAAAGCAGGCTGTTTTATCTACATTGAAAATATGTCGTTTAGTGTAGCCACCTTCATCAATGATCTTAGCTTGATCTGCTGGATAATTTGCTACAGCTTCCATCTCAGCACTTGCTGCTTCACCTTGCACTTTTATGTTATGGAGATGGCTTCTTAAACTTTGTGAACCAACCTCTGCTAGCTTCCAGCTATTCTTCTGTAGCTTCCTCACCTCTCTCAGCCTTCAGGGAATTTAAGAGTTATGGCCTTGCTCTCAATTAGGCTTTGGCTTAAGGGAATGTTGGGGTTGGTTTGATCTTTTATCCAGACTACTCAAACTTTATTTCAGCAATAATGCTGTTTGACTTTCTTATTGCTCATGTGTTCACTAGAATAGCACCTTTAATTTCCTTCAAGAATTTTTCCTTTGCATTCATAACTTGGCTAACTGTTTGGCTCAAGAGTTCTAGCTTTTGGCTATCTCAGCTTTCAGCATTATACATGCCTTCCTCACTAAGCTTAATCATTTCTAGCTTTTGATTTCAAATGTCAGACTTATGACTCTTCCTTTTTTTTGAACACGTAAAGGCCTTTGTAGAGTTATTAAATTGGTGTAATTGCGATATTGTTGTGTCTCAAAGAATAGGAGGCCCAAGAAGAGGGAGAGACAGACGGGGGAAGAGCCAGTTGATGAAAGAATCAGAACGCAGACAACATTTATCAATTAAGTTTTCCATCTTATATGGGCACAGTTCGTGGTGTCCCAAAACAATCACAATAACAATATCAAAGATCACTGATCACAACACCATAACATAACAATAATGAAAATGTTAGAAATATTGCAAGAATTACCAAAACGTGACAGAGACACGAAGTGAGCACATACTATTAGCAAAATGGCACCAATAGACTTGCTCAACACTGGGTTGCCACAAACCTTCAATTTGGAAAAAAACGCAGTATCTGTGAAACACGGTAAAGTGAAGCACAATAAATTGAGGTATGCCTGTACAGGATTTTTTTTGGGAGTAATTTTCCAAAATTGATTAGGATGATACTAACACAATTCTGTGAATATACTAAAAATCATTTAATTAGACAATTTTCCTTGGCAATTATATGGTATATATTTTTTAAAAGCCATTACAAAATATCCCATATGCCCAAGAGGGAATAATGGCAAGGCATGGAGTTTGGGAATCTTGAACTTAGAAAAGACCTTAGAGCCCATCTCCTCTGACCCCCTACACATCTGAGTGCTCTTAAAGAAAATCAGAGGCCTGTGTGGACTGACGCTACAAATTTTAATATTTTCCCTTTCGGTACTTGATGCTATCTATCAATTATTTTGCCTTTCCTTCACATTGCCCACAATTATGCTAAGTCTTTAGGACAGTCTCCATGAGACCCCTACACAACTTCATTCGTCTTATGTTGATCAGTTATTCACTGAGAAATATGTTGTCACCAGCCATGTTAATCTTACTGACCAGCCCTTACTCTCTCCACATTGCTATGCATTTCCTCTCATCTCCATGAGGGAAGCCCTTCTGTTCAAGATCAAAGGCATTCTCTTTCTTGCTCTCCCATCTTCTTGATCTCCTGCCACTTCCCCTCTCTTCCCTTTCCCACCACCTTATGCTGAAGATCTTTCAAACCAGTTGGGTCCTTGATAAGCCATGCTGTTTCTACCTCCATGTCTTTTGCAACCCCCAACCCCTGCCCCACTTATCCTGAGTGTTCTCCTTATTGACCAGCATTAATTGAACAATAGTGTCCACAAAAAACTCCTACATATCCTTCAAATCTGCTCAACATTACCTTCTCCCTAAAATCCTCTCTAGTTTCATTCTCAGCCTCCTCCTACCCCTAGCAGAGCATCAGCTTTTCTCTCTCTAGTAGTTAAAATTTGGCCCATGTTCCTTTGCACACGTTACTCCAAATTGCATATGTTATACCAAATTGCCATTATTATCAGTTTGTTTACATGTCAGTCTCTTGAAACCCTGAGCTCTTTGAGGGAGGAAGTGTTTCTCTTTGCTCTCAGTGTCTCTTAGAATCTACATGACTGGTGCACACCAGATGCTTGTTGGAACAGTCACAGGAATCTCATTATATCACCCTAATTGATGGCTATTTAGCCCTAACCTAAATGTTTTCAGTAACAGGGCACTCACTCCTTTTTGAGACACCCCATTTCAAGTTTGGAACGTTGTAATTATTGGGAAAGTCCTCCTTATTGAGCCCAAATTATTGAGCCCAAAATATTGAGCCCAAATATTGAGCCCAAATATTCTTTCCTTTAATGTTCACTCATTGATCCTGGCTCCACCTTGTCAAACGTATAAATCAAACTGTCCCCTCTTGAGCACAGTAGCTCTATCAAATGGTTGCTGATCACATTGATGTAACTTTGTCCTCCTTTCTCCTCCTCTGATCACACACAGAGTAAGAGCATTTTCTCTCACTCAGGCTAAATATTCCCACTTCTTTAAGGCATTCTTGTTTAAATGGAATCTGGATCTCCCATGGTCCTACTTGACCTCTGCAGATGCTTTCTAGTTGGTCAATGTCTTCATCCAGTGGCTCACAGAACTGGTTTTGGCCCCTGGATGTGATCTGAAAAGAGAGAAGACAACAAGACTAAAAGTTCACTGGATCAGGAATGATGCTCCTGTTCATGCAGCCTAGAGTTTTTTGTGAACCATGTCACACCACTGTAGTGGACTAAAACTTCCAGAATTTTTCAGATGACTTGAGACATGTTCAATCTCCCCCTCTAATGTGAGCTTTATTGTTCAAGAATTTACCTGGAGTATTCAAATGGTCAAGTGAAACCAACGATACCATAATGACCTAGAGGTTGGAAAGTTGGAAAGGAATGGCCTAGAGGAGACAAAGGCCAAAGAAGAAGGAGAACAGGAATGGGGATGCTGATGTGTTTTGCAGCTACTTTATCATTTCACTAAAGCTTCACGGTGCAGTACATTTCCATATGGACAGGGATCATGGCTACTGACGTATCACTGTAGCCCTGCAACTACAACAGTGCCTGGCACATACTAAGCACTTAGCAAGAATTTGTGAGAAAGTGGGCACAATCCCTGGACTGTTTTCTGTGCAGGTCACAGGAACATTGAAATCTGGCATTGCATTTCTCGCAATGGGGAAAAAGCATCTGTCTGTGAGTATGTGATATGCTAGGTGTGTGTGGACTCAAAAGCAGAGGTGTTCGGTTATAGCAATAATTTTCATAGGATTCTCTGAGGACAGGTTCTTAGGGAGGGCAGCAGGGGATGCAATTGAGTGGGGTCTCAGGTCCCCATCCCACCACAAACCTAGAATAGCTTGACTTTTAGCTGTTTTGTATATTGAGTTTCCACACACATTTTCTTTTGAAGACATGGCTCCTTGGCTAAAAATCATGTTAATATTACCAGGTTTTGATGTTGTTTGCAGCTACTTTATCATTTCAGGAGGAGATTAAGACAGGTTAAAATGACAGTGAAGAACTACAATGCCCATCTCTCCCACATCTGAGCTGGTTGGTATCTGGCTGCTGCCTATACGCTCTAGAGACGGGGAAACTCATGCTATGCCAGACAGCCTGCTGGGCCAGGTCTCCTGCAAAGAGAACCACAATGGGCACACTCTGCTTGTCACAAAGCAAAGTAGCCTTTTTCTGAGCTCCATTAGAAGATTTCTGGGCAGACACAGACCCGGCCAGACCCTCTTGTAGAAAGTTCTCACTCCTCAGGCTCAGGAAATGCTCCCTCCCTGACAGATATTTCCCTCTCCTCACTTTGCTTTGTCCACATTAGCTGGCTTTCGTGCCTAAATCTTGGCCTTTCCCAAACCCACTTTATTATTACCTGCATCGAGAGTGGGAAGTTGGTTTAAAACGCAGAAATGGTTGTGCACCCATAACTTTAACCAGGTGAAGAAACACGGGAGTGAAGTAGGGGAACCGGAGACAGGAGCTACTTCTGCAAGACTTGCCATAAAGTGAGTGAAGAAAAGCACTCACTCTCACCCCAGGAAAAAAAAGGAATAGGTGTAGCTCTTGAGAGCAGAGCTGAAGGAAGATCTATTATATCAACGCCATCTTACTCTATATAATCATTAGAGGCTGCGTGTCTCCTAATACTCATCCTGGTTAGAGAAGATAGAGAATGGAAACCGAAGAGCTCTCCTGGTATCCCCTTCACATTCAGTGTCTCTCTCTCTCTCTCTCTCTCTCTCTCTCTCCCTCTCCCTATCTCTCTCCTTTTTTTAATTTAATTTAATTTTTTTTTTGAGACAGGGTCTCACTCTTGTCACCCAGGCCAGAGTACAGTGGTGCAATCACGTTCACTGCAGCCTCAACCTCCTGGGCTCAATCTATCCTCCCACCTCAGCTTCCTGAGTAGCTGGGACCACAGGCATGTGCCACCACACCTGGCTAATTTTTTGTATGTTTTGTAGAGACAGGGTCTTGCCATGTTGTCCAGGCTGGTCTTGAACTCGTGGGCTCAAGCGATCCACCCACCTTGGCCTCCTGAATTGCTGGGATTACAGGCATGAGCCACTACACCCACTCCCAGTTTCTCTCTTAGAGAAGAGAGAGAGAAAAAAAATGCATCTTCCAGATGTACCAGAACCCCTTTATTTAGGAAAAGTCTTAAATTCTTGACTTTCAGATCTCCCCAAAGGATCATGAGCTTGAAAGAGCACATTTTTAAAGATACTAATTCATGCCTTGAGCTTTTCTCCACAGTGCGAGTCTATGACAGGTAACGTTTTGCTCCAAGTCAAAGCTACATCAACTGAAATGAAAATCTGAGCACATCTCAGGCCCAAACGACGTCTCAGACCCAAAACACGAGCTTCAAATGGCACTAGGGTAAATACTGAATGTTTTCATAGTCTTTGTCCAAAATAAACATTTGAAAAATCCCAGAGGTTTTAGTTTCCTGAAGTAAAGAAAAATCATATTTCCAGCTGTCATTGGAAAATATCACAAAAAATCCCACGTTTTTATCTTCCCAAATATTTTTACAATTACTAAATACTTAAAGGACTATTGTCATTTGTTTCTATGTTGGTGAGCTGTTCATACAGAAAGCCCTTACATCAAGAGTCCTAAGGTATTGAAACAGATCACATAAAACTACAAGAGAGGCTTCCTCCTTTACTTTACTCTCCTTTTTGAGTGAAGTAAGAGTCTGATATAATTGCCCATGTGCTCAGTAAATGTGCCAAAGTGCAATATTTTGTCTTTACTATTGAGAATGTTTTTATAAACACGTAGTGATCAGCATATTCTGACTTTCAGAAATATTAACTACAAAATTGGCAGCAAACTTCAACAGTTGCAAAAATCCATATGTTCATTAAATTATTTTATTGTGGGATTTTTTTATTGGCTTTTTTTGTTGTTGTTACTGCTTTCAGTTTTTGAAGGCAGTTTTTGTATCTTTTCTTCTCAAGGCCTTTGGGGTCCTTTAGAATTTTAATTGAAATATGGTAATCCATTTTCTTTGCTAAAATTCATTTTTATAAGTTAAGATTTTAGAACTTTCCCTGAGGTTTGTAAGAGCTATAGGAGTTGAGATTTAAAACTTTTTTCATAGTTCAGCAGTTTTGCTCAATTTGTAAAACACAGAAGAACTGTGGCACATTTTTGTTCTTTAATGACTAGAATGATAAGTCTATTTTCGTAGGTATAACATAGACAATCTTTCAGGATTTGGCATTATGAAGTCATAGGACTGGAAGAGACCTGGTAAGACTATCTAGTTCCAATATGTGTCTTCAGATCCTTTAGGACCACCCCAGAGAAATAAAAATTTGTTCTATTTTTAAAGCTCTCCCTTAGAGATGTTTTTCTTCCTTGACAACAATTTATCATGTAGCAATCTTTATTTCCCTTTTATAGATAAAGATATATATCTTTCCTTTTGCCTTATTTTTTTCTCAGATTCCTTTACACTCATTAGATAATTTCAAAAACACCACTGCAGATCATTTGGTGCTACCATTTCTTTTTTTATAGAGAAAGACATTGAGCCATAGGAGTTAAGTGACTGGCCCCAAGCCTCATTAGAGATGTGAGTCATATTTGGGAGTGAGAACACAGAGCCACAGCCTTCATTCCTGAGCTGTTTCCTCAACTCTGTATTTTTCTTTAACAAATCAAAAAGCAAAAGTAAAAACAATCCCATTTGAGCGACCAAACAATGGTAATCAGATGTGCACCAGCCAATGGCTACTGTGGAAAGAGTTCAACCACCTACAGAGCAATGTCCATCTGTGCTTGTGCAGATACCAAGCTTTCACTTGGCTCATTTCCTAATCTCACTACAAGAAGATAGAAAGGCAATTGTCAAGAAAAAGGACGCACTTTGCATTGCTGTAACTCCAAACATGAACAAGTGAGATTGAGCTAATACCAAAAAGCAAACTCCTCAGTTGATTTGCAACAAGCAGTTCACATGAAACTGGCTGGCTCTATCACTATTGTTCTCATATCGGTACCACTGGACAGCTTTAATTAATATCAGAAACAGCACAGGAAACATCCTTTAATTATTCCTGTTATGTTTAGAGAAAATGTAGCTTACTAAAAACAAAGTAAACTATAAGCCTTTGAACTTGAGTGTTATCTGTGTCCTTTGGCTTGTGAGGGTTTTGTGTTATCGGACATGATAATTTGTTTTCAGTGATACCCTTGATGAAATTAATTGAGTTTTAGACTAGCATACATTTCCTTTTGCTGATACTTTCACTCTTGGCAGGGTCTTATCTGAGCAGTTAGTCCTGTTCTCGTCTGGTTCTGTCTGCTGAGATTTAATAGCTGCAGGACTGTTGTTGTTTTAAACAAAGATGTTTACTTTTGTTATTAATGTAATATTCAATTCACTTCCCCTTTTTATCTTCCCATAACGCAGAGACCTACTCCCTTTTTTTGATGGAGATGATGGTTTTGGACTTCACTGCTAAGTTTCCTTAGAAACACCCCACCGGACCTTTCCAAATATATCATCATCGTAAGAGGGAAAGCCATTTCAGACACTCCTATCTGTACACTTGGCTTGAATTCAATTGCTATCTAACTGCTAGGTCCTAAACATTTCCTTTTATTTTTTTTTCCAACTGTATTCTTTATTTCAAACATTAAAGTGCTATAATGCTTGGTGGGAAAAAATTTAAAATTTCAAATAAGATCTCCTCAACCACATGTTGACTTCACCTAGTTTTAGATCATGCTGTGCATTGCATATCGTTTTTGAAGTTTTTTTGCTCGTATATTACTATATATAAGATAGATTGGTTTTATACTAAAGAAAGAATACTATATTTAGTATTCTGCTATTAGCTTTTACGTATATTAATTTGTCTTCGACATCTCCCTAAGTATGTTTTAAGAACTTAATTAGTGCCATATTGTTAGAGATTAAGTTCTTCCCAGTGTTTTTGCTATTATAAAACAATATTAGTTTATTTAAGCATGAGAAGTAGAGTGTAAATCTATCTTTAATATTTCAAAATAGTATGCTTATTGAATAATCAATTTTTTCTATCATGATTTGAATGGGACTTTCTATGATTTAATAAATGATATGTATTTCTCCTAAGAAACTATTGTTTGAATCACCAACCACTGTTTACTTAAGCTGGGTGGCCCTCAAGCAATACATGAACTACTCCCTAACATTTGTTCAATCAGACAACAAATGTTTACATCTTCCTACCTTCCAAGGACTGTGTTGGTTTCTGGGTATACAGTGAAGAGAGGTGTAACCATGGCTCCCACCTTCGTGGTAACGAGTAAGTCAGCACTCAGCAAAGTATAAAGAAATTACAAATATAGCAGTATCTCCATTCTCTTCTTCTTTTCACTGGTATAGTCGGGTCTATTTTGGGACTCTACTCTAACAGACAATCTGTCTATCTGGTGTCAATAATATAATATTTTAGCTACTTTCACTTTTTATTATGTTTTATATATGATGGAGCTAAAGATAAGATTCTTCCTGTAGTCTTTTTTTTTCTTCAGGAAGATCCTGACTATTCTTACATAATTATACATCTGACAAATGACTAATATCTACAGTCTACAAGGAACTAAAAAAAAATTTGATAAAACAAATAATTTTACCAAAAAGTGAGCTAAGGACATTAATAGACAATTCCCAAAAGAAGATATACAAATGGCCAACAAACATATGAAAAACATGCTCAACATCACTAACGATCAGGGAAATGCAAATCAAAACCACAATGCAATGCCACCTTACTCCTACAAGAATGGCCATAATAAAAAATCTAAAAATATTAGATGTTGGTGTGGATGCAGTGAAAAGGAAACACTTCTACACTGCTGGTGGGAAAGTAAACTAGTATAATCACTATGGAAAACTGTGTAGAGATTCCTTATAGAACTAAATGTAGAACTACCATTTGATCCAGCAATCCCACTACTGGGTATCTACCCAGAGGAAAAGAAGTCATTATATTAAAAAGATACTTATATATGCATGTTAATAGCAGCATAATTCACATTATAAAAATATGGAACCAGCCCAAATGCCCATCAATCAATGAGTAGATAAAGAAACTGTGGTATATGTATATACGATGGAATACTACTCAGCCATGAAAAGGAATGAATTAATGGCATTTGCAGCAACCTTGATGGAACTGGAGAATATTATTCTAAGTGAAGTAACTCAGGAATGGAAAACCAAACATCGTATGTTCTCAATCATAAGTGAGAGCTAAGCTATGAGGATGCAAAAGCATAAGAATGATACAATGAACTTCGGGGATTCAGGGGAAAGGGTTGGGGGGGCAAAAGACTACAAATTGGGTTCAGTGTATGCTGCTCGCTTGATGTGTGCACCAAAATCTCACAAATCACCACTAAAGAACTTACTCATGTAACCAAATACCACTTGTTCCCCAAAAAACCTATGGAAATAAAAATAAATTAATCACATATTTATAATTTTAAATAAATTTTAGTGGCATTTTGTTGAGTCTTGAACCAATTAAAACCTGCTTGAATTTTGTTTGGGACTACATTGAATGTATTCAATAAATTAAGGAGAATAGACTTCATATGCTTTAAAACATCATGTTAAGACAATGTTTCAGTTAGGGCCTTTTTGGGTGCAAATATCCAAAACTCTCATCCAAATTGATCTGAGCAAAAATAGAATGTGCCTCCTGTAATTGAAAAATCATAAGATTGGTTCAGTTTGATTTAGGGTCTCAAGTGACAATGAGATCCAGATGTTTGTCATAATTTAGCTTAAGGTACCTCAACTGTGGCTTCAATCATTCATTCATTCAGAAAATATTTATCAGGTACCTATTATGTGCCAGGAACTACTCTTTTAGTGTAGAAATATGGTTGCCAACAAGACAACTAAAGTACCTGGCTTCGTGAGAATTACATTCTAATGGTTCTAGTTTAGGTTTGAGGCAAGAGCAACATGGCTAACTATATTGCTCAGCCTACAGCCTCCTAGGTCCAAGTCCTATGGAAAACCAAAGATCCTATAGCCTGAAGAGTTGGAACATCATCCTGGGCCTGAATTAGCTCATGTAGTCAGAAGTTGGAAATATCATTATGCTTTTGGCTTACTCACCTACATGTGGGACTGAGTGTATCAGCCCTAACCAAAGTGTGTGGCCTGAAAGAGGATAGGTACGATTCAAGGAAATTTGGATTGCTACTGACAAAAGAAAGGAGAAAGAAAGCTGCATCCTGAACCCCACAAATATCTATTATATGAAATGTTTCTTCCAGTTTTTTTTTAATTCAGGAGTGAGAATTAAATTTCATTAAATGCCATGTAGTAGGCTTTTATTGAGAAATTACATCATCTTTCTCTTTTAACTAATTAATATGGTGAATTATATTGAAAGATATTCCATTATGAAACTTCTTCCATTCTTGGAATATACTTGCTTACTCATGGTGTAATTATATTTAAAATGCATCACTAGATTTCACTTGGTAGTATTTTGTTCAGGATTTTTGCTTTGATATTAATGAGATTTTTGTGGGGGAAGTTGACAAGGTGTTGATTTTAAAATTATACAGGCTTTATAAAAAGAATTTATGTTTTTTTTCCTTGACTAGCATATTAAGCTGTTATTGCATTGCTATATATTAGACTGAGTAATTTCTAAAGAAAAGGTTTAATTGGCTCATGGCTCTGCAGGCTGTACAGGAAGGTTGGTGCTGGCACCAGCTCTGCTTCTTGAGAAGCCTCAAGAAGCTTACAATCACGGCGGAAGGTGACGGGGGAGCAGGCATGTCACATGACAAAAGCAGGAGTGAATGAGAGTGAGAGAGAGTGGGAGGGGAGTTGCCAAACACTTGTAAATGACCAGATTTTGTGTGAACTCAGTGAAAGCTCACTCATCACCAAGAGGATAGCCGAAACCATTCATGAGGGTTCCACCCCCATGATCCAAACACCTCCTACCAGATCCCACCTTCAACATTAGGGATTACATTTCAACATAAGATTTGGGCAGGAACAAATATCTAAACTATATCAACTACATTTTATAAATGTTTAGTAGCACCAGACTTATCAGTTTCTAGAAAGTCTGGGAAAAAAATTATTCGTACAATTGTAGCAGGAATATGTTTTTTTTAGTGCCCAGAAACTTTTGAGCAACATCTTACTGGTTTGCTATTTCTCACATTGTGACTTATTCACGCTCAAGGTAGAGCTCCTGTATTTTCCAGGTTCCCTTTCAAATGGGAAGCAGACATATAATCTAGATTTCATCCATCAAGACTAATGCAAGAGTTGGAGGCAGAAGTGAGCACTATGAGGCAGGAGTCCACGACCAGGAGTTTGAATGCCAAGCAGGCTTGTTGGCAGAAGCACCTGGAGTCTTCACAGGAAACTGGCAAACCACAGGCAACAGAGGCAGTCCCAATTGCATTGTTCCCGTCTGTGTAACATCCTAGCTTGGTTCTTCAGCCCTCCTGGAGTTTCTATGAGTTGCCCAATGTTTTCTACAAATCTCTTGATGCTTCAATTAGCCAGGGTAAATTCTGTTTACATCGAATTGCTAAGTGTTAGGGGAAGTAACTGCAAGCAACAGATTCTCAAGGAAATGAGAATCTAGGATTGGTTACCTGAGCCAGTTAAAAAATAAAATAAATAAATAAACAAATAAATTTAGGAGTCCCCAGATTCCCAAGTAACCATCACCCAGGCCACGGAATAGAACATTACCAGTACCCAGAAGCACTTATCTCTAGGTTGTCTGTCTCTTCCCAAGAGGTACTCTCCTGACTTCTAATACCAAAGATAGGTTTGCCTTTTAAACTTTATATAAAGGAACTCATGCATTATGTATACTCTGTTGTGATTAGCTTCTTTTTCTCAATATCATGTTGACTGACATTGTATATGGCCATATTAATTGTCGTTGCTGTATAGTAGTCCTTTGTGTGACCACATCACAGTATTTTCCTAGTTATTATACAATCGATGGACATTTAGGCTGTTTTTACTGCTTGACTATTATGAATAATGCTGAAATGTACTTTTTTGTAGATGCCTTTTGGTGCATATTTGTATTTATTTCTTCTGGATATATGTATATGTAGAAGTGAAATTTCTAGGGCATAGAATATGTTTATATTCAGCATTAGGAGATAATACCAGATATGTTGTTGTTGTTGTTGTTGTTTTTGAGATGGAGTCTCGCTGTCTCCCAGGCTGGAGTGCGGTGGTGAGATCTTGGCTCACTGCAGGCTCCACCTCCCGGGTTCATGCCATTCTCCTGCCTCAGCCTCCCAAGTGACTGGGACTACAGGCGCCCACCACCATGCCCGGCTAATTTTTTGTATTTTTAGTAGAGACAGGGTTTCGCCGTGTTAGCCAGGATGGTCTCGATCTCCTGACCTCGTGATCCGCCCGCCTTGGCCTCCCAAAGTGCTAGGATTACAGGCGTGAGCCACCGCACCCGGCCAATACCAGAGTTTTCTGAGGTGATCATACCAAGTTACACTTTTACCATCAGTGTATGAAAATCCTAGTTATGCTATATTCTTGCTGACTCCTACCAAGCCACAGTCTTTTGAGCTTGTGTCTTTCTTTCAAAATTTTAGTCATTCTGATGGGTATGTAGTGACAGCTCATCATAGTTTCAATTTGCATTTCTCTGATGTCTAATGAGGTAGAGCATCTTTCCATACAATGGTCTGATATTTGTAAATTCTCTTTTCTGAAGTGACCCAGTTTCTTGATCATTTCACTCCCTGGTTATCTGTCTTTTTCTTACTGACTAGTAAGACACAAACTCTTTGTTGGTTATATTTGGTGCAAATATCTTCTTTCACTCTGAGGATTTCCTTTACACTCTTCTAGTGGTTTTTTTTTTGTTTTTTGTTTTTTGATGAATAGGGTTTCTTAATTTTAACATAATCCAATTTGTAGTTGAGTTTTAAGGAAGTGAGGACCTGGTTCACATGACAGGATGGGACGCTGATAGTCCATGGCAAGCAGGGGCGAAGTGGCCTTTAAATTTCAGCTGCAGCTGCATGGAAAGAAGTGCAAAGTCTGAAAAAATGAGTGGCTTCTGACAACAATTCTGAAGATATTGAGGAACACAAGGGCTTTGGGGTGGAATGGCTGCTTCTAATCATGTCAGAGGGCCTACAATAAAGCAATGATGAGCTCAAGATTTTAAATCTTTGGGTAAAATCTGTCAAAAAGTCAGGAGCATTTTATACTTTTGCAAGATAATACATTTTCTCTTGTATCCACAAGGCTGTTCTGGCCATAAACCAAACAACATTTGATCATACGGATGGATGAATTGTACTGCAGACAGAATTTAAAGAATTTATATAAATTTATGAATTCACAACCAGAGAAAATCATGGCATTGAATGGGAAACAGACCCTGAGAATTGAAATTGGGATGTTTGGGAAGATTTAAATGATTTACTGAATCCTCAAATCCCCAAATACTTAAAACCCACTGACGCTCTCTTAGGGCAGCACTAGCTCCAAATATTATGTCTGATGAGGCCGATTTGCTTAAAAGTCTATAACAAACTCACCTAGGGTAGCTGTTTGCAAAGGGAGGCAGGCCAATTTCCCTCATGGCCCACTTCTACTTTCACTGTCATCAAATCTATATCTAGAGTCAGATATCAGATGAACCCAGGAGAAAGCTTACGCACTAAAATAACTGCAAGTATGCATTTCAAAATGAATCTTACCATGTTAATCCATACAGCATGGCTCCCCTCAACCTGAAGACTCAGCAAGAAACCCTTTCATGGTTTCCTGTTGTGCTTAGAATAGACTTGAAGCCTTGGCAGCCCTGTGAAGTCTTGCACAGCACAGCCTCTGCCTTTATCTGCAGCCTCAACTTATACCACTCCCGTCCTTAGTCTTTTACCTCTAGTCACAATATCCTTTACATGTGCTTGTCCCTCCACCTGCGGCTCTCCTTGAATGCCTCATATCACCTATGAGGGTACGTTTCACTCTTTTTTCTTTTCCCTTTTTTTTGAGACAGAGTTTTGCTCTTGTTGCCTAGGCTGGAGTACAATGGCTCAATCTCGGCTCACTGCAACCTCCGCCTCCCAGGTTGAAGCGATTCTCCTGCCTCAGCCTCCTGAGTAGCTGGGATTACAGGCATGTGCCACCACGCCTGGCTAATTTTGTATTTTTAGTAGAGACAGGGTTTCTCCATGTTGGTCAGGCTGGTCTCGAACTCCTGACCTCAGGTGATCCACCCGCCTTGGCCTCCCAAAGTGCTGGGATTACAGGTATGAGCCACCGCGCCGGCTTTTTTTTTTTTTTTTTGAGATGGACTGTGGCTCTGTCACCAGTCACCAGGCTGGAGTGCAGTGGCATGATCTCGGCTCACTGCCACCTCTGCCTCCCGGGTTCAAGCGATTCCCCTGCCTCAGCCTCCCGAGTAGCTGGGACTACAGGCATGTGCCACCATGCCCAGCTAATTTTTTGTATTTTGGCAGGAGACGAGGTTTCACCATGTTGCCCAGGATGGTCTCCTTACCTTGCGATCTGCCTGCCTCGGCCTCCCAAAGTGCTGGGATTACAGGCGTAAGCCACTGTGCCCGGCCTTCACTCTTTTTTCAAATGTCAGTGTCCTCCGCATAATCTTTCCTCACTCCTTGTTCCTCCTCCCCAAATCTAGGTCAGGCTCCTGGCTGATATATTCTTATTGAACGATGCATGTTGCCTTCACTGCATTTATTTCTGTGTGCAATTATATTCTGGCTTTTTTGGTGATTATTGATTAAGGTTCATATCTCACCAGAAATTCTAAGTTCTATCAGAGAGCAGAGATCATGTTTGTTGTTTATCATCATGTCTTCAGCATTTAGCATGTGCCTATTGATTAAAAGGAGCAAACTTCTGTTTATTCTTGAAGATGGAGATGATGACTACTTCACAGGCACTTTGCAAGGTCTGATGACATTGACAATACATTGGACAAAGAGCAAAGGAAGAGGAGTCTGCAAAACAACAACAACAACAACAGAAAAAAACAAAATAAAACAAAGGGTCATCGGAAGAGTAACAGGAGAAAGAAGAGTTAATGTGTGGTGGAATCCTTGGGAAAGCATGAGTCAAGAAGTATAGTATACACAATTCAGATAACCAAGGGGTTACTTCCAAAAGGATGAATGTATTTGTAGGCAAGGCGCATGGAAATAAGGTATAGCTTGCATAAAAATCCAGAGTTTTGGTAATAAAATCTTTCTGCTGAGTTTTAATTTGGATTTGAATAAAAAGGAAAAGCCACATAAATTACATTATTGGGGAAGTATTAATACACTAAAACTCCCCAAGCAGATAGATAGTATTGATTATCTTTTTCACTTCAAAACTGTTACAGAGTTAGAATAAAGTAGAGATGAAGGATATTGGCAGGCCAGAGGCATAGCAAATACGTTCTTGAGCCATCTTGTAAACAATTTATTTATAGAAGGCAGAGTATAGAACGCATGGAATTACTATCTAATTTCTGACTATGATCAGAATCTTTAAGTATGAAACTATGTAAATCCAGTTAGATGGAAGGATAAAGGACTTCAAGGGTTCAATTCTACTGCCTGATGGGACCCTAAGATTAGTTCAGATTTTAAAAGAATATGTTATAATAATACTTTTAGATTGCCTTTTGACTTACAAAAAAGTCACATGTTTGTCTTCTTTTATCCCCACCATAATTCTGTGAGACAGAAGTTAGCTTGTGTATTTTAAAAGTAAGAAACTTACCAATCAGGGAGACGAAGTGAGTAAACAGATCAAGAGCTTGTCAGGGATAGAGTTTCTGAGAAGCAGCAGATGGAAGAGCCAGCATGAGAATATCCTAGATAAGTAAGAAGATGTGGACTCAAGGTCTGGATGAATACAATTGATAATTTCACTAATAATGAAAAGTAATTAATGCTAATGTTACAAGACATTCTCAGGTTGTTTCAGGATAAACCATGAGATTCAAAAGAATTATTCAACAATTTGAAAATTTCAGAACCACTTGTGTTTGTTGCCACCAATTCATATAAAAGAAAATCTTCAACAATGAGTTGATGTTCACCCTGGTCAAATACAAGCAAAACGCCAAGTTTAATACTGTCAGTAGATTGACTCATCTACAAGACAAAATACAATTCTGTAGATAACATATTTTTCCCCAACTTTTATTTTAAGTTCAGCGGTACATATGCAGGATGTGCCGGTTTGTTATGTAGGTAAACATGTGCCACGGTGGTTCATAGCGCAGATCATCTCCTCACCTAGGTATTAAACCTAGCATTCATTAGCTAATCTTCCTGATGCTGCAGATGATATATTGACATATTCTTCATGTTTACAACTAAAACTGTAATGGCACGTGTTTCTGTATTCCTGAAAAATGTCACTGCAGAGATTCCTTTTACTAACTTTTCATGCAGCAGGCACTCAGCAAGGTAAACAATGCAAAGCTTTATTGGTGTCTCAGCTACCATGTGTGTTCCTTCAGTCAATGCAACATGTAACTTAGCCTTTAAATACCTCAGTGGCTTTTTCACTTCTAGTTTGAAAAGTTATAACTTTTTTTGGTCTCTAAAGAGGTTATCTTGTCTATTTTTAAAATATCTAATTCCTGGCCGGGCGTGGTGGCTCATGCCTGTAATCCCAGCACTTTGGGAGGCCGAGTGGGCGGATCACTATGTCAGGAGATTGAGACCATCCTGGCTAACACGGTGAAACCCCGTCTCTACCAAAAATACAAAAATTAGCTGGGCATGGTGGCACATGCCTGTAATCCCAGCACTTAGGGAGGCCGAGGCGGGCGGATCACAAGTTCAGGAGATTGAGGCCATCCTGGCTAACATGGTGAAACCCCGTCTCTACCAAAAATACAAAAATTAGCTGGGCATGGTGGCACATGCCTGTAATCCCAGCTACTCAGGAGGCTGAGGCAGGAGAATCGCTTGAACCCAGGAGGTGGAGGTTGCAGTGAGTCAAGATCGCGGCACTGCACTCCAGCCTGGTAGACAGAGCCAGACTCTGTCAAAAAAAAAAAAAAGAAAAAAAAATTCCAATTCCCCCTCCCCCTCCTTCTTATTTAATTCAAAATGATGCTGTAACTTAATTGGCACCATAATACTATTCTGAAAGGTTCTGTTGCACAAAACACACAAAAAAAAGTAAATTCTTTTTTTTCTTTTTATACTTACAGTGGTCTGTAGTAAATTATTAGCATCTATAAAGACAGGAAAGACAGCTTATCATATTTTATTTCTTATTTACAGTTTTACTGGTTTTCTTGGTGTCTATTCCTTCCTTCCATGAGTCAAGAGAACCCTAGGATATGACAGTTTCATCTTTTTCAACATATTGAGACATAGGTGGTATAACCATGGGTTGAGAAAGTGAGTCTTTTAGTTTAACTCACTAATCTACCACTAAATATAGATTTACTTATAGTATGTCATTCATTCAGTTTAAAATAAGATCTTATAAAATTCTAAAATATCAGTTTTATATAAGATTTTTAAATTTAGAAAATGTTACAAAAACAACTCAAAAGTACTATTACCATCTAAGACAACAAAGTTTATTCTTGATGTGTTTCTGCATACAAAGAAAACTTCAGGATTTCAAAATAACAATTTATTGGATCATAATGAGGATACAGAGATCATAGCCAAAGAAGTATCATAACAGCGTAGAAGAAATACTGAGAAAAAATAGTTAATATTTGAAAATGCACATACACCTTGAACCCACTCCTTTAGAAAATCCTAGAAAACACAAGAATATCAAAGCTTTATTCCACTGCTGTCAAAGTGATGACATACCATGCCATGTATTCTTTGAAAAATTCTGCCCTGCACTCACGAGAGAATGAGAGTGAAACGCAAATAACATCTCAGTGTTCCTATGAAAATAGTTTTGACGTGGTTTACCCCTCAAAAAGTCTCAGGAACCCAGATCACATTTTGAGAACCACTACTTAAACTCTAGATCACACAGTTTCACATGTATTTTGGGCAAAATTTTGGAATATCTTGGAGCCCCTAACATTGTTTCTTCCAGTAACCTTTAATAAAGACACATATCCAAGTGTCCATACACTCTAATGGAGGTGGTTTTGTGAGAAACTGATGAAATTATCTTCTGTCTAATGTGTCTCTTGGAGGAGATTTGGGACACTCAGATTACTGGTTCAAAACCAGATCTATGAAACCATCTTCCCAAAATAACACTGTTCTCCTTCATGCTTTGGATAGAAATTGATCATCAGTGTTTTCTAGGGAACATGTGGCAGTGGCATGCAGGTATCACATGTAATGACAAGTGTTATTTATACCTATCAAAGCAAATGTCTTTAAAAGGAAATTGTCTCTCCAATTATTGGAGTTTTACAATTTTCATTAAAAGGAAATTGTCTCTCCAAATCTTGAGTTTTACAATTTCCATTATCTTATAAATTTTGTAGCTTTAATATTTGCTTATCTGCCTGCCCCTGACATTCCTGAGCTATAATAATCAGGAAAGCTCAACAGACCTGTGCCAAGGTTCACCTAACCTAGTACCTAACCTCATGTTTGTTTTACATGCATAAGACAATTCTGGGAAGATTAAAGTGTAAATTCCTAGTGGAGAATTTGAGTGGCCATTTTAATTATTTAATTAATTAATTTTGGTCCAGCACTCTTGTCTGATATTTTCTTCAGGTGACAGACTACACTTTTGAGAAACAATGGTGTTTTTCTTGTGCACCTCTGACTTGAATATACCAATCTGAACCGCTGCCAGTGGAGAATCTAACCACCTTCAAAATGATATCACTTTCATTCAATAATAAACATACCCAAGATTTGATGCTTAGCCTCCCGTAGCTCTTCTTCTGAGTACTTGTTCTGAATGATGCTATCGTTTTGTCTAAATTCAAAATCAATCTCAGTTTTCGTGATAGTTTGATTTCTATTATAATATTTCAACATTTTTAGATTGTGATTTTATATGACCTAGCTTGAGAAGGATTAATGCCTAAATAAATCTCTTACACTTTCAGCTTTCCTGAAATCCCACGTAACCCACAATAGCTCTCAAAAGCTTCAAAAAATAGTGATGAAAAAGGTTAACTCTGATGCTGTTCTGGAGCTGAAAGCAGATTTTGACCTTGGATAAACATGCTGGATTTTCGCTATTGAATGTATTGGGCACAATTCAAGGTACACAGTCATTCCAGAATGTACTTGATAAAAATAAGAAATTTGCATGTCTTAGAGGGACATGGACACATTCTTTATACTCAGTTGCAGACTGGTTGTTTTAAAAAATTAAGTGTTAACAATTTGCTTACAGTTCTTGCTCATATATGGTAACTCGAAAATTGTCAGTGCTGAGTTTAGCTGGAAAACTCCTGGAAGTGTCAACCCATTCTCAAAATAAATGGTTTTCACAGCTATGATTTTATACAAAAATTTTGAGCGGTTTAGAGTATCAATCCTTTTCATTACCATTGTGCTTCATTTAAATTAAATTTTCAAGAGAGTTAATGTGCCGACATGCTATTGTCAAACTGAACAACAACAAAAAACAAACCCCAGTCCCTTGAATAGAATTTATTTCAAGATTGTTTTGAAATAGTTTTCCACTTTAAGGTATGTGAACTACAGAATTTGTATTTTTATTTAGTCAAAAACATGTGGTTGTTGAAATACTCCTTAATTTATTTTATTGGCTATATTGATTTTCTCACTTTAAAACATCTAATAACAATTACTCACTGTTTGTGCTGGAACATTATGAACACCAACAAGGACATTTCCCTTAAAAAGTAATGGTGTCCTAATGTATGTTACAGGTTGATGGGTGCAGCAAACCACCATGGCACGTGTATTCCTATGTAACAAACCTCCACATTCTGCACATGTATCCCAGAACTTAAAGTATTTTAAAAAAAAAAGTATGGCCGCTCACAGTGGCTCACTCTTGTAATCCCAGCACTTTGGAAGGCCGAGGCGGACGGATCACGAGGTCAGGAGATGGAGACATTCCTGGCTAACACAGTGAAACCCCGTCTCTACTAAAAATACAAAAAATTAGCCAGGCGTGGTGGCGGGCGCCTGTAGTCCCAGCTACTCGGAAGGCTGAGGCAGGGGAATAGCTTGAACCCGGGAGGCGGAGCTTGCAGTGAGTCGAGATGGCACCACTGCACTCCAGCCTGGGTGACAGAGCGAGACTCCGTCTCAGAAAAAAAAAAAAAAAAAAAAAAAAAAAAAAAGTAATGGTGTCTGAAAAAGGAGGAAAGCTTGTCATAAAGACTAGGTTCTGGTGCCAAAATAGAGAATAAAAAAGTAGAGTCCATTTGTTGAGTGGTAACCATAATGAAGTCAGTCTTAGACATACTGCTACTGAGACAGCTCTACAACACACAGGAGTAAAGGTCCAATGGGCCATAGGAAGTCAGAACTCAAGCTCAGAAATGAGTCTGGACTGGATGTATATATTTGAGGACTGGGCTAGAGATGATTACTATGTATAGCTTGCTCACACCACCAACACCTCCCACAGCTCCTGACCCTGTTGATGAGATTCTGAGGGAGGAGATGTCCCAGGGTGACAAACTTACAAACACACCTGTTACCTATTTTTCATGGCTTAGTTCCAATAGAGCTATTTTAACCAAATTCTCCCTGTCAATTAAATTTGAATTAAGAAACAAGAAATACAAAATGTGTTTACCCATTGGAAGAGAAAGTTCAAGGGAAGATGTCATGAGACAGAATCAAGGCTCGCAGGGCTGTGACAAACCAAAACCACACGTGAACCAAAGTCATAAGTGAGAAGAACTCAATTAACTAGAGAAAGCCCAACGAAGGCAGAACAGAAACAAGGGAATCTACTAAATGTGGCTGAACCTTGTCAACAAAAGAATGATCCTGTGAAAATGATTGTAAGAAATAAGAAAAACCCAAAAGTGGTTTTTCCTTTTGTCTTACACAGTCATACTCATCACACTTCTGACATCAACTGTGACAAAGAAAGAACCAGTGTTTTTCCTACTCTATATCTCAATATAGATCACCTCTTGTCATCAAAATGAGTGAAGATTTCTTCTCACCAACAACCAATTCTGTGGCAGACCCTCCAGCAGACATCAGCTAAGTGTCCTCTAATTCAATTCAACTCTGGCACTATTTACCTGGAGATAGCAGCTGATCCCACGGGTTAAGGGCTTAGTCCCCTGTGGCTGCCTCCTACTTCAGGTCCCACTTGCAGGCACAGGTTTCCACCTGTACTTCTGACCAACCAGCTATAAGTCAGGTTCCACAGACCCCCTTCTTGGGTTCAATTAATTTGCTAGAGTCTCACAGAACTCAGGAGAACACTTTGCCAATATTAACCCATTCATTAGAGAGAATATTACAAAGGATATAAACGAACAGCCAGATGAAAGAGGTGCTCATTGTGAGGTATGGGAGAAGAGGCAAGGAACTTCCATGCCCTCTCCAGGTGTGCCACCCTCCAGGAGCCTCGACATGTTCATCTCTCTGGAAGCTCAACTGAATCCTGTTCTTTTGGGTTTTTATGAAGGTCTCATTACTTAGCTATGAATGATTATATCATTGGTCATTGGTGTCAATTCGACCTTCAACCCCTTGGAGAGTGGAGCTGAAAGTCCCAACCCTCTAATAATGCCTTAGTCTTTCCAGTGACCAGCCCTCATCCTAAAGCTACCTAGGGGGTCCAAGCCACCAGTCATCTCATTAGTATACAAAAAACACTCATCACCTTAGAGATTCCAAGGATTTTAGGAGCTGTGTGCCAGGAAACAGGGACAAATGCAGATTTTACAGTTCACAAGGATGAACTCAACAATAGTGTCCACAGGTCACATTGGCTCCAGAACCATAGTTCAGTTTCATGATTGTGGATTTAGCTCTATGATGGGTCATGATTTCATCTTCATAGGGTACATACTCCTACTCATTTCAGATACATCTTTGGCTTAATCATTCACTCAACAAACATTCTTCAGCATTTACTATGTGTAAGGTGCTTTGAAGATCAAGAAAGAAAAGGGCATAGTCATTGCCTTCAATGATGCAATCTAATAGGGCAGATAAAACGTAAAAGTGATTATATGAGTTAGCCAAAGTGCTATAGAAATGAAAAGGAAAATACATGTATTTCCAACTAGTAGGAAGAGACATGTCTTCATGAATTCAAACACATTTGACCTGAGCATTGAAGGACATTGAAGGATTAGTAGAATTTGAACTTGCCAGGGAAGGGTGAGAAAGAATTAAGATGGAAGCAAAAGCATGAAGAAATCCTTGGAGACAGAGACCTGGGGCATGTGCTGGAATGACAGGTTGACTGTGGACCAGTTCTTTAACTGTGTAAGAATTCCGGATCCTTCTGTCAGCAAAACAAGGGCAAGAATGGTATCTTGGGTATCTTCTTGGAAATCACTTTTTGTTTTCCAAAATTAGGAGCCATATATTAGTTTTACATATTTCCCACAGGGAAGAAAAGGATACCTTTCCCTAAATTGTTCATCAGTGGTGAGTGTAAGTGTGTACATGTGTTCTTCTTATTAACAAACTATAAAATTAGACATCAAATTATTAATTAAATTTATAAATGGTCACCAGTACTCACACAAAGTAAACAGATTCAGTTATTTGACCCTGGCCACTTTTGCCGACTTGAGCTCATCACACAATTTGTATGCTGAATACATGAAAGCTTTCTGCAAAACCACAGGCAGAGCAGTCAAATCAGCTATGGCCAACAACCACTAGATACCTCCTACTCAAAGTTTTCTTGCATGTTCTCTGAGCAAATGTGTTATCTGAGAGTAAAGATTAATTTAGATGAAGACTTTAAAAATATACCTAGCTATATTCTCTGCTAAGGAATGCAACAAGAAATTTCATGCATGTCCCCAAATACAGGAGTTGAAAAATACAAAATAGAAATATCTACACTTATCCATACAAACATGCATAGCAATTTACTCAAAAATACAAGCAATGACTTAAGATCAAGGATTAACAAGTAGATATTTTTTACTGATGTTTCCCTACTAAGTCCCCATAATTTTTTGCCACAGGGAAGAGATAGCCCAGAGGTGTTTTATGGCAGTCAGGTTCACTCCTGATCTGTTATTACTGTTGTCAACCAGAATATCTTTTCTGGTGGGAGATGATGATAGTAAGCAATCTGGAAAACACATGAATTTGACTGTTACCCCCTTGTATTAGTTCGTTCTTACAGTATGATAAAGATACTACCTGAGACAGGGTAATTTACAAACAAAAGAGGTTTAATTGACCAACAGCTCACAGGTCCGCGTGTCTGGAGGGGCCTCAGTAAACGTACAATCATGGCGGAAGGTGAAAGAGAAGCCAGGCACATGTTACATGATGGCAGGAGAGAGAGAGAGAGAAAGGGGAAGCCCCAAACACTTATCAAACAACCAGATCTCGTGAGAATTCACTCACTATCACAAGAACAGCATGAGGGAAATTGTCCCATGATCCATTCACCTCCCACCAGGTTCCTCCCTCAACACGTAGAGATTACAATGTGTATTACAACTTGAGATGAGATTTGGAAGGGGGCACAGCCAAACTATATTACCCCCAAACTTAGTAGATGTTAGGGTTGATATACTTTGAAACACAAGGAAGCTTTTTTTAGTCAAGGCATTTCTGGGGATTCATTAGCTGAGATTCATGTGTTGAAACAGCCAAAGGGAGTACTCCCCAGGGGAGTGAATTATGCTTCAATCCATTCTTCACAGTCCACCACCTTGCCCTGCTTAAACCAGCATTGGCTTCCACATTTCTTTTTAATTTTTAAGTTGAAAATAGAATGCTGAGAATAATGTAAAGTAATATCCAAGTTTAACAAATATAAAGATAAAGCCTGTGTTTCTAGTATCTGATCATGAAATAGGACATTATCAGTTCAGCACCCTGGAAACTCCCCTTGAAACCCTCCCTTATCATAACTCTCTTTTGTTAAGTAACCACTACCTTATCTTCTGTGAGGGTATTTCCTTCCAAATTCTCCCAAAATATTTCCTCCCAAATGCTAATTTTTGTAAACTTGACCATTCACATACGCCTCCCTAAACAATACTGCTGAGTTTTGGATGAATTAAAGTTTACAGAAATGGTAGCACACTAAGTCTCTTTATGTTTCTGGGTCTTTTCGCTCAGCATTATGTTCTTAAATGCTTTCATTTTGTTGCAGGTAGATGCAGTTCATTCATTTCCATTGTGTTCATATACCAAAATAAATGATCTATCCTAATTATCTATTCCATTAGTATTGGATGTTTGGGTTATTTCTAGTTTGGGGGTACTACTAAGAATTGGTGCTATGAAGACTCTTGTCTGGAAACCTTGGCACAAATGTGCTTACATGGCTCTGGAGGATATACCTGAATGTGAGATTGCTGAGTCACAGAGAATGTATGTTACATTCAACTCTATTAGACAACACCAAACTATGTTTCAAAGTGATGGCACCCACTGATACACCTACAAGCAAAGAATGAGAATTCTAGTTGCTTCATATCCTCATCAATGCTTGATATTTTCAGATTTTTTAATTGTTGCAAGTATATCTCTTCTTGGGCCACCAGTTACTGATTTTTCTACTGCTTTTGGAGGACTTGCCAGAATACACAGACAAGGATTTAGAGATTTGGGGTGACCTTCTGAAGTAGAATGATTTGGTATATTTCCCCTGTTTTCTTATTTAACATCATATTCTAACCATCAAAGCAAATTTTGATCATGAGCTTCAGTGGTATTATATAAACTTATAAAAAGAGTAAGACAATCAAGGAGAGAAGTGGAGAATACATTGTGCTTCCAGGAAACCCTGTGAAACAATACTAGTATTTTGTTCTTTTTTAAAAGTCCTGTCATTACTTACTCGATACTATTTGGCTGTGTCCTCACCTAAATCTCATCTTGAATTGTAGTTCCCATAATCCCCACGTGTCATAGGAGGGATCCGGTGGGAGGTAATTGAATCTTGGGGGTGTTTACCCCCATGCTGCTGTTCTTGTGATAGTGAGTGAGTTCTCCTGAGATCTGATGGTTTTATAAAGGGCTTTTCCCCCCTTGCCTGCCACCATGTGAAGAAGGACACGTTTGCTTCCCCTTCTGCCATGATTGTGAGGCTTTCCCAGCCATGTGAAACTGTGAGGCCCTTACACCTATTTTTCTTTATAAATTACTCAGCCTTGGGTGTGTCTTTATTAGTAGTTGAGAATAGAAGTATACAATACTTCAGTGATTTAGGCTGGAGTTGGCCAAGAGGTATCTAGCTATAACAAACCTGCATTTTCTTGAGGACCTACTTGCTCCCCACCTGCCTACTCCTGTGATTCACTAAGAAATGGCACCATATACAGAAAACACCCCAGGGCAGCATGCTCAGACTACACAGTGACTAAGAGAAATGGCCACTTCACTTTTACTCAATGGTGGAATTTGTTGGGAAGTATGGGGAGCTGGATGAATACTAAAAAGGAGAGATGCTGGTGAACCGAGGTGAGGATCATTGGTTGGGTGTAGCATATGAGGTTTGAGTGAAGGTGACAAGTCAGGAGGGGACAATAGGTCAATGGAACCATGAAGAAAAGGTTACTCTGCAAGTTGAAGGTGGCTTAGAGGACCAAAAGCACTTTCAAAAAACATGCAGACTGCTGATTCACACTCACTGCATTTCACTAAGATTTTTAGAGAGCTGTCCAAATGTTTCAACACCTGCTTCACATGAGGGAAAATCCTGTTGTAAACAATAGTGAGTCATCACCCAGGGCCTGCGAGAAAGGTGCTCTTGGGGTATATGCACATTTGCTCCAGGTTCCCTTTGATGGACAGTGACTGAAAATAGAATCTAACCTTCTTTGCCCCAGAAATGTTTGCCGAAAAAGGGAAAATTGTAGGTGAAAAAAAAAAAAATAACAGGACACGTATTATATACCTAAGCACATAAATAAATCTATCCCTTATGTATTTGTGTAGCTGGAAAACATGATAATTACATTTCCAAATGGTTATTGAATCCCCTGCAAATGTATACTTAAAAAGTCATAGCAATGAACAGAGACTGGATGGCTCATTAGTTGTGAGAAATAAAGGCATTCCATTTACATCACCTATTCCAAGGAGAATGAGGCCAGAAGCAACTTGACTGAATAGCAAAAAGGCATCCTTTGTGAATAGGTGAGATCACAAAACACAGATTGCAATGTTTAGTATTATTATCCACTTACTCACTCTTTCAGCCAGTGGTTACTAAGTGTTATGTGACAAGTGCGTTGATACGATAAAAGCTGGAAATACTAAGATGACAAAACATTGCCCCCTCATATAGGGAAAGAGAAGCAGATTAGCCTAAATTTAACACAATATCATGAAGGCTGAAAATGTATAAGAAGCTATACAGAGGAGAAAAAAATATAAACTAAAGTTATTTGTAATAATGCCTTATATTTGAATAGCTCTAAATGATTGGGCCAAAATAGCAGCTTGGTGAAAACTATGCTAGATGGCCCAGTACTTTAATCAAAATGACAACTTAGTTAAAGAAATAATAATTATTAATGTTTTAAATAATGGCAATGTTGTTGCACCAAGGGTTTGTTTGCAGTTCTTTATATAGATTTTTAATATTTTTGCCCATTTTCAGAGCTTTTCCTTCAGTCTTTTAAATTTCTAATTTATTTTAGACAACTCCTTTAAAAAGTAAGCTTCATGAGGTCAGGACATATCTCCTTTTTGTTTACAATTTTATTTCTGATACTTATTGCAGTTCCTGACATATAGTAGTTTTTCAGTGTATTTAGTTAAGGAGTGAATGAGGCCGGGCGTGGTGGCTCACTCCTGTAATCTCAGCACTTTTGCAGGCCAAGGCAGGCAGATCATGAGATCAGGAGTTCGAGACCAGCCTGACCAACATGGTGAAACCCTGTCTCTACTAAAAATACAAAAATTAGCCAGGTGTGGTGGCGTTTGCCTGTAATCCCAGCTACTCAGGAGGCTAAGGCAGGAGAATTGTTTGAACCTGAGAGGCAGAATTTGCAACGAGCCAAGATCGCACCACTGTTCTCCAGTCTGGGCGACAGAGCGAGACTCCGTCTCAAAAAAGTAGTGAATGAATAATTTCACTATGCACAATTTATAAGCAGTAGGAGTTCATATCTTCTAGCGCAGCTGTTTCAGGCACATTCCTCACTTCCAACTGATATGTGTGATACTGCACTTTTGGGATCTTTGTAGGATATCCTAGAAATTCAGTTCCAAGCCCCAAGCAACTCATTTTCAGGACATTAGGACATTTGATGGTTCCATTCATCCTGTGTATACAACCTACCCATGCACTGTATGCTTTTTAAGATCTCTACCATGTTGTGTATATGGCCACATCAGTTGTCTCCAGGGAAGGGAACTGGATGTTTGGAGGACAAGAGTGGGAGGGAGATTTTCTTTGTTTTACTGTATACTGTTTAAAATAGTTTGACTGTTGTACCATGTGATTCTATTACATTTGTTTAAAAATGAATTTTTAAAAATGTGCTTCCATGAGCACTGTGATCTTTTGCTAAATTTGTGTTGTCTTTCAGGGAATTCCAACAGATAACCTACATATGCACTCAATACTAGACTTCACTGAGATCATTTTAAGTTAATGTTTCTTTCTCTTTTTTTTTTTTTTTTTTTTTTTTTTTTTTTTTTGAGTCAGAGTTTGCTCTGTCGCCCAGGCTGAAGTGCAATGGCACAATCCGGCTCACTGCAACCTCCACCTCCACCTCCCAGGTTCAAGCAACTCTCCTGCCTCAGCCTCCTGAGTAGCTAAACAATTTGTTGTTCAAAATAATGTCATCACTGCACAAGTTTTGAAGTGATTTGAATATAATACAATTCCCTCTTTCCTGAGTGGTAATTTTGGGAAAAATTCACTTTGTGTTTGACATATTTACCAATCTGTGGCCAATGCAGACTAATCATTAATCGTAATGCATGCAAATATCCTGCTTTGGCCATTGAAAACGTTGAAACAGATAATAAAATGCATCTACCCTTGTGTAATGAAAGTGATAGAATAATATGGCCATTTGATCAATTTTCGATCTCTTCCCTAGTCTGATAGGCCAAACTGATGAACATGCCAAGGAAGTACCATTTTAAACATCCCTTTTTATTTATTTGATCATATACCACAGCTCAGATATAGAACATCCATACAGAATAGAGACATTTTAAAGGCTATGAAAGCTTTATTAAGTCATAGTTTCTCTTTCAATGGTACTTTTCCTTCCTAAAAATTTTTAGGATCCAGCTAATGAATTAGGTGACCTACAGAGGCTTTTACATTTTAAAATACCCAGTCCATCAAGAAATAACAGGACACTCAATGACTACTGTGGTCTCAGCTCAAAAAGATCTCCTCCACCTGAACTATGTGCTCTCTCTGCTATTTTCTGGCTCTCTCCCCTATAATTCATACAGAGAATGCGTTTAGTGGTAGGAACGATTGCCAACTTTTTAACCAAATTTGCTCTCATTGCTAGACAAAGTGCTTGATGCCTTTTTTTGGTTTGAAAGTAAATGACATTCAGACACAGTTGCCTATTGATAGAGGAAGCCTTAGCTACAAAAGAATTGCTGTGTCCAATTACCGACTCAAATAAAGAAAAATAGAGAGCAAATGAAAAGTCACCTTAAAATGTGATTCAGACAAAGAATAATAAACAGTGCCATTATGCTCCTTTTAAAGAAATACACAAATGTGTTCAATATGCCTCTATTAGCACAATATAGTCTCAGATTTCAAATATACTTTCTAGTTCTTATGGGGCAAATGCCAAGCTCTCAATGAATCTATCTCCAAGAATTATATTTTTGTGTGTTTTTACTCCAGTGTGCCCTCAGAAAACATCAACTGGTTCCAAACCCCACTAATCCCATGGAAAATTGCTCAGGGCAAAACCATTACTAAAGCTCTCAAAAAGTCAGAGCTCACCAGCTGTGTGCCAAAGCCCCCTCCTCAGTGTTTACCTTAGAGTACCAGCTGCCCCAAGAGGCACAGCATTCTGCATATGGAGAGGAAGCCACAGTCACAGTTCCAATATTCCTGAGCTGCCACTGGGTGATTTAGAGACACCCTCATACATATGATGTCATGCACTCATTTTTAAAATGTGACTTAGATCTGAGGCAATACATTATTTGCAATTTTATGTATCAGTAATGCCAGTTTACAAGGATGGTTTACTGTCCGTATATGTAGGCCAGGAAGTGGTGGTGTTGAGCCTGGAGGATTGGAAAAATAAGCCCAAGTGACTGGAGTGTGAGAGGGCAGTAGCATGACTTAACCCTTAGAAATCATGAAAAGATTCTGAACTTTATCTAAGGGTAATGGAAAAGCAGAGTGACAGAACACTTGGGTTTTAGGATTTCCCAGGATTCAGCGAGGAGAGGTGAGAGTTACTCCACAACACTTTCAGGCATTGAGTTGACTTGGGTAGTGCTGGCGAGTTCTCAGCCCTCGCTACTTGTTAAATTCCCATCCCCACACCAGCTGTGTGAAAAGTAAAGCGATAGCTTCAGCATCTTTTCTCCTGCACAAAGGATCTACAGATGTCAACACTAGACAAGAGTCTGTTAGTACTTCTGTTTTACTTTATTGTTTTCGTGGTTAATAAACTATATGATAAACTGTGCCATAAGCTGACTATGGAAAGTCTCAGTTGAAAAGAGTTCCCTGATTTAAATAAAAAAATTCCATTTGGGCTGGATTTAAATCTCAAGAGGCCAGAGTTCTGTAAAATGAAATTTGTTGCAGCATATTTCACAGAGGGTTAATATAACTCACTGACATCATACATTTTATGTAGCCTTTAATGTAGCAATTCTCCACTGTAAAAATAGCCTTAATGAGAAGGTTAAAATAGTTTGAAATTGTTCATTCTAAGGGAGGAGTATAGCTGGATTTACTTTTTGAAGAACCAACACCCCACTACGAAGAAAACGAAATAAAGTCAGAATGATAGCCACGCAGCATGGGAGATTTAAATATGCTATAGGGTTGTAGATTCTTTGTTTGCTTGTTTGATTTTTAATAATAAACACATTATTCCATATGGTTAGTACAGAGAGGACTTCGTCTTCTCTTTCCCACAAAAATCCCCTCCGTTTAGCAGTTTACAACTGACTTGCTGGTTTCCAATGTACAGAATTAGAATCAGCAAAGGATCAAATGTAAGGTTCTGAACTGGTTGGAGAGATTTCTCTAATACTTTCAAAATTAGATATAATTTACATACAGTAAAATTCACCCTTTCTAATGTACACTAGTGTAAAGTTCATATGGTTGTGTAACCATTACCACCACCACAATAAAAATATCATCCCCTAAATTCCCTCATACGCTGGTTAGTCAACTACACATCCTGCTCCAGACCTTACCAGCTACTGGTCTGTTTTCTGATCTTGTAGCTTAGCTTATTCCAGAATGCCATATAAATGGGATTATAGAGTGTGTAGCCTTTGAGCCTGGCCTCATTCATTTCCATAATGCATTCGAGATTCATCTGTGTTGTTGCACGTGTCATTACTTCATCTGGTTTTTTTGCTGAATGGTCTTCCATTGCACAGGTGCACTGCAGTATGTTTATCCATTACTCGGATGAAGGATGTTTGTGTTGTTTGCACCTTGGGGTGATTTAGAATAAAGTTGCTGGAGACATTTGTGTACAGATTTTTTGTGTGAATATAGCTTTTTATTTCACTAGGGTAAATACAAATGGAATTACTGAATTTTATTGTAAATATAGGTTTAATTTTAAAATAAACTGTCAAATTGTTTAGCAAAGTAGCTGCACTTTGCATTCTCACCAGCAATGTACGAGAGAATGGCAGTTGCTCCACAGCCAAACTAAATGTCAGTATTCTCAGAGATTTTTATTTTAGCCATTTTGATGAGGATGTAAATATAGTATCATGTGATTTTAATTTTCATTTCACTAATGACTAATGATGTTGATCATCTATTCATGTTCTTGTTTATCAACATATATTTTTGGTGATTTATCAGTTCAAACCTTTTGCCCATTTTTTTTTCATTGGATTGTTTGGATTCTTGAGTTTTAGGAGTTACTTATATATACTGGATACAAGTACTTTAACAGATATGTGCTTTTAGAATATCTTCTATTATTTTTGTGGCTTCTCTTTTTATTCTCTTAAGAGTGTCTTTCAAAGAGCTGAAGTGTATAATTTTGCTAAAGTCCAGTTTATTAATTATTTTTTCATTTAATGATCATGTTTTCATCTATAAGAAATCTTTGCATAATCCAAGGGCACAAAACTTTTCTCCAATGTTTTCTTATGGAAGTTTGAAAGTTTTTGGTTTTATATTGGGTCTATGATCCATTTAAAGATTATTGTTATATACGTTGAAAGGTATGGGTGGAGGGGCATTATTTTTTTTGTTCATGGAGATCCAAACATTATAGTACCATTTGTTGAAAGGGCTGTATTTTCTCCATTTAAATTAATGTTACACATCAATATTTTAAGAGCAGGACAGTTTAAAATAGTACCAAAACCTTGAAATACATAGGTATAAATCTAACAAAACATATTTACAATCTGTATGCTGAAAATTACAAAACACTGAGAAAGAAATTTTTAAAAGACCTAAACAAGAGATATACTGTGCTGATGAACTGGAAGGCTCAATATTGTGAAGACATTAATTCTTCTTCCCATACTGCTCTATGAATTGAAAACAATCCCAATCAAAGTCTCAGTAGGATTTTTTTCTTAAAATTGACAAGCTGAAGCTAAAAATTATATGAAAAATCCAAGGATCTAGAATACTCAAAATAATTTTGAAAGGGAGAACAATGTTGAAGGACTTACACTCTCTATTTTCAAGGATTACTAAAAGTTGCATTAATCATAAAAGTATGGTATTGGCAAATGGACATACACAGAGATCAGTGGAAGAGAATAGAATATGTAGATAGAGAGTCATACCACTAAATTTTGACAAGGATTCAAAGATAATTTAATGAAGAAAGTGTGGTATTTTCAATTAATGATGCTGAAACAACTAAATATCCGTGTTTCAAGAAATGAAACAAAACATGGGGCCAAGGTAAATAAAAAACTTAACAGGAACCCGAAAAAAAAAGTCACTTATCTCTGTAGATTTTTACTCCTTTTATACTACAAGTCTTCTTTTCTTAGCCTGTCAGCGTGATTCAAGAAAACAAAAGAACCCATCTTCCTATGAGATTCCAGGCTTCCAGAGCTTTTTTGACGTTGATAAAACATACATATTTTCTATGTCTATTGGCATTTGTGAATTGTCTTTTCATTTCTTTAGTTTTTCATTTGGAGTATTCATCTTTCCCTGATTGATTTATAAGAGCTTTTCACATGTGTAGACAATATATCTGTGTTTGACACATAGCATTCAAATATTTTTTTCCAGGTTTCTCATTTCTGTCCAATTTGGTTCATGTACTTTTTGACATACAGGGGTTTTCACTTTTATGTAGATAAGTATATAAATTTTTTTCTCTTTGGCTAAATTTGTTCAGAATTCTCT
Source organism: Homo sapiens (assembly GCF_000001405.40). Lineage (NCBI taxonomy): Eukaryota > Metazoa > Chordata > Mammalia > Primates > Hominidae > Homo > Homo sapiens. The sequence goes on along the minus strand of NC_000014.9, from coordinate 53,689,565 downwards.
TGAAGAGCTTCAAATTGTCCATGAAACTTTCAGAGATGCATGTAAATATTAGAAGTAGGTGTACAAGTAAGCATTTTTTTAGGCGTTGAATCTGAAGCTTTTATCAGGTTCAATAGATTTCAACCAGTTCTGATATTTTCAAAGGGTCAAGAATCATGATATCATGTTGCTTATACTCTTATGCTTGAATAGGTGTTCACCAATCTGATATCAGATATTTATCTATATTACCTTCTAGTTTTTTATCTTAAATGTGTATATAATACATGTGGAAATTATGTTGGTGAATGACGTGAAGTAGAGATTCAAATTTACTTTCATTAAATTCAGTTATTTATCCCAGAACTATTCATAGAATAACTTTATCATATGTTATCAATTTACTCAATAAATATTTATAGATAGTCTGTAGTGAGGTAGATCTTGTTCTTGGTGGAGATATAATAAAGACTAGTAAAATCAAGTTCTTTGCCTTCAAAATGTGCACATTTTAATAGTAAGAATAATTAAATTAAATAGACATTATGCAGTGGTGAGTGCCAGCAGAGGGTTAGTAGAGGGTGATACAGAAAAATGCACAGAAGACACTTAACTGGTATATGGAATCAGGAAGATCCCCTTGGAATTTTGGGAAAATGAACAAGAGTTCATCAAGCCAAGAGAATCAGGTGGCATGTGACAGGAGGGAGAGTTACAGGAAGAGAAAATAGCAGGAACTAAGGCCCACAGGAACTGACAGATATTAGACCTAGCCCGAGTGCTTTTCCTTTTAAGCAATCTGGGTGTCCCACCTTTGTCCTTACACGTCTTACATCTCCAGGTTATGCCTAGGTGTTGGTGCCTGTTCCTTATGTTGCTTCTTATAGAATGTGAACTACTTCAATCCACATACCAGGTTTTCCTTCAGCAACAGGAAAATTTTCTCATCACGTATTTTAAAATTAGTTTATATTTCTTCTTTCAGACATTTTAAATTGCAAGTGGTTAAGGTTAGAATTCAAGGGCCTGAGCTTTGTAGTTGCCAGACCTGGCTTTCATTCCATCTTCAGCCTCTCTACTTAACAGCTGTATGGGTCAGGGCAACTTATGTTTAACTCTGTGAAGTCCAGTGTCTCCATCTATGAGCCAGAGATAATAACAATGCCTACCTCTTAGAGTTGCTGTGAAAAGCAAACTAAATTAAATAATACTTATAAAGCTCATAGCCCAATACCTGGAATATAGCACCTTTAAATGTTAACAATAACTGCAAGCTCTTAAGCTATTTAAAAATCACTTCAAAATTTGAAAAAATTAAAAACTATTTCAGTATGCAAGCTAAAACTAAAAATATATTTTGTCCACAGCCCCCTGACGGTTGGAGGCTTTTCAGAGAAGTCTTGAATAGAAGCATTATCCCTTTCTTGCAGAATGAAGGAGAGCAGAGTTCCTGGCTCTCAAAAATGCATCTTCTTGAGTAGTTTCCAAGCAACATTTCTTATAGTTGGGCATTCTGCAACCCCTCCCTTCCTTTCTCTTTGTAAATAGCTTGAAATCTTTTTTATTATTAATTTAATATTTATTTTATTAAAAACATATTAGCCAAAACAATTAGCTTGATTTAAACTTCCAACTGTTTTCCTGCCAAGGATGTTAGGAATTTTCATTATTCCCTTTGGGAATTTTGAGGCTGCTTTAGCCAGTTTAAGAACAGGGTACTGGTACACCAACGTTAATATTGGCTGTAAAACTTGCCTTAAATGAAAGGATTTGAAGTCCCATGCAAAGATATGCTGATTTAAGTAAGTTCTTAATAAAGAAGGGCCAAGCATGAAGTCTTATATTTTGAAGTCAGAAAGCATTATGCTCTGAAAGGCATAAAGTTTTGTTGCCTGACTTTAAAATGTGAATGTTTATTTGTTGTAGTTTGCGTTTCTGTATTAACCTGGTATTTCCTGAAATGGAAGATGAAACAAGGACTTGGGTACAGATGGCTTATATGGGGATGTGAAACAAGGTATGAACAACTAAGAGAAGAAAAATAGGGAAACGCAAGGCAAGAGTGTGCTATCGAGCTAGTCCTTTCCCTTGGTGGCCAAGAGTTGCCATGGGCAACTCCCTGACCCTTCCAGGTCTGTGTGTGCAACATGATGGCTAACCAGAATGCTGCAGGAGCACCATGACAGTGAAGCAGGGTGCTGTCAGGTCGTACCTGGATGCAGCTGGTTCCCATGGCAATGGCTGTTATGAAAAGGTGGGACAAGAGGATATGAGACAGGGCACAAGAAGAATCCAGTGCAGTCCACTGTTTGTATTGGTCAATTCCGGGTGCACCCTACTTCAAGTCCAAGCTGCCACAGAGCCTTTAAGATGATGACTGGCCCCAAGCTGTAAAATAACAATGCACAAAGTTAGTGAATAAGTGACAGACCCTGCTTCAGCCACTGCAATTAATATTCATCTCCTCCCTTTCTCTACTCCCTTCCCCCATTCTAGATTCCCTGATTTGACCAACATTTCAGCAGGTCTGGTTTCTTACATTGTGAGAAGAGACAGAACTTTATCTGTATAAGGTTGGAGCTTCAGTTGTTTCACTCTTGTTGAGCCATGGTTGCTGATCTCACCCACTTACAGTTACCAATGGGCATGGAATCACCAAGAAATGCCCTGGTGAATCTCTTGGGATCCAAGTGTTATCCTTCCTTTTTCAGTTGCTTAGAGATCAAAATATCTAGGTGGCAGTCAAATGTTACAAGTTTATTTAAACTCTTACGGTATCCCTAGAGAAGACTAACCTCTGAAACCAAGAATTAGGACTTTGAATTGAGCAAAGAAAGGATTATTGGGATAGGAAAGACAAATTTTATATGTTTCCAGTATCTGAAAACATTATTTACCATTTATACAATCCTGGCATTGACCAAAGCAAGCTGGTACGGTACCATGCACAAAAACTAATGGATGCTCTATTTGCACAGGTGCTACATACTGCAAAGCAAAGTATCTACAACAACTGCAATAAGCCACCCTGATCATTCTTCAACCTAAAGATTTGCAACTCATCCAAGTTCAACTGGTTGAAAGAGCCTGCCTCCTCACAGCAGTGCCTGATTGACACTATGAACTGAAATACTAAAGGCACTTCTTCTTTCAGGATAACTGATTAAATGTTCTGGCTGGTAAAGCAGGTCATCACTCAACTGTTGTGGCTTTGGCAAGATGCCACCAAAGCAGCCCATCATGGTTGGCAGAGATGTAAAGGCCCCACATATTACAGAACACCCTTTGATATGCAGACTAATTAATAGAAGACCTAAGCCTTTCAAGGGACTTCTATACCATAGGATGTTAGGAGACATCAAGAACACAAATGAAACTAAGATTTTCATACAGGGTTCAGGTTTTGTTACTTCAGATCTATAATCTAAAGTTCTGTAATCATCACATCACTCCAAGAACAAAATTTGATAGGCAAAATTCTTCACACTCATTTCATGGAGAACCTTGAGGGTCCAGAGTGAGGCTTGATGGCAAGCAGGAGCTCCCTGTCCCCTGTCTCCACCCATGCAACCCCTAGCTCCCCCATTGTTTTCACTCTAGATTTGTGAAGTATAACAACCTTAAAATCTTAAGATTTAATCTTTAAATATTAAGAGATTTGGGTTTCTGTATCAACAATCTTTAAATATTAAGAGATTTTTCCGAAGATTAATGACTTTCCTAGAGTTGGCCTACAAATTCACCACCTCAACTGGATGACTTGCTTTGGAATAAATTTCTAACACCGCAAGTGAATTGAATATTTTCTTCCTTTTTTATGTAATCTAATATAGTACATTTTTAAAAATTTATAGGATGTCCAGACACTTATAGCTTATCATTCTATGATTCAAAAGAATTTGGTATAATTGCATTGATAAGCTTACTGCCCTGGGCACCAAAGTAACCTAGAATATGGAGAAGTAGCTTTTGGTGACATGCATCTATTTATATCTCTAGCATTTACTAATTAATTAATTTGTTTAACAAATACACATTCAGTACCATTATATGTTTGGCATTGTCATAGATGTTAGAAAATCAAATATAAAAAAGAGGTAATTTCTTCACAACACACGGAAATAAGAGTATCTCTAGGAATTGTCTCTAGTTGAAATTGTTTTCTCCTACCCACCTCTACGATTCATCAATTTAGCTTTCCTTCACTGTAGTGACAGGTGTTTTAATCTCACCTAACAATATGCCTGATTAAGCTTCAACATACACAGAGAGAGGCCTGAAAAACATAACTTGGTCTCTATGTCTAAGTTTATGTTGTTAGTAATAGTTATAAGAGCCACAGCGATGGCACCATGGCGTTACCTTCTCTGAAGGCTTTCCCAGCTTTCCTAGCAAAGCTCTTTTCTCTTCCCTCTGGTTAAAAAATAAATAAAAAAAAAATAAAGGTTTTTCCTTTATTGTTATTCTTATGTGTCTGATTTTATCACATTTATTGTTTTGTTTTCTGATTGTATAAGTCATACATGCTCATTTAGAAAACTTGGAAACTATGGAAAAAGAGAAATAAAAAATAAAATCCACTCTAATCTACCTTGTTTCTATCTCTAAGGTAGCATTCGTCACTTTGGTATGAAGTTGATGTGAGTAGATCTGTCTAATCAACTAAATTTGGAGCTTCTCCTGAGAAGAACGCATGTATTCAGCTCTGTATTCCAGCTGTAGGAAGTGTGTGATGTATTGGAAACATCCCATAATTTTGAATAAGTAAGTGAATGAAAGTGTAGTCATAAACAATGACACTGGGATTAGTGAATTTTTACGTCAAATTGTATTTCCCTATTTCATATTAGCATGCATGCACGTGCATATGTATAATGAAGCTTTATAAAATTTTTTTTTGCCAAAACATACATAATATTCCCTAATAGCACAAAGGTGATCTAAAATAGTTATCAGTATCTTAAAACCTTGGCAGAATTTGAAAGATACAATTACATAATATCTGGGGCTAGGATTATTCAGCTGGACAATCGTTACTCATTTTCTGGAGAATGAAACTATAAATAAGGTTGTGTAAGTGACAAGTGAATTAGACATGAGTTCACTTGATGATCTTTGACTTCTAGAAAGGACTAGAAGTGAAATTTATCACAAAACTGTTTCTATTTCACATAAAATATTTTAAAGGAATAATATTTTTGTCTAAAGAGTGACTTGAATTGCAACATTTGACAGAAATTTCAGCAGCGTTTCCCATTTTCTTTCCATTTGGTTTTAACAAAGAAAAATCTTAATTGTCAAATTAACCAAAGATTGGCCCATACATAGAATCTGTGTTTGAAAGTGCATTATTCAGGCTCCACACAGCCTGAAGGAGACCCAAATGAAACCTCCACCGCCAGCAGTGACAGAATTGGGAAAGAAAATATTTTGGTGAAAACATTTTCTTTCAACATTTTATCTCACAATGAAATTCAATTTCCCCTTGGTGAATTCTTACATGTTTCAGTGTGTAGCTTTCTATACACTTACTACCCAATATAGGTTGGGTAGTAAGAGAACCTTTCTCCACATCAGCAGTCCCAGAGTGAAAGAGCCCTGGCAACTACAAAGAAGTTACAGACTTCAACTGCAGAATTGCTTATCTATCTTTAAGTCCTTTCTTCCAAGGATTTCTAAGCATTCGATGGGCACCATAATAGTTTGTTATTGACTTGATCAAAAGGTACTTTTAAAGTATTCACGGGATGTGGAGCCTTGCAGAGCTAACCATTTTAGTCTAGAGCTAAAATGATAACTGGCTGAACCCATACATGGGCACATAAAGTAAGGGAGACATTTCTGGGTTCACTTTTCAAAGGGAAACTGAATACTAAGATGCTAAACTCAGTTCCCATGGTAAATTTGTTCCAGAAATTTTTTTAAGAGCCCAGTTTCATATCTCACCTAGAAGTAGCTGATGAATAGAAAGAAAAAAAAAGCGTTAGGGAGTTGCTGATGTTGAAAGAGATAAGATTTACGGGTAGTTACACATTATACAGATGGGTAATTCGCATGTTGAGCCATCTAATCTTGAATTGGCTCAGACATGCCACAGCAAATTTTCTAGAAATCTAATGTTTCATTTATTGGAAAGAACCCAACGATCTAATCCTAACACAGTGTCACGTTTCACTGCTGAATAAGTCAATGCACAACATAGAATTAAGAGGCTCATTAATTATATGGTCATAAATTTGAGAGTGAAAAAGGCAAATTGGGTATTTTGGAGTAATTAATGGCTTTGGGGGATGAACAACCAATTTAGGGTGATTAACCAAATGAAAAGAAAAGCTCACCTAGGCTCTTTGGCAAAAAATCACAGTGCCTGTGACAAGGATGGGTACTTGTGTTGGCCACTTTTAATCCATATTTTTGGATAACCTTAAAAAATAGTCTTTAAAAGCCAAAAAGAAATAATTACAATTCCTAGCTTATATCAGCACATATGAGAAAACACCTGATATTTGTCAGGAACAAACGAATGGGTCAGCTTACCAGGGCTTACCAGACAGCTTTCTGCTCTCCATTTAGTAAGTCCCCTCATCCTGACTAGGCAATACTGTCATAAATACACACAGAGAAGGAAAGTCCAAAGGGAAAAGTGTTGTTGTGATAGTTTTCTAACTAAAAGAAATCATTCTAGAATTTAAGTTAAAAGATCACAAATACCTTTTCAATAGCCCAAGATGTCATAGCTCGGGATGGATCTATACACTTAAGTAAGTGTGGTGTCAATTACTGTAGACATCTCTTAGATTGTGTGGTGACTTATACCAAGGCTTATTTGTAAGGACAATGTTCTAGAAAGTCAACAAGTGGCTAACAAACTCTGTAACCAACTGTATGAATCTTAACAGTAACAACTCCTAAATTGAATGTAGTCCCAAATAATGGTGCACAAATCAAAAATAATTCCCAGTTTCATACCAGGAAAAATACAAACATCAAGACATGTGCAATACAATAGCAAGTTAAGAAGCTCTTGTGCACTGTTTTGAGACAGTGTGATTAAAGATGAATTCTAAAAATATCTTCAGTACAGACGAAAAACCAAACCAATTCATGCCTAATCTGGAAAAGCCTCCATAAAACATACATCTATACTGAAGAGCACAGCACCAGTCATTTCTTAAACTGCAAGCCATAGGTCTTCATTTGCAGTCGATGCTTTATTTTTGTTTTTTCAATGGAATGATGTTAAGGTCAAATCAATTATTTCAGGTCAAACATCTACTTTCCAAGATTCTTACATATCACTTATGCTTCCATTTTTCCAGTGGACACTGGAGCCAAGATCCCTGCCACTTGGTGCTGTCATGAACGGTCCCAGGGTAATTTCCCTGATGTGCAGGTGTGCCGCAGTGCATGGGCCGTCTCTGGAATCCAGCTCAACATTTGAACAAAGAGAGAAATTAGCTCGCCCTTTGCCCTCAGGAGAGGAAACCTGTGTCAGAAAATATCAGCCATGTCTCCAAGCTAAAACTGACCAAACCCCAAGCTTTAATTGTCGGATGGGCCCTTACATTCTGGAATGTCCTAAACTCCAGAATCTCACCACCACTGGTGCTGCACAAGGGGAAATGGGGGAGGCAGGCCTGTCTAAGGGGCCAGTCCATAGGGATACATGGCTAGAAATATCAGAAGGACTTCATTAGGGCAGCATGTCACCTATACAGTCACCTAATACAGTCTTCATGCCAGGGTCCCCCAAGGATTATGTTATAGAAATGTTCTAGTGAACTTCAAAAATTAGAGAAGGAATGCAGTGATTTATCCTAACAAGAGATAGTTCTATGTTCAGATGGAAAATCTGAGTTAAATGAACTTTGTGGGGGTTAGATACCTTCAGAGTAAAAGCTCACTTTGAATACAACATTACAGAAATGAAGGTGTATTTTATGTTGTATCAACCATCTTTTTGATGAGGGCAGCACTACCCGGACTAAGCTTCAGGCAAGATTGCAGGGTCTGGGACTTTAATTTAGAATTGAAGTATGTTAAAGCTGGAAGAATCCTTAGAAGCCTTCTGAGCCAGTTATTCCCAAACAGGTGCTTAAAAATCGTGTAGGGAGGCTACAGTAACCAAAACAGCATGGTACTGGTACCAAAAAGGAGATGTAGACCAATGGAACAGAACAGAGCCCTCAGAAATAATACCACACATCTACAACCATCTGATCTTTGACAAAACTGACAAAAACAAGAAATGGGGAAATGATTCCCTATTTAATAAATGGTGCTGGGAAAACTGGCTAGCCACATGTAGAAAGCTGAAACTGGATCCCTTCCTTACACCTTATACAAAAATTAATTCAAGATGGATTAAAGATTTAAATATTAGACCTAAAACCATAAAAACCCTAGAAGAAAACCTAGGCAATACCATTCAGGACATAGGCATGGGCAAGGACTTCATGTCTAAAACACCAAAAGCAATGGCAACAAAAGCCAAAATTGACAAATGGGATCTAATTAAACTAAAGAGCTTCTGCACAGCAAAAGAAACTACCATCAGAGTGAACAGGCAACCTACAGAATGGGAGAAAATTTTTGCAATCTATCTATCTGACAAAGGGCTAATATCCAGAATCTACAAAGAACTCAAACAAATTTACAAGAAAAAAACAAACAACCCCATCAAAAAGTGGGTGAAGGATATGAACAGACACTTCTCAAAAGAAGACATTTATGCAGCCAAAAGACACGTGAAAAAATGCTTATCATCACTGGCCATCAGAGAAATGCAAATCAAAACCACAATGAGATACCATCTCACACCAGTAAGAATGGTGATCATTAAAAAGTCAGGAAACAACAGGTGCTGGAGAGGAAGTGGAGAAATAGGAACACTTTTACACTGTTGGTGGGACTGTAAACTAGTTCAACCATTGTGGAAGACAGTGTGGCAATTCCTCAGGGATCTAGAACTAGAAATACCATTTCACCCAGCCATCCCATTACTGGGTATATACCCAAAGGAGTATAAATCATGCTGCTATAAAGACCCATGCACACGTATGTTTATTGCGGCACTATTCACAATAGCAAAGACTTGGAACCAACCCAGATGTCCATCAATGTTAGACTGGATTAAGAAAATGTGGCACATATACACCATGGAATACTATGCAGCCATAAAAAATGATGAGTTCATGTCCTTTGTAGGGACATGGATGAAGCTGAAAACCATCATTCTCAGCAAACTATCACAAGGACAAAAAACCAAACACCACATGTTCTCACTCATAGTTGGGAATTGAACAATGAGATCACATGGACACAGGAAGGGGAACATCACACACCGGGGCCTTTTGTGGGGTAGGGGGAGGGGGCAGGGATAGCATTAGGAGATACACCTAATGTAAATGATGAGTTAATGTGTGCAGCACACCAACATGGCACATGTATACATATGTAACAAACCTGCATGTTGTGCACACGTACCCCACAACTTAAAGTATAATAAAAAATATATATATATAAAAAAATCATGTAAGGAATTTGTTGACAATGCAGACTCCCAGGCTCCACCCTGGAGATGTTGACTCTGGGAATCTGCTTTGGTTCTGAAATGGGTGCTCTGTGAAATATCACTGGAGAAACAATATTAATTCCAACACCTGTGGTCTACAGAAAGGGAAGTTGAGAACCAGAGAGGGTAAGTGTATGCTCAAGGTAATGTAATAAAATATTGTCAGACATACTTCCCTCGTGGGGCAGAACACTTGGGGGCTGACACCTTAAGATGTGCGGAAACCAGCGTTCACCACTGCTCTTGACCGAATAGCCTCCTTGGCACCAAAACGGCTACTGCTTTTGTTAAGAGAAAAGTGAATTAGATGCTGCCCTTAGTTACATGGAAAAAAATGTTGTGAGTAGCAAGCGCTTAAGTGCCTTTTCTCTTATTGAAATATATTCATATGTATTCGTGGTATTCACCAGGAATCAAGAGGGCTAGATTCTAGTCTTCCCTGAGCCATAAGTTACTCTTAGGCAAGTCATCTTGCTGACTTTTACTTTGTGCATTGTTAATGACGAAGCTGGGCTAAGAGATCTCTAATATCTTTTCCAGACCTCAAATTATGAGTTTCACCACATGCAGAAATATCCAGCTTCCTTACTTTATTTTAGCCACTTGTCTTATGAATTCTAATAATTATACTAACAGTTAACAGTTCATAAGCACTAAGTGCCAGAAGTATCCTAAACATTTTACATAATTGTTTGCATTTAATCCTATAATAACCCAGTACTACTATACCCATTTTTCAGATGTGGAGACTGAGAAACAGAAAAGATAAATAACTTTCCTAAGATCATATAAATAACTTGTGAGTGGTAGAGCTGGAAAGAAATTAGATAACAGAAGTAAAAAAGGAGGGCAAACCATTATGATGGCATAATATATTTTAAATGTTAATCTTTTCTCAGCACTTTATTTTGCCCTTTGCCTTGCTCCATTTAAAATAGTTAGGCTTATCTGTGCTCATTACTTCAGATAATGAATATAACAAAGGAGCCTTTCTTCTGGCTTTTATCTTTCAATTGCTTAGGCTTTTAGAGGAACTGAAAAGAGGCACTCCAGACGATTTGAGAGAAAATATTAAGAGTGAAGTTTACACACAGACACCATACACAGGTGAGACAAATATAGGCGAAGCTTACGAAAGAGAAGACCCATAGAGAAGTAATGAGGCTGTGGGTATTGTGGTGTAGAGCAAGCTCTGAAGAGGTGGTAAAAATCTCTGAAGAGGTGGGAGCAACCCAAGAGCAGGGAGGCTTAAGGGTCATTTCTTGGGAGAGGCCAGAGTTGGGCAACCAAGACCCAGAGTAGAAATAGCCAGCATCCTAAATAGCCAGCATCCTTAACGCTCAGGCAAAACTTCCATGGTCTATCATGACACAGAAGCATCAGAATGTTTATCATTTGCCCAGGAGCAGCATCAAGTACACAGAGGACTGCTGGACCTAGAACGACACATCTGGAATACCCTGAGTGGACGAGTGGCAGAAGAGCAAATGGAGTAAAGGATATCTCACCGGCTATCTGCATGGACACATGACATTGAGGACTGTATGGACCCTTCATAATGCTAAGCACTCTTACTTGGCTGTAACTTGGGGGAAATTAGGTAAAACTCTATACTGATCAAAATTGGGTTTCTACCACCCTGATAGAATTTGGGTTCAAAATAGAAAACAATAAAATTTTATTTTCTGCATACTTGAGTTTGTGAAATGAGCTTTTCCCCCAACAGGGTAACAATAATTTCAACTTTTGAGAGGCAGTGACGAGCTTTGAATATGGTATGGTTTTGTTTTTGAGTTTATGTACTTCTATCATTTTGGTGAAAGGAAAATGCACTGATAAACCTCTGTCATACATGCATAGAGATAATAATCAGAGATCTATTAGATACAAACAGTAATGTTGACCGTTAAATAAAAACAGTTGCACCTATAGGAGTTAAAAATAGTTGGAAAATGTCCCTATTAGCTCAAACAATAAGGTGATGCTTCTGTTTCCAGCCATGGATACTCTGACTCCTGCACTAAAGAACTTACTAAGAATTCAGCAACCTCAATTTGTGGATTAGAAGAGAGTATTGTAAAGAGATAGAAAGTTGGGGGATATGGATTGGGGAAGGTCTCATTTGAGGTTAAACACTGAAAAGGTATTAAGAAAGAAGAGTGTGAGCTAGTACACATTTGTTAGTGTTGTCCATTAGGCCTAGGAGACCCCTGGACTTGGAAACATTGCCTGTGGATAACGTGAAACACTCATCTTTGAAATGTATTTGTCTCTGGTTTCTAACAAAAGATGGTACCATCTGTCTGCCAACCAGCAAAGGAAAGTTGTTTACAGGTAACAATTCTCAATGCCCTATTTTATTTTTTATGTCTATGTTTTAATGATGAAAAAAATACTAATGTTGGGACTTCTGTTTCAAAAACCTTGGAGGAATAGGAACTGAATTTGCCTTTCTATCTTAACCATAAAACAGGACAAAATATATAAAACAATTAGTTTTAAAACACTGGGCATGAGACAAGGAAGGAAAATGATCACTGAGTGAAAGAAAACAAACTGAGTCCTTTTATTGCTCCAGCTTACTGCAAAGAGGCAGTTTCCAGAACCTGGCAGACTCCCTGAGTTGAGAAGGAGCTGGGAATCCAGGGAGACCAAGGGAGCTAGAATTTGCCTAGCAGAACACTGGGAATGAGAGCTGCACAGAGAACTCTGGAGATCTGTAGAGGATGACCCTCAAGTGCACACAGCATATACAGTGAGGAAATTACACAAGGCCTGAGAAAGAACCACCTGAGAGGGTGATAAAGAATTAGACCTGGCATTTCCACAGGACTTGGAATACTGTCTTTTCTCACCAGCAAAACTGGGGTATTGGGTTGTTTTCAGAAGAGTTTGCCTCAGTAGTGGTAAATAATTCACCCTAGACAAAATATGACTCTGGTCTCACCTAACAAATCTTAAAAGCAAGTCCTGAAAAGATCAAACTATTTCCAGATAACTGTGTTCCAGACCAAAGCTTGAAAATATTTAGAGGAGGCCAGGCACAGTGGCTCATGCCTGTAATCCCAGCACTTTGGGAGGCCGAGGCGGGAAAATCACGAGGTCAAGAGATTGAGACCATCCTGGCCAACATGGTGAAACCCCATCTCCACTAAAAATAGAAAAATTAGCTGGGTGTGGTGGCACATGCCTGTAATCCCAGCTACTCAGGAGGCTGAGGCAGGAGAATCGCGTGAACCCAGGAGGTGGAGGTTGCAGCGAGCCAAGATCGCACCACTGCACTCCAACCTGGGCAACAGAGCAAGACTCTGTCTCAAAAAAAATAATATAATATAATTAATATAATATAATATAATATAATATAATAAAGAAAATATTTAGAGGAATACCAAAAGTTTCAGCCCCCATCAAGGTAAAATTCACAATGTCTACCATCTAATCAAAAATTATCAGACATACAAAGAAACAGAAAAATACAACCTATAATGAGAAGAAAAAACAATCACTAGTAACTGACACAGATATTGGAATGAACAGACAAAGATATTAAACAGTTGTTAAAATCATATTCCATATGTTCAAAATTTTATTAGAGACGTCAGCGATTTTAAAAGGAACAATATCAAACTTTTGGAGATGAAAACTACAACGTTTGAGATGAAAAATACACTGCATGGGATTTATGGCAGATAAAATATTGCAAAGTGAAAGATTATTGAACTTGAAGACATAGAAATAGAAAGTTTTCAAAATGAAAAACAGAAATAAAAAATAATTTAAAAAAAATGAAATGAGGACAGAAAAAATATTTGAAGAAATAATGACTAAAATATTTCAACTTCATTGAAAACTAGAAACCCACAAAACCAAGAGGTTCAACAAACCCCGCACACAACAAACATTAAGAAAACGTCACTGTAGCATATCAAAATCAAATTGCTCAAAACCAGTTTTAAACAGAAAATCCTAACAGTGACCAGAGAAAAAAAATCAGACATGTTACTACAGATAAACAAAGATAAGGATGCCAGTAGATTTCTTATGAGAAACTGTGTTAGTCCAAATCCAGTGGAGTAATATCTTTAAAGTATGGAGAAGGGCTAACCCAAACAATCAATCTGGAATTCTAGGCACAGTAAAAATATTTTTCAAAAAGAAAGCAACTAAAAGCTTTTTTAGACATACAAAAGCTGAAAGACTTACAGTAGATGAAATAGTAAATATTGTCCTTCAGGCAGAAGGACATAATTCTAGTTGGAAATATGCATCTACACAAAAGAAGGAAGAACAGCTGAAATAGTAACTACGTGAGTAAATCCGTAAGGTTTTGTTCATAATATTTAATTCTCTTAAAAAATATTTATTATTTATTCAAAATAATAAGGTGTTTTGTGAAGATTATAACATGTGAAAATAAAATATATGACAAAATATCACAAAGGCCAGGATGGGAGAAGCACACTCTTGTAAGGTTCTTATGCTATATGTGAAGTGACATGTGAAGGTAGGCTACACTAACGCAGAGGGTATCATATGAGCCCTAAAGCAATTACCAAATTAACAAAAGAAAGAAGTTGTAGCTAATAAGCCAAAAAAAGAAGTTAAAGTCATTAAAAATGGGTATTTAAAAATGCTTGATTCATTAAAAATAAAACAAAAAAAAACAAAGGCAAAAAAACAAGAAAAGAAGAGTAAAGAGCAGATGGGAGAAACAGAAGAAATAGAGAACCACATCTGATTGTGGTGATGTCTTCATACATGTAGACATGTCAAAACTTATCAAAATGTATATTTTAAATATGTGCAGTGTATTGTATTTATGTGTCAATGAAATTGTTGGAAAAAAATAATTCGCAAGCTATTTGCACTATGGAAATCGCTTTATACATCAGTTAGAAAGGAAATTATGAGGAGTTGGATTGTGCCCCCTTCCCAAAATTCGTAGGCTGAAATCCTTACCTCTAGTATCTCAGAATGTTTGGAGATAGAGTGTTTACAGAGATAATCAAGTTTGAGTTATGTTATTAGAGTAAGCCCTAATCCAATTAATCCAATATCATTGATGTTCTTATCAAAAGGGGAACTTAGGATAAAGGCACCATCTTAGTTTGTTCTGCCATAATAAAATAAAATAGACTAAGTAGCTTAAACGACAGATTTTTTTTTTTTTTCTGAGACAGGGTCTCACTCTGTGTCCAGGCTGGAGTGCAACTGCACGATCATAGCTCACTGCGGCCCCAACCTCCCAGGCTCAAGCCATCATCCCACCTCAGCCTCCCAAGTCACTGAGACTACAGGTATGTGCCACCACACCTGGCTACTTTTTAAATTTTTTGTAGAGAAAGGGTCTCTCTATGTTGCCCAGGCTGGTCTCAAACTCCTGGGCTCAAGTGATTCTCCCACCTCGGTCTCACAAAGTGCTGGGATTACAGGGGTGAGCCACGGTGCCTGGCCCAGAAATTTACTTCTCAAGGTTCTGGAGGCTGGAAAAGCCAAGATCAAGGTTCCAGCAAGGTAGCTTCATTCTGAGGCTTCATTTCTTGGCTTATACGTGGCTGCCATCTTGCTCTGTGCTCACATGACTTCTGTATGCATATGTGAGAGACAGAGCAAGCTCCATGGTCTCTCTTCTTGTAAGGGCACTAATCCCATCAGACCAGAGCCCCATCCTCATGACCTCCCAAAAGCCCCATCTCCACATACCTTCCAATTGGATATTAGGTCTTCAACATATGAATTTTGGGGGGTACACAAGCATTCAGTCCCTATGCACACACAGAGGGAGAACACCTCGTGAACATGAACATCATCTGCAAGCCAAGGACAGAGGCCTGAACAGCCTTCAGAAGGAGCCAACCCTGCTGACAGCTTTATTTTGGACTTCTCACCTCCGGAACTGTCAGACAATAAAATGTGTGATGTTTAAGTTATCCATTTTATGGTACTTTGTACAGAAGTTTTGTAAAAATAATACATAAATGTAACTAATAAGAAAACTTTACTGAATCATCAGGAATCTAGAGATATTACACAGTATATAACCTCTTCAACTCTTCGTACAAACAAAAACATTCCTGGTCCAGCCATATTCAAAGTAGCTTCTTCTATAGCAAGAGGTCTTCTAGTACTCAACTCTGATAGGGAAAGAGATCAACGTGGAAAGATACTGCTCTTTTCTTTCATCCTTAAAGGAAGATGATTTAATTCTTTATTCCTTATTCACATCTTAAGAACCCACAAAAACTGCTACAATATATAATTGTATATATTATAATTGCATATACTTGTATATACAAATATATAATTGTATATGTAATTGTATAATTGTATATATTGTAGTATTAATACAGACATTCACATATAACAAAAGTTCTATAAAACCTTTATATCCCTTTAAAATCCCCATTTCTAAATTGATAATAACAAACACAACTTTGTAAAATCCAAGACAACAGTATGTGCACATTATACTTTATATTAAACCAATTAAACTTAACAAGTGGTATAGAGTTACTGTCTAAAGACTTGAAGACTATCAACTAGCTGAAATTACCTATCTAAGATTAAATAGCCGTCTATATTCCAAAAATGTGCTTCCTAAGACTTAACTAGCAAGTCCTGAAAAACTATAGTGATATCCTCCAGATAAGACTCAGATATTTGTTTTCTGAAAGCTGATTGGAATGTTGCATTGTATTCCATAACCAAACCCTTTGGCGAAGAAACAACTTCTTGTTTACATTTTTTTTCCTTGTTTGTCTAAGAAAATGCGTGCTTCTCACTAATATGCAAAAGCCCTCAAACAGTATACCTTATAGGAGAAAGTAGAGATTGTACCAAAAAAATAAAAATAAAAAAAGGAAAGAGATACCATGAGAAATATTTTGCATTAGTGCAGCCTCTCATACATAGTAGGCACTGTTTTTTAAAAAAAATCTTTCATTATTAAAGTTTATATGAAGGAAGGGTATCTTATTTCAAACCGAGTAAGTTGAATGAGAGCAAACGGCTTCCTTCTTTAATAGTATCTGATATTTAGTTTGTACCTGACATAACCCTTTCAAATACATTATGTTTTTTGGCTTTGCAACAAACCTTATGAGATAAGTACGATTAAGCCAAATTTACAGAAAGAGAAACAAACTCAGAAAGATTATACAGCTGGTAAGATCACCTAGGTAGGAAATGGCAAAGTTAGACTCAAACTCAGGTTTCTAATTCCACATCCTGTGCCTTTCACTTTCCTTCCAGGCCATACGGAAGCCTATCTCTCACACCACATCTTTCAGGGTGGTTTGTCAACTGGGTTTATGTTACAATAAAATATAACTTTCCTGCATAATCCCTTGATCTTGAACTGTTGTAATTGATCAAGGCCTATTTGTTGCCTGAGTATAAATGGAGGCAAATAATATACTTTGATCTCCTTACACAGGATCTGCTTCCAAGTATGTTGCACAAACTTGCTAAATATCATCTAATATTAAAGTGGCAGAAAAACATTTTATTCCATTTATTTTTATTTTTTTGCTCAGCTAGAATGGCCAAGAAGAAGCCAATGAATTATAGTTGAATTTGTATTTATAAATGTTATCACCAAGAAATTGTTAGATTTGATGTTATCATTTCTGTAATTACAGAAGAAATATCCACTCCACTGGAAGTTACCACAATATGAGAGTAATTGCTATGCCATTACAGAATAGTTGCATGATATGGTTATTCTTGTCACAGAAACTATAAATTATGTACTAAATGTAATATAATTTATAATGAAAAACTTAACATGGCTTAAAGTAGCTGCTGAACCAAATAGAACTCTGTGGTTGTTGCAAAGTAATTACGTAATTATTTAAGCCTCACAAACTTAGAAATTACAAAGTACTTATGAAAAGCATTACCACGAGAAGCTAAATGGAACTTAAAATAGTTACCAACCTAATTTGGGTGATGTTTTTTGTTGTGCTAAATGGCAATCCCATCATTATCTTTTTCTGAGACAGCATCTAATGTATTTTCCCAAATGCTTCCAATTTGTCTTTATTCATACAATCCTAGACTCTTAAGTTTCGAAGAAAACATTTAAACTAATTCTCTACCCAAACCATGATTCTCTTCTACAGCATTCAGACAACTAGTTATTGGGTTTCTTCCTTTAACCAACGCAGCCCAGAACTGCATAAATAAATAAGGTGGGTCAATTGGCTACGATTCTTTGGTTGCATGTGATAGGAAACCCAATTCACACTGGTGTAAGAGAGAAAAGAAATTTATAAGCTCATGTAATTGAAAAGCCCAAGGTTATTGGCTCTGAACCTGGCTTGATCTGGGCGTTAAAATTATGTTCTAAGTATTCAATTTTAAAAAAGAAAAATCTGCTTGAGTTTCTCTGTTGGGTCTCTTCTCAGATAGGCCCTTACCTTACAGGGGCAAGCTGTTCATCAAAAGCTCCAGACACAACCTACCAGCTCAGCAATTTCAGTGGAGAGAACTTCTTCCCAGTGGTTCTGTGAGAGACCTGAAATGTTCTGATTAGGATGTTCTGTATCACATGCCCTTCCCTGAACCAGTCACTATATACAGGTATTTTCATAATCTAAATCTTGGTCACATGGATATCCCTAGAACCAGCAGAGCTGGGTCATTGCCAAAGGCTTACTATGGTATTAATGAAAGAAGAAAGAATGAAAGCAGAGCGAAGAAGCACAACAGATTTCCACACCAGGCAAGATGTATTATCCTTCCTCTAATAAAGATATTCCTCTTCTTTCTCTTTTATCGTGGAGGAACTCTGGGAGATGAGTTCTGGTAAATATAAACTGGATCTGGTCAACAAATTGGCTGAGTTAGAAGCTGACATCCATACTGTTGGCATTTACCATGAACACAACCAGAAGAATAATTACGAGTTTACAGAAGCCCTTTTATTTTTCATCCAAAATGCAGTTACTCTGGACACAGTGTTCTTTAGCCTCAATCCACAGAGCATTGATTCACCAGCACCAAGCTTTCACAAGTACTAAAAATTTTTTTCTATCTTCTTTTTAAATAGTAGCTATGCATGACTCAGGATCTCTGATGACACCACTCATAGTCCACAGAACACTCTGGTGAACCACAAGCCCTGATATATACATACTGATGATCTGAGAATCACAGGGCTGAGGGGAGGAGCATCTTATACTCATGTGGATGAAGGAGTAAATTATATGGTGCTAGAAATCTTGCCACTCTAGTTCTCAGGTGTAGCAGGAATCTATTATTCCTTCTGGCTGCCATGCATCTAAACCTCACCTCCATTTGGCAATATCTACTTTGTCGGTTTTGGTGGGAGGTACAGACATCTATCAACATAGAAGCTAAAAATGCTCCAAACTCACTTTCCCAGGCGCCATTGTTGGTCATGTGTGGGTGTGTGACCTTGGCTCCTCCAGTCAAATGCATCTTTGAATAGGGGACCAAAGATGAAAGGAAGCAAGGATTGAGAAGAATCTTTCCTGGCAGAGAGGGCCATTGCTATGATGAGATCAAGTTCTTGGGGCAACAGAGGAGCAGTGCCAGCATCTGTGTCCAGTGTCTGAGATCCATTGTATCACAGCTTAAGTGCAGGCCTAGGGCACAGTGACAGCAGCTCTGCAGCCATCCTTCCTGGACCCATCTTGCAGTGCAATTTTGGTATATTGTTCCTGACTGCAGCACCTCTGGGCCTGGACTTTCAACTTTTGCAAAGTTCCTATGGGCTCCTCGTTAAGTTTTCTTTTTTCTGAAACAATCCAGAGTCAATATCTGTTGCTTGCCTCCCCACACCCTGGCTGATATTGAAGTTCTCATTGTATGCAGCCTCAGGGCTGGACGTCTGTCTAGAAAGGTTTTCCAGTACAGTGGTTAAGGGGACGAATGCAATTCTGTCTCTGTCGCATAATTCTATGATTTTACTTAAGATATAGAACTGTTTTCATTCACAATCCTCTTAGCTGAAAATGCAGATAACAGTATCTAATTCCTAAGATTTAGGTAAGGCATTGTAAAGCATTTAGCATATCTCTTGAACTTGGTAAAGTCTCAACGTGGGTTTCTAAAATTATTAAAGAATTCTTCATAGTGTTGGGGCATGGCTTCTGGGTTACAAGAAGAGGTGGCATTTACTATCATAGAGGGATAAAATGAGGAATTTATATTTAAAAGTCAAAATTCTGTCATCAATAATATTTAAGCAGTTCTAAATTTTATAATTTCCTAATCTATTTAAACAAGTGTATTAGAAGTAGCAGCCTTGGTAAAAGGTAAGGGAAGCTCTGGTTAGCAGGAAGGTGACTTCTGTGTGCTTCTGAGGTATTTCCCTGTTAGGGGGTGAGTGCCCTCCACTGGCTTAGCTAATGGTTTTATTTCTATAAAGGAAAAAAATATCGAGATTGTGATTCTCATTATTTACTGTTTAATGTGCCTAATGGGTCTGGTTAGATATGGGTGTATAGCTATGGAACAGACAAGGATGGCTTATGAATCCTGAGAGCAAGGGTGACCTCGCAACTGAGTAGAGAGAAAAATAACACCACAGTGGTGCCTGGGCTACCCCTAGATGGTAGAAGGGAATTTTCAATCCTACATTCGCCTTCCCAAAACTTGCTGATTGACTCCTGTTTTGCTATGGAATTTTACTGCGAAACCAAAAACGTATGTGCTTATTTTCCTTTTGGACTATAATTATAGCAGAAAATGCTCGCCCATCTCTTGCAGGCATACCCCCCCAATACTCATGCAACTGTACCAGAAATTGGAGATGACAGCCATGGTCGAAGGATTGAGAAGGAAGAGAGGGGGGAAAAAAGCCCATGTTACTAAGTTAATAACCAGAAGAACATCTAAATAGGGGCAGCTCTCTTGCAATCCCACGTACTATTTCTTAAACAGAGTCATTTTGTGGTTTGTAATCAAGTGTCTGAATTCAGAATTTATAGGCCCCAGGATGGTAAGTGTGGTTATATGGTATTTAGCAATTTTATGTGGTGTTGTGCTAAATATGGAAACGTCAGAAAAGTATTTTGGTGCTTTTCCTTAGAGTCTACTCTGAAAGTTAGGTTGGGTGACAGCTAAAAAAACCACCCGTCTGGCAAGAGATATTCAGGTTTATCTGCCTGTGAGCTTTAATTTCGTTGGAGAATCGTCTCTTTAGAATATGTCTAAATTAACTTCTTTTTGCTCATGAAATTGCATGTATTTATCAAAATCTTGAAGTACCTAATACATGGAGATGAACTTCTACTTCATATGAAAGAAGAGGATTTCCTAATAGTTACAAACTGGTCAAGGAAAAGTCCTGGGTTGAGGGTGTGAATGAGTAAAAGGCCAGAGATATCTTTATCATCCCCGGAGGGTTTTAGCGCAGCATAGTCTCACTAGGCAGGGCCTTGGGCTCTAAAATTATTTTCCAAAGTGTCTGGGGGCAAAGACATACAGTGAAAGGAATTTAGAGTCTGATAGTCTGGGGTCCAAAGGTTTGCTCTGCCACTCACTAATATGGTATTTGAGCAAAAATATTCAGTGATACATATTAGTCCTTCTAATCTTAAGATTCAATGATGGAATTATAGGTTTGCTATAAAATAAAAATGTTCACATTTTTTATACCAAATATCACTCTTTCAGTATTTATGGTGGTCTAGAAATTCCAAAATCAATGATATTTTAAATTATCTTTTAATTCCGTTTAAAAACCACCCAAAGTATTCAATGTGTTTCCTCCGAGATCGCACCTCATTTTTGCTCCCCAAGCACATGAGTGTGCCCCAATCTCCCACCATTTCCAACATATTTTATTCCAAAAGTCTTTTAACTGTCTTTAAAACTCAAATTCATCTGAAAGTACAAAGATGTATTAGTGAGTACATTAGATGAATCTACCTTAGGTTTTAAAGCATTTCTCAAAAAATATTTTGAGTCAAACAGCAGAATTAGAATATGAGCTTTAGTGCCAGATTGGAGTTGGATTGACCACTGGCTCTGGCACCAGCTGACCTAGCTGTTATCTCTTTTGGACAAGTTAATTACTTAGTTTTCTCATCTGTAAAATTAGGATAATAATGCTTACCTCCTAGGAATGCTGCAAAATTTGAGATAATAAAGCATTCATAACAGGATCCAACACATGGCAGACACTCAATAAATTATAACAAAACAGAAATGGCAATATCATTATCCTAAGTATACAGTTGTCTAAGATAACTATTTGGGGACGAAAAAAGATACTTGTTTACGTGTATAAGTTGTAGTGTTTTCAAGAATCAAGTTTATTCCCTTTTAGTTAAACCGACTATGAACTAATATAGAAGTTATATACTGCAAAGTTACATATTAGGAAGAAGGATCTATCAGACCTTCTTAGATGAGGATTTCTGAAGAGAAAATAGTTCCATTTCTAATTCATTTATGCATTCACCAATTCAACAGTACTATTAAATATAATCACTTCTGCAACTTATTCAGAACATTCATGCATACTTAGCTTCACAGAGGATTGCCAAGTTGCCATCTCCTATTCCAATGAGAAGTCCTGAGAACAACTGAAATGTGAAACAGGTTTTCTTACTATAGAATGATACAAATAACTGATATAAAACAATGTTAAATCTGTGCTTGTGATGTGAAATTGACAACTACTCCTTCCCTTTCCCTGCCCCAAAGTTCCTGGCCTTAACACTGTTCAGTACCTGCCCTGAGGATGATGCAGAAGTTGGGAGTTCTTCCATTGGGTGTTTCTTGCTTGTGTGGCTGCTGTCTTTCCAGTGTTCTATCCCCTGGGTTCCAGAGGACAGGAGGAACTTCTGCCTGCCCTCAGTCCTTTCCTGTCCATCTTTCCTGGATTACAGATAGAGCCCTCTCATTCTTAAGGCGACGTGTCTTCATGTTTTTTTTTTTCATCTCTCACAATCACCATCACACTCGTGGTCACCATCTGCTTTTCCTGTGACCTCCATGACATTTTCTTTGCTGATCAGTCATTCTGGTCTCCCCTTCACTTGCTCCACTCAGCCTCTTCCCGCTGTCTTTCTTCATGGAATGTATCAAAGTCAGATGACCCATTGTTTGAAATCTGCCACATTTTGCAACATAGCATTCTAAATGATGTGAGTGAGAAATATGTAAAAGTTTTGGATAATATAAAAAGTGGGAAAACAATTAGTTTGGCCTAGACAGACCTATGCAGATTTCCAGAGGAGCTAGGACTTCAACATGAACAAGAACACAACAAAGAAAGGAGGAAAAGGAATTTCATGCAGAAGGGATGAAAAAAGGCATGAAAATATGAAAATTCAGAAAAGAATATTCAGTATTAGTGATGTGTTTGTTACATGTGCAGTGAAGAATAATTGAAGATGAGACTGGGAAGGGGAATTGGGACCAAATCACAAGCAGCTAAATAGAGCAGTCTACAGGGGTCACATTTATCCTGTTGGCAAGGGGGTCTGTTAGAAATGGGAGGCACATGATAGAGCTGCACTTTTAAGATGAAGATGACTGGGCATGGTGGCTCACACCTGTCACCCTAGCACCTTGGGAGGCAAAGACAGGAGGATCAATTGGGCCCAAGAGTTCGAGATCAGCCTGGGCAATATAGAGAGACCCTGTCTCTAAAAACAAAACAAAACAAATACAAAAAAAGAAAAAAGAAAAGAAAGGATGGTGGTGTTAGCCCTGTGGGGGCAAAGTAGAAAAGAGTGTAGAGATAGGGAAATTTCTCAAGAGGTAGTTGAGAGATCCAAGCTAACAAGAAGGAGGTCTTCGACCATGGGTGGTGAGAAAAAATGGTGAAGCCTGAATCAAGAGATGCTTCAGAGGAGAGGAGAGTTACAAGATGAGATAATTAATTGAAACTGTGGAAATAGGTAGAAGAAGGAGTCAAAGATGATTCTGAGTCAACATTTTAAATTTCTTCACTCTCTGGATAGGTAGATAGACAAATAGAAGATAGACAGATAAATGGATAGATAGATAGATAGATATTAGATAGATAATAGAGATTAGATAGATAGGTAAATAGATAAATAGACATATGCTAGATAGATAGATCTATCTTTATTCTACTCTCACCAGCACCCTTTTAAAAATCTAGACATCTGCATATAATATAATAATGAAGTACTCAGCACTTGCACACTACGGTAGAAGAGCTTCAAGGAACTCATCATTTTCTCAGAAAAGCTGGGCATGTGGAATAGGTTACAGGGAGATTAGGGAATTTCCTCCCCTGGGGGGCTTTTACAATAAGTTAGATACCTGTTTGTCCATGATGGCTTAGGTGTTGTCCTTTCTGAAGCCTGGGAAGTGTCCTATTTCAATTCTTATTATCTCTTCCAGGCCTATAATTCTATGCTTCTACATCATTTTATGGCTTAACCTTAAAGTGTATCATTCATTTGATAAAATAAATCATGAGATAAAACTTGGAATTTTCTATGGACACTGATACAGAATGTAGTCTGAAAATTCTTAAAATTAACTAATTAACCTACTGAATAAATTATAAATAATGTTATGGGTTAGGGTTTCTCAAATCGTGTTTGATGGAACTACTCCTGCAATATTCTTACTCCAGAAAGTGGAAAATGATTGAAATTCACAGTAGACATTAGCATATAAAAGCCCTAAGATGTCCTATAGAAAGAAGCTTCTTCAATTTTTACCTAAATCTTCTCAAAACTTTTAGAAGAACGAGATATATGTACCTATAACTATACACATATATGGCTATCCATCTATAGCTATCTGTGCATGCACCCATCCATCCATTAGCTATTTATCTGCTTTTTAACCTCCTGTGAAAACAGGGTTTCACAAAACACACTTTGGTAAATATCATCTAAGCTTGCCCAAGGATGATCTTTGGTTAATCTGATAATTATTTTTAAATTACAGTTTGCTTCGCCACAAAATGGAGATAATAACACCTACCTCATATAGCTGTTACAAGGATGAAATAAAATAAAATGTGTAAAGCACCTGGCATAGGGCCTGGTACCTTGTTAGTGCTCCAGAAATGTTAGCTTTCTACCCTCTGCTCCTCCATTAAGGTTTGATATCTAATACATCTCACAAATACATTAGTTTAAGTGCAGAAATGCTTAAGCAATTAAAACTTTTGGCTTCTTGTAAGGAATGAGCATACTATTCTGTGGTTAATTATAATGCAGAAGGTCAAGTGGTTATCCTTCAGTAATCACAGCTATATGAAAATCTATGTGTGTGTGCACAAGGGCCATTAAAGGAGAATAAGAATTCACCTATTTTTAATAAGTGGTGGGATCATGGGTAGTTTGTTTCATCTTTAAAAATTAGTAGATTTTGTTTATCACAGAAGTTTTAGTAGCAATTAATTCATAGCAATTCATAGCAATCAATTCATAGCAAAATTGATCAAAAAGTATAAAGAGTTTCTATGTAACCCCTCCCACCACACATGCAGACTTCCACACCATCAACATCCCCCAGCAGAGTGGTATATTTGTTACCAGCAATCAACCAAAAATGACACTTCATTATCAACCAAAGTCCATAGTTTACATTAGAGTTTACTCTCGGTGGTGTACACTTTATGGATTTTGACAAATGTATGAAGACATGTATTCACCCTTCTAGTATCATACTGAGCAACTTTACTGCTCTAAAAATCCCCTGTGCTCTACCTAATCTTTCTTTCCACCCCCAATCCTGACAAACACTGATCCCTTTATCATCTGTCCACAGTTTTGCCTCTTTCAGAATACCATATACTTGAAATCATACAGTACGTAGCCTTTTTAGATGGACTTGTTTCACTTAGTAGTATGCCCTTAAGTGATCTCTGTGTTTTTAAAAGCTGTTTTACTATTAGAGAATATCACCTTTTAAATGTAAGAAAATGAAGTAAATTGAAAATAAACAAATAAATAGAAGAAGCCAACCAAAGAAAAATAAAGAATGGATGTCCTGAGGCAAGGGCCTCTGTCCTGGAAGTGGCTGGCCGTGCCTGCTTCCCATTTCCCCAGCTGCCGAGTTCCACCTCCAGACTGACAATTGCAAGCTGTCCTACTCCTCTTGTTCCCTGCTTGCCTGCTGTCACAGGGCTCCTGCTTTTCTCTCCCAGGAGCTCCACTTTTAGGGCCCCCTTGTGGATCTAAGGACAGAGCAGGCAGCAATCAGTGAATGCAGAAAAACCAAACAAAAACATGGAAATCATTTCCATGTATTTAGCACTTACTATGTGCCAGGTGCTGTACTAAGCATTCTACATATATTATTTCATTTAATCTTCACGTTGATGCTGTGAGATGGATAACTGTATCCCCATTTTAGAGATGCACAAATGGAGGATGTGAGAGGTTTAATGACTTTCCAAATGGTACACAGGTAAGAATTAGCAGAACCAAGATTCAAATCCAGGATGGCCTGTGTCTAAATCCTGTGTACTTAACAATGCTTTGTGCTTAGAACGGTTACCCGAATACCATAGATAAGTGATTCCCAAATGTTAATCCTGCCCTTAAAAATTTTTGCTTATGTGAATCACCCCGATCACTTTCTGTTGAGCAGCCTCATCCCAATATTCCAGGTATGAGAAGTCACTAAGGGAGAGACAGAAGTCCCCTTTTACCCTCTCCCTGAATTTCTCACTGTCTGTGTTCCTGATCTACACCCCCATCTCAGGGTTTTCAGGCCCTGGAGGAAAAAAGTGGAGGAAGTTTGTGTGCCCCACACAGTTCTTAGAACAAAACCTGAATATTTAATATAAAATGACATTGAATTGGCTTCCAAGTTTTATGTGAAATTTGACTTTTGATTTAAACACCAACAAAAAAGAGGTAAGACAACATCGTGATAAGAAAACAAAGTTGTGCACCAAGACAGACATCAAGCTCTACCACAAGGTTCATTGACAAACATAGAGCCTAGAACACAATTTCACACATATGTAACAGAGAACAAAATTTTATGTTGTAATTTTCTGAATTAGAATTTTTAAAGTAGGCCTTTTAAAATATCAGTTCTTTCAAGGTATAATTTACATATACTAAAATTCACAAATTTTAATTTAAACTTTCAGAATATTGATAACCAGTCATGTAACCACCACTGCAATCAAGATGTAGAATATTTCTTTCACACTAAAAAGTTCTGTCTGCTTTTGCCCCTTTGCAATTAATACCCTCTCCTTATCCTTGAGCCAAGGCAACCACCGATCAACTTTCTGTCACTATAGTTTTATCTTTTATAGAATTTCATATAAATGGGATAATATAGTATGTATTGTTTTGTCTAAGTCTTCTTAGACTCCGAATAATGCTTTTGAAATTCACCTGTGTTGTTGCATGTATCAGTAGTTCATTCCTTTTTATTGCTAAGTAGTATTCCATTGCAGGGACATACCACAGTTTGTTTATTCATTTACCTATTGGTGGACATTAAATACTTTTCCGTTTAGGGCTACTATGAAAAAGCTGCTATGACCATTCACATATATACCTTTGCAGGAATGTATGTTTTCATTCCTCTTGAGTAAATACTCAGCAGTATAATTGCAAGGTCATATGGTAAGTCTATATTTAACTGTATGAGAAACTGTCAAACTGTTTTACAAAGTGGCTGTAACATTTTACATACTCACTAGCAAGATATGAGAGTTCCAGTTGCTCCACAGCAATGTCAGAACTTGGTATTGTCAATATTTTAATTTTAACCATTCTATTGGATGTGTAGTGGAATCTTACTGTAGTTTGAATTGGAAATTCCCTGATAACCAGTGACAGTGAATATGTACTTTTTGCATTCATATGTCTTCATTGTGAAGTGTTTTTTTAAAAACTCTTTCTGTCATTTTTTGATTGGGTTATGTTATTATTATTAAGCAATGAGATTTTTATGTATTTTGTATACAAATCCTTTATCAAATATATATTCTGAAAATATTTTCTTTCACTATATGGCTTCCCTTTTTATTTTCTTAACAATGTTCTTTGGAGAGCAAATTTTGAATTCTAAAGTCCAATTTATAATTTCTTATTTTTTGGTTCATGCATTTTATGTCCTAAATAGTTTTTTACAAACAAAAGGTTACAAAGATTTTCTCTTTTATTTTCTTTTAGAAGTTTTATAGTTTTATCTCTTACACTTACCTCTATAATGCATTGACAGTTGACTGGCTTTTATATATATGATATAAGGTTTTTAAGTTCATATTTTCCATATAAATATCTAGTTATTTTAGTCCCATTTGTTGAAAATATTATATCCATTGAATTATTTTGGCACTTTTATTAAAAATCAGTTGACTATTTTTGTGTCCATTTATTTCTGAACTCCCTATTCTGTTACATTGACCTATACATCTATATCACTGGGAGAGCAATTTCTGTGACAGTTAGTTCTTTATGGGAGGAAGCCAATGCCCTAGCCTCTTTACGGTGTTGTTATTTTTGTACAAATTTACTTTTAATAACTTAGTGTAGTTTTCCCAACTATCCTACTGTGAGAAAAATGATCGTTTAGATATGTCACTAAAGGTACAATCCTTGAAAGAAGGAATTAATAACTTATACTCCATTGAAATGAAAAATTTCTGCTCTGCAAAATACACTGTCAAGAGGTTGAAAAGGCAAGGCATAGACTGGAAGAAAATATTTGCAAAAGACATATCTGATAAAGGACTGTTATCTAAAATATTTTTTAAAAATTCTTAAAACTCAACAATTAAACAAAAAAGCCCCAATTTAGAAAATGGGCAAAAGGCCATAACAGATACCTCACTAAAGAAGAAATACAGATGGAAAATAAACATAAGAAAAGATGCTCCACATCATAAATCATCAGGGAAATGCAAATTAAAACAATAATGAGACACTGCTACACATCTATTAGAATGACCAAAGTATAGTACGCTGACAACACCAAATGCTGGCAAAGATATGGAACAACAGGAACTCTCATTCATTGCTGGTGGGGATGCAAAATGGTACAGCCACTTTGGAAGACAGTTTAGTGGTTTCTTACAAAACTAGACATACTCTTATCATACAGTCCAGCAATCACATTCCTTGGTATCTATTCAAAAGAGTTGAAAACTTATGTCTACACAAAAGTCTACACATGGATGTTTAAAACAGCTTTATTCATAACTGACAAATCTTGAAATGGAAAAAGATGCCCTTCAATATGTGAATGGATAAATAAGCTGTGGTACATCTGTACAATGGACTATTATTTAGAGCTAAAAAGAAATGCACTATCAAGTCACAAAAAATGCATACATGAAACTTAAATGCATTTAGTAATCTAAGTGAAAAAAAACCAACCTGGAAAGGGTGCATACTGTATGATTTCACCTATATGACATTTTGGAAAAGGCAAAACTGTGGAGATAGTAAAAAGATCAATGGTCATCAGGAGTTGGATTGGAGGAAGGGATGAATAAGTGGAATATAGAGAATTTTTAGGGCAGTTAAAATACTCTGTATGATACTATAATGGTAGATATATGTCACTATAAGTTTACCTAAATTCGCAGAATGTACCAAACCAAGAGTGAACTCTAGTGTAAACTATGCACTATGGGTAACAATGGTATATCATTGTAAGTTCATTGATTATAACAAATGTACCATTCTGACTGGGAATGTTATTAATGGGTGTGTCTATGCAAATGTGGGGGAAGGAGGCATATGGGAATTCTCTTTACTTTCCTCTCAATTTTGTTGTGAACCTGAAACTTCTCTAAAAAAATTAAATTCAAAAAATTTTTGATTCTCAGATTGTGTTCTTCATCTTTTTTGTTAAAAAGTACTATCTTTATGAAACAATTGTGATAGTATATGTAGATGGTTTTTAATACCTTTATCTGGTTAAAAAAAACCTGGAAACTATATCAATTCCTTAATATTTTGCTTGTTTATTTTATTGGGCCATGAAATGAAAAAATGTTTTGTTCCACTGTATTAGATCACAGTCTCACCCACATGGAGACTTAAGAAGGGAATAAAAGGAAATTGGTAGTGTCTACATGTTTGATCAGGATGGCAGTATAAGGTCTTAGTTCTACCCTCTAACTATATAGAAATGATATTAGAGTAGTTAATATAAACATGCCTCTGCCAACTAGCAATGTTGTAGATAGGCTATTTGTATCAGTTCAGGTTCTTGGAGAAGCACACACCACGATGGAGTTAAGAGTGCCAAGAGATTTGGGAGTGGTAAGATCATGAATGATAAGGGGAGTGCCAAGAGGAGCAGCCAAGAAAAGCCTTTAGTCTGTTCTGATCTCCCCAGATGAACATGGGAAGGGAAGGAGTAATCGGTAGGAAGAGGCCCAGGTTGTGCTAGAGCTCTGAAAGGCCTAGTCAGCCTAGTGGGGAGCTCCAATGCAAACACTGCCCACAGAGGAGTTCTGCACTGGGTAGAAATGACCAGGTCCTGTTACATGCTCAGTTATTGGCCAGGACTTCTCAGGAAGAGGGTGCACTAATACCCTGAGGCTGCAGGTGTGGTAGTCCTGAGAAAGAACTAGTCCAGATCATAGAAATGCATCCCAATGAGGCCATCTTCCTATTTCTCAGGGTATGTTCTAGTTTTCTAAAATGAGCACAAGTTTGGTGCTGGAATAACAATTGTTACTACCAGTTCCCCAGCTGATGTTTTAAATTTGAGTTATTGTACCACTGTGTTCCAATTTTCTTACCCATAAAATGAACATTACAATAACGTCCTCCTAGGCCAAATATAAATTGAAATAATATGAGAGAGTCGGGTAGATATAAAAGAAAAACAGATTCTGCCTCTTTATTAAGCCAAGATATTTTACGGAAAATCTATGTCTTCATCAATTAGCATGGTTTCACCCCTCCCCGCTCCATTCCAATTTCCAAATGGTTATAGAGATATCAGTGTTTTTCCAAAGTAAAAAAGAACTACCACCTTCAAGTTATCAGAAACATTCATGAAGAGTCTTTTCCTTTTTTTCATTTATTTGGACCCGTGATTAAGTTAAATTCTTACATTACACTGTGAAGAATTACTTGGGTTGCTTGTAGCCACACTGTTGCAGCATCCCTGGACTTCCTGTTTATTATTAGTTTTCAATTAAAAATTTACATCATAAATCACTCACTTCCTTAGCATTTATGGCTTGCTTCCCTTCAAGTAAAAAACATTTTAATCAGCTTTTCTGAAAGGTCATGCTTCATTGTTTGTTCAGACCCGATGTTCTAAATTTAAAAGTCCTAGCAGACAGTTCTGTAGGAGAGAAACAGAAAACACTAAAATAGTAACTCACAATAGAGAACAACCCTGATGAAATCCAAAAACAACCCAAATTATGATTTTGTTAGAAAGAACTTTCATCAGAGGGAGTAAAATTATTGAGATAAGCAAAAACACAATCTGCATGCCACTGCTATAAACAGTAGTTGGAACAAGTAGCAGGGTGACTTGGACTAAAATTTAGCTCCAACCCAGAACCAGGTTAGATTCCTCTACAGCGGTCTCACCAAGATTTGTGGTTAGGAGAATTGTAAAAATTTCATGATATGTCTGGCTGGAGGAATGACTAGAACAATGGAGACACATGTAGACAAGAGAGCACATCAAAAATGTACACATCGGGATGAATATTTCTGGGGAAATGCCACAATATGCCTTTACTGATCTATAAGGGTAGACTCACTAGGAAAGTAGGTGGGTGCCTAGGCTTTACCTGCTTTCATTGCATTGTTGCATTCTCTTGCCTATCTAAAGGCTTCCATTTCTCTAGGAGATATAACCGAGGATAAGGATGGGAAGGTGGTTGCATCCTAAACTATTCCTTCCATCAGCATTGTTCCCAGAAATATAGGCAAGGGATTATATATATATATATATATATATGTTAGAAACAATAGAAAGTTGGTCAAGGCTCAAGTGTTTATTTAGCACTGTTTAAAAACTGGGGTAATTCAAAGAAGAAAACTTAGCCTTTGCCCTTAAAGAGTTATCCTCTCACAAAAGAGATGAAGAAAAAATACATTTGAAAGAAGACTAAACAAAATAAGATTATAGGAATTTTGTTCTAAAGCATTGCTTTGTTAATCACATTCCATTTCATTTAATTCTCACAGCTTGCCTTCCATATACACTTCTCTAGAGGTTGAAATTCTCTTCATCCCTTTTGCTGCTTAAGAAGTTGCTATTTAAAGAGAAAGGACCACACTTCACATTTGCTTTTACCTTAATGAACTGTGTCCAACTTTTACATTTTTTTTACATTATATGTTTAAAGTGGTTAAGACTAATAAAAAGAAAGAGATTAATAGAGATGAGGTAGTAAAAAAAAAAAGTTGAGGTAAAAAAAATCTTGATCTTAGAAGCCTAGGATTTAGCACATACAAGGCCCTTAATATATATGTTACAAATGAATGAAAGAATGGTTTGAAGGTAAGTATTCCAGGAGTGGAAAGCAGTATCATCAGAGAGAGGCATTGGAATGGCATATTGATGGATCTGAGAGAGATTAGGCAAACTAGAGCTGAAGTTGGGTAGCAAAGAAATAACAGGAAGTAAGAATCAGCAGGATGGACAAAATTATGGGTCTGGAAAATTCAGAACAGAAGCTTAGATTTGATATTTGAGAAAATGGGAATCTTTGATGGTTTGGAGACCAGTGATCTGTGGAATAAGAGTGTCTGAGGAAGAAGAATAACTTTGGCATGTAGGATGACTTAGGCAGGAGGGGGATGCCTCACCTAGTCAGCTATGAGCCCATGCCAGCCATCCCGGTGTGAAGTGATGACTGAGGGGCTGGGGAGTGATGTGGAAGGGATGGGATGTTGATAAGGGGCATTTCAAAAGAAGACTCAGCAGGATTTAATAAACACTTTTCGGTAGATCAAAATC
Organism: Homo sapiens; assembly: GCF_000001405.40. Lineage (NCBI taxonomy): Eukaryota > Metazoa > Chordata > Mammalia > Primates > Hominidae > Homo > Homo sapiens. Next base: position 53,657,122 of record NC_000014.9, on the reverse strand, counting down.
TGTAGGCTTACTGAGGTCGCAGCAGAAGAGATAAGAAAATGACTAACAGTTGTAGAAGTAGCAGAAGACAGAAGGTCTAGAAAATAGAAACCAGGCCTAGGAGTCAGCAACCCATGACCTTGCCCAATGCACTTGTTAATTCATTCCTTAAAACCAGGAGGTAGCCTCGCCATTATGGAACCTTGCTAGGCTCTTGCATTCTGCCATTGAGTAAGAGATCTAAGATCGAAGGAGAAAAGACACCCCAGCCCTGTCAATAGCAGCCTTTCTGAAATTTCCTGGATCCTGCCACTTCACAAGGCAAGCTTCTCCTGGCCTCGTCAAACCCTCCCCACCTAGTCCTGCTTCCTCTGAGGCTAAAGACACACTAAGACAAGCACCCAGACATGCCCTCACATACTAGACAATTTTGGTCCATGAAGAACATTAGGTTACAACAGGTCTCAGTTTTTTATTTCAGTATTTAAAACACTCAATGTGATGTGTAGGAAGAGTAAATTCACCTGACTAAAGAAATATACCTCAGAATACATGCAAAAGAAGATACAATATAACTAAAGGCGGAAAGTAGAACTACAAAAGCACCATCTAGCATGCATTTTCTTGACATGTTCTCTTTGTGAGAATCTCTCTTAGGTGTGGATATTGTATTTGCTATGAATTCTGCCATCTGAGGGTCCCATTAATACTCCAAGTATTTCTTTGTCTGTTCAGGAGGAAAGAAGGACTTCTGGGAAGAGATAAATTGTGCTATTCCTATCCAACATATAGTGGAAATTATGTAATCGAGCAGCATGTGTGATAAAACTCACGATAAAATGTTATCCACATGGATAAAACTAAAACACAGAACGAGCAAGTTGCAAAAGAATACATATATACAGCAAGATTCTATTTACATTGTCTAAAAACTGTAAAGGACACTATTTTTATTTGTTTGTTTGTTTAGAGATGCCTTAATGTATGACAAAACTTAAAGACTTGCCTCTGGAAGGCAAAGGAAGGATGGGGGTATGTGTTAGAAGGAAATACAATGGGGATGTGCATAGGGTTTTCCACCATATTGCATTGATTGATCTCATTAGCTGGATACTGTGTACTTGGGTGTTCATTACATAATTCCTATGCCTTTCTGTAGCTTTAAAATATTTAACAATATATTTTAGTTAAGTCTTCATTTCTTTCCTGAGAAGAAGGGAAAAGCCTGCCCTGGCAGTGAGCTTTTTTTCAACATAGAAGTAGACTCACTTTCCCTCCTCCTCAGTGTAGAAGACACCCACATCCACAGTAGGAAGAAAAAAAAAGACAGGATCCCCTGCATAAATTGTTCAGCTATTAAAGGGACAAATAGTTTTTATTCAAACTTCAGTAGTAAGCTTGGAGAAGTCCATGTATGTTTTATTTTTATTGCACACAAGTTCCATTCCAGGAAGAGGAGGGGCATCATTTCTTCACATTCCTGTGCAAGAGAGAGGGCTTCCTCCTGTTACAATGCTCAAGAAGGCAAATATATGACAGTCACCAAAAATGCTCAAATGCCTGAGCCTTGCTGGCCCACAGAAAGGGGATTAGTAAAGCACCATTAACCCTGCAATGAAAACACATCAGTTTAGCGTATTCTTTCATCCTAAATCCAGTTTATAAACACAGCCTTATCACAGGGAGAATGTTTATCTTCATGTATAATATGTAGATTCCCAAAAAGCAACAGTAGCTAATGAAATTAAATATAATGTTGGAAAATATACGTTATCCTTTTAGCAAAAATGGCAAAGTTAACAGTTACGCCAGCATGTTTAAGCATCTTCTTCTACTCTGATTCATTTAGAAAGTTTGTTTATGAGTCAAAGAAAGACAGAGGTTTGAATCTAGGGATCTCCTACTTTCCAGTTATCTAAGCCAAATTTCTAAATCAAGTCAAGAAAGAGAGCTTTTCATGGCTTCACAGTGCTAAAAGTTAAGACACATTCTAGTAATTTATGATCATTTATCTGGGAAGTGGAAGTAGTTGATGACAAAGGAAACTTAATTACTGCTTCTTTTCCTTCCACTTCCAACTGCCCAAGAGGTCCTTGAGATTCCCTGTTTGTTTCTATTTATATGTAAACTTCCAGAGGCTAATTTAACTGTAGACACTAACTAACCTTGACCTTTTTCAAAGCTTCCCTTAAGGATTAATAACATGTTTCTATCCCTATCATCATTTTTCACCAGAGGGTCACATTTGTTATGCATAATTACTAATGAAATTATGAAACAAATGAAGAAGCAGTGCAGGCTCTCTCCCAAAAAGCCAACGTGCACATTTAAATGTGCCTCAGTTACCAAACATCAGTGCATATCCATTTGTACAGCATGTGCCATACAAAATCTTGACAATGCAAGAATCACTGCTAAAGAAAATTGAAAGCAAAATGTAATTTACCACCTAGTCTTTTCTCCTGGTGTGTGAGTGTGGGGTGGGGGCAAGTCAATAGCTGAACAAAATGCATAGAATTTTCCACACCAAAATGTGGGTCACTTGGTCTCCAAAGAATCTAAGCAGTCAGAACAACAAGGGGACAGAATATTGGAAATGAGGACTCTCCTGGAATGTTTGGGATATGTGGTTTTGGATCTCCTACTTTTCCAATTCCTGATCTACTCATGGGTAGCTGAGGGTAGAAGTGGGGAGATCCAAATGTGCACATTAAGACTCATATGTGGAGAAAGGTAGCCTTTTAAATTTTCAATAACTGATAACTTTTCTCCCAAGTCTCCTCTGTATTCCTAGAACAGACAATTTATCCTATTCTGTTCAGGTACGCATAGTCTGCTCTAATGATTTTTAGCCAAATCTGAATATTATAATGTCAGGTAAAATCTAATTGTCACATACAATTTATATATGAGTCTTCCAGGGATTCTACCTTTTTTTTTTTTTTTTTTTTTTTTTTGAGATGGAGTCTTGCTCTGTTCCCTAGGCTGGAGTGCAGTGGGGAGATCTTGGCTCACCGCAACCTCTGCCTCCCGGGTTCAAGCGATTCTCCTGCCTCAGCCTCCTGAGAAGCTGGGATTACAGGTGCCCGTCACCACGCCTGGCTAATTTTTGTATTTTTAGTAGAGATGGGGTTTCACTGTGTTGGCCAGGCTGGTCTCGAACTCCTGACATAGTGATCTGATCCACCCACCTCAGCCTCCCAAAGTGCTGGGATTACAAGTGTGAGCCACCACGCCCAGCCAGATTCTACCTCTTCCTATTCTCCTTTGGAGGTCATCTAATTTCCCAGAGACTCTCACATTGTCCTGGCAGATGTCTACTGCTGAGTGGTCCCTGAATTGGGTTTCTCACCTTGGTTGGTCTCTGAGCATTGGCTTTTCTCCTTGCCATGCCCACTGTGGCATAGATTCAACCTAGTCTTTGAAGTCTCAGGCTGGAATCCGTAGACTTTTCCATGGCCTGTGACCTGTCCTGGTGCTCTGGGATCCTGATCCTGATCCTTTCTGATCCACTAATTCTCTTAACCCTTCCTTTTCCTGCCTTCCTTCTGGGCCTGCAAATTCTCAGCTCCTTTCTCTGTACCACAATATAGTGAGTAGGATTCTGGGAGACTGGCCAGATCTACCTCCAAGGCATCTCCTTGAGACACTACTTTACTACTCCAGTCCCACAGGTTGGATTTCTCTGAGGGGCTTGCAGGCTTGCAAAGAAAACTCAACACATGTCCTGATATTCTCAGATTTCTTCCAAACCTATCTGGGAGTCATCTTCCTGACCCTAGTCTGAGGTGTCAGTCTATGAAAGGAAGCAGAGAATTAGGCAATAGCTTAAGGATAATAGTTGAGTTTGGAGAAGGATCATTCAGAACAGAGGATACTAAATAAGGTTTTATTTATTCACTTATTTATTCATTCATTTAGAAATATTGACTGTGCTAAATGCCCTGTTGATTATATTAATATAAGCAAGACATGGTCCATGCTTTTAAGGAATCCTCAGTCTGATAGAGAACAGGCACGTTAGCAGGTATTTCCAGGGCACACAAGGGGAATAAAAAACATAAATAGATATTTGTACCAAATGACAGAGTTGCATAGGGTTTCAGAAAATTTTCCTTAGAAACATTGATGCTCCAATGTGTCTTGGAGGATGATTAGTATATCATCAACAATGGAAACAGCATTTTTGGCAGTGGGAGTAAAAATATGGAAGAATGGAACAGCACTAGAGTACTACAAGTACAATATGATTTAGTATAGTTGGAGCAGGAAAAAAAATGAACTGGATAATAGTAAGAAGAAGGGGAAGATGGTCAGAAGAGAGATAATGAAACTAAGGAGTTGGGGTTTTATCCTGTAAGAACTGAGAAACCACTGAGTCTCTTAATAAAGGTAAAGACAGGGCTACATTTACTTTGTAGAAAGTTCATTGTGGCCACAGTCTAGGGGAGGGTCTTGAGTATGTCAAGATTGGAAGTGGGGAGGCCAAACAGGAAATGATTTAAACAATAAATTAAGGGAGCAATAGAGAAATAAAAAAAGAATGTCTACAAGAAATGGTCAATAGACAGAACTGAGATTTGGTTACTGATTAGTGTTGGAGATTGGGAAAGGAAGAATTTGGCAATCACTAAAAGTTTTGTAGGTGAATAGTGGTATAACTTGCTAAGATAAAGGGTACAATTCAGGGAACAGATTTTATCAGGCAGATTGTTTAGCTCAATTTTGAACGTACTAGGTTTAAACAGATTTGAGATATCCAGATGGAGTTATTCAACAGGTCACTGAATAGGTGAGGAACTCTAGAGTCAAGGTCTGGCCTGAACTTATACATTTGGAAGTCATAAGCATACAGACTATATTAATGGCTGTGGCAGTCTTTGCATGCTGAAACATGTCCTTATATTGTTTGGTTAGGCATGAGTTTCTAGATGGAAATTATTAAGTAATTGATTCATGTTCTACAGGCTTGTTAATGAGGTGTCTAATTCCTATTTTAGTCTTATTCCTCTATAGGCATGGTTTTTCTCCCACCTCTGGGAGAACCCTAAAAACAGAAAAGAGAAGAACAAAGATGGAAACTTGGTAACACCAGCATTTCAGAGATTACAAGTGAACATGGACTCTTATAAAAACAGCCTGGAAAAAAAAAAAGACCAGGAAAGTATCAAATATTTGAAGCCAAAAAATGAGAGATTTTCTAGAAAAGAATGATCAACAATATCAAATTCCAGAAAGATCAAGTAAAATAGGCCCAGAATAGACTGGTTAGATTTGGCAACCTGTGGTGCATAGGTGACTTTCACTAGTAGAGTATTAGACTGAAAACTGAATAGAGACTTCCAGGTAAAAAATGGCAAACTGAGTGTAAGTTCACCTCCCTACCCAACCTGCCGAGATGACTGAAAGACTTACAAAGGAGACTAACTTCATTAACAGCTCTGAGAATAGGGAGAAGTCAGGAGTGTACCAAATATTTGAGAAATTTCTGGAAAACAGAAAATAAACAGGATTTTTACATTGTGACTAACCAGAGCCAACAAAGCTCAAAACCAGAACATATGCAGAAAACTGAAGAAAGCTGCTCTTCCTATGGGACCTGGAAAGCCTCTGAGATTGGTGTCAGAAGGCCAATTACGAGTCAAATCCAGAAAGAGATATGAAAGATATTGTTAACATATATAAGCAAAATGTAGAAATGTGTCCAGGTATAGCTTTTGAGGAACCGGACCAAGGAGGGTAGAATATAATTTTCACATGAGCCAAATCTGTAGATACACAAATTTAGGTCAGAGATGCAATGTGCTAGCTAGAGCAACTTGGCATGGTATAATTGTTTGCATAGTTGAAGAGCTGAAACCTGGAATCAGTTATGGCCCAGGATAAAATATGTTAAAATGCCAGTAGTTCCTCAGAATAATGTAGAGGAAAGAATCCAAAGACTTAGAAAAGGGACTTACTATGGACTATTTACGCACTGTCTGCTATGTGTTGAGTGTATCTCCCATATTTTATATGTTGGGAACTTTATCCCCAAATTCATATGTTAATGGCATTTGGAAGTAAACCCTTTGGGAGGTAATTAGAATGAGATAAGGTTATTAAGGTGGGGCACCCGTGAGGGGACTGGTGGCTTTATGACTTTATAAGAAGAGGAAGAGAGACCTGAACTGGCATGCTCTTGCCCTTTTGCCATGTGATGCCCTCTGCCATATTATGATGCAGAAAGAAGGCCCTCACTAGATGTTGGCACCTTGATATTGGACTTCCCAGCCTTCAGAACTGTACAAAATAATTTTTACATATGTATGAATTACCCAGTCTCATGTATTAAGTTGTAGCAACAGAAAATTGACTGAGACACTGTCCTTTTAAATATGTCCTGTAAGAGGGATTAGGAGGGAATTCTTTCAATTAGACAGTGAAAATATATCATTTTTTGTAGAGAAACTGCCAGCATCTTTGAAAAGTGTTACTCCAGCTATTCTTTATGCTGCAAAGGTGGTGGGAGATACTGCAGTAAAAATGGGTTTTTAATTTCAGTAGATGTCAAAAATTCTATATGGTCTGAGATTTACTCTACTTACAAGTTGACAAGTTAGCTTACTAAAATTTCAGAAGACCTGAGACTCCTGGGTCAAAGACAAGGGACTTTTTAATTCATGGTACAGCAAGCAGCATAAGCATCAACATATCCTCTGGCCCAAAACTCTTCAGGAGTGATGGAGATGGTCCCAAATGGATATCTGTACATGCAGTGTGTTGTGTTACAGGAGAGAAACCCTGAGCTGAGGGAACCTAAATCTTAAATAATGAGCAATAAGCATGCCTGCTTTTTGATCCAAAGAAAGTTGCTATCTCTATCTCCCAAAGCTATTTGCTACACAAACAAAAAAGATAATATGAAACTGAAGGCAGTCAGTGTCTCATTCATAGATATGCAGAAATGCAAGGGACTCATGGAGAACTGTCACTCAACAATATCCACTTATAATTTCCACACTGTCTTAGCTTTTGGTAAATATCTCATTAATGTACAACTCTGTTGGCCACTATGATTAATCTGAATCATAGAAGCTGGGTACTCTGAGTAGGATAATGGAAAAAAAATGAAGCTGGGATCAAATCTATTCATATTGTCTCACACAGCATTTTACTGAGGCTACTATCAATAGGACTCCAAGCAGCAGGATGATGCCAAACTGCAGTATTGATTTCAATCTGAGGAACAACTTTGTGTGATTACTTTTTAAATGTAGTAAGATTTATTGTGGCCTAACATATTGTCTATCCTAGAAAACGTTCCGTGTATATTTGAGAAGAGTATGTATGCTATTGTTGTTGACTAGAATATTCTATAAATGTCTATTAGATCTAGTTGGTTTATGGTGTTAAGTCTCCTATTTCTCTTTCCTTCTGTCTGATTGTGCTATTCATTATTGAGAGTGAGATATTGAATTCTGCAGCTATTATTGCATTTTGATGGTCTATAATTAGATGTGTAAATTGTATCTTCTTGCTGTATTAAAACTCATTAATATGTGATGTCCTTCTTTGTCTCTTGTAATCTGTTTTGATTTAAACTCTGTTTTGTCTGATATTAGTAAAGCCATTGTGCTCCCTTTTGGTTACTATTTTCATAAAATATCTGTTTCTACCCTCTCACTTTCAATCTATTGTATTTGTGTCTTTGGATATAAAGGGAGTCTTTTACAGATAGCATAGAGCTAGATCATCGTTTTTATTCATTCTGTCAATCTCTGTCTTTTGATTGGATGGTTTAATTCATTTACTTTTAGTTACTGATAAGGAGGGACTAACTTCTATCATTCTGATATTTGTTTCTATATGTCTTGTAGCCTTTTGTTGCTCATTTTCTGCATTACTGTCTCTTTTTGTGTTTAGTTGATTTTTTGTAGTGAAATGTTTAGGTTCTATTCTTATTTTGGGGCATATATTCTATAGCTATTTTCTTTGTAGTACCATGGGAATTACAGTTAACATACTAAAGTTATAACACTCTAATTTAAATTAGAATCTAATAATATTGTACCTGTACTAGCTTAACCCCAATGATATACTAAACCTCTGTCCTTTAAAGCTTCATCCTTACCCCTTTCAGTTGATGTCACAAAATATATATTGTGTTCCCAAAAACATAAACTAATAATTCTTTTAAATGCAATTGTCTCTTAAATATGTAGAAAAGAAAAAATGAGTTATGAACTGTTTTTACAAAAACACTAGATTTAATAATTGCGTATGTATTTGTTTTTATTGAGGTATTTATTTTTTCATACAGCTTCAAGTTACTATTTCTTTTATTTCACCCTGCAGGACTTCCTTGAGCATTTTTTACAAGCAGATCTAGTGATAATAAACTCCCTCAACTTTTGTTGATCTGGAGATGTCTTAATTTCTCCTTCGCTTTTGAAGAACAGTTTTGCCAGATTTAGCATTGTTGACTAACAGGTTTTTTTTTTAACTTTAGCAATTTGAATGTATTTGCCCACTGCCTTCTAGCTTCCAAAGTGTTTAATGTGAAATTTATTGATAATCGTATTGAGAATCTTTTGTATATGATAACTCACTCTTCTTGTTGCTTTCAAGATTCTTTGTTTTTGCATTTCTAAAGTTTGATTGTCTCTTGTGTGGGTCTCTTTGAGTTCATCTTATTTAGAGTATGTTGAGCTTTTTGGATGTATATTTTCATGTCTTTTATCAAATTTGGTGAAGTTTTCAGCCATTATTTTTTCAAATATTTTCTCTGCCCATTCTCTCTCTTCTCCTTCTGAAACTCCCACAATGTGTATATTGGTTCAGTTGATGATGTCCCATGGGTCTTTTTAGGCTCTGGTCAATTCTCTTAAATTTTGTTTCTTTCTATTCCGCAAACTTGATCATTTCTGTTGTCTTATATTCAAGTTCACTGGTTCTTTCTTTTACCTGCTCAAATCTACCTTTGAATCATTTTAGTAAACTTATTTCAATTGTACTTTCAGCTCCATTAATATATATTAAATATTTTAAATATTTATAAATAGAAATATTAATAGAGATAGAATACCTGCAGAGAAATATATATCTAATATAAATAATACCTACAGAGAAATACATATGTATACTTTTATATATACAGAAGATGTAGAGAAAATAAACAACATATGAACAAAATAGAAATATCAATAAAGAGAATACCTGCAGAGAAACATTTTGTATTTTCAATAAATGGTGCTGGAAAAACTGAAATATTTCTCTGTAGGTATTTCATCTCTTTATTAATATTTTGATTATATATGCAAATAAATACATATAGTTATCTGAAGTATTCTATCTCTTTATTAATATTTCTATTTTGTTCATATGTTGTTCTCTTGACTTTCTTCACATCTTTTAGTTCTTTGAACATCTTGAAGACAGTTGTTTTAAAGTCTTTGTCTAGTATATCTGCCATCAGATCTTTTTTAGGGACATTTTCTGCTAATTGATTGATCTTTTGAACAGGCTATACTTTCTTGTGTCTTTGTATGACTTATGATTTTTCTGGTTGAAAATTGGACTTTTGAATCTAATAATATTGTACCTATGAAAAGCAGATTCTTTCTCTTCCTCAAGGTTTGCTATTTGTGTTATTATTTTTATTATCTCAATTTTTTTTTGATTCATGAAGGATGACTCTGTGCTGAGAATTAGCCTAAGATATAAATCTAAAATATTGTCTTTTCTGAAACTTTTCCTGGGCATATATAGTCACTGTCTAATTTACTCAATTTATGTAGGTCTTTTTAGTTGTCCTAGTCTTTAATATCTTGTTCCCATAAGGAGTAAAAGAGCAAAATAGAAAAATACAGAGGGAGGAAGGACACTGGCACTTTAAATCCCCTGGAAGTCATTTCAGTCAAAGGGGCAGGGGCTTGGAACAGTGGGGGGGTGGTGTGACAATTGTTACTGCTTCATTGTCTTTTCCAGCCTTTTCCTGGAAGTTGTAAGCTTTCAATAGACTCTGGAGTTCAACAATAGTCACATCAGACAGACTCTGCAATGCAGCTGTTTAAGTGAGGAGACAGATTCCTGGTGCTTCCTATCCACCATCTTCCCCAGCAGCCAGCTTTTGAGGCTTAAAATTCCAGAGGAAAGAAAAACATATTGATATGAGCCAGGCATTCTCTACTGTTGTTATTGTTGTTGTTTTCCTGGAGGCATTCACAAGTAGTACAAACCTAAAAGTGAAGATTACAAACAGAAAGTGAAGGTTTAAAAGATGAGACATTAGCAGAATCATTAGCAGTAGTTCCCCAGTACAAAGGAGACTACAATTGGAGTTCAGGACCTGCCAAGGCAGAGCTCTTTGATAAACACTCAAAGCTTTGGGATTCATTGAAGAGCTACACCCCAGAAATAGGGACACGCTAGAAGTAGGTCAAACCTTACAGTGACTGAACCCAAGCCTTGAATCAGATCAGTCCCTGACTGAATTATGTGACATGTATAACATCATATGGATCCTCTATAACATATTTTACACAATATTCAACATTCAATTAAAAAATATTAGGAAACAGAATCAACGAGAAAAAATAGAAATAGATGCACAAGGGATTCAGGAAGTTATGAGATAAAGGCTTAAACCAACTGTGATTAATATGTTCTAAATGATAAAAGGCAAAATACAAACTTTTACCAGAGACTCATACTTATTTAAAAGAAAAATAGAACGGACTTAACAAATGCAAAAAATATATATATTGTAGTTAAGAATACAATAGATTGGTAAAAAAGAAGATTAAATACAGAAGAAAAGGGAGATAGTGATTTGCTAGATATATCAGTAAAAAATAATCCAGATTGAAACAAGGTAGGAGAAAGAATGTACAATATGAGACATGGCAAAAGATTGAACACTTGTGCAGTTGGAGTTATAAGAGAAGAAAGACAAATGTAGCAGGTGAAATATTTAATTAGATAGTGACAGATAATTTTCCAAAAATGAACAAAAGCCACAGACTGCAGACTACCTAAGAACATCAAGTAGGATAAATACAAAGAAAACCACACCTAGATAAATCAGAGTAAACTACTAAAAACCAAACAAAACTCAAAGACAAAAAGACATTCAAAGCAGCCAAAAGGGAGGGGGAAGCACTGTTTTCAAAAGAGCAAAAGTAACCAAAAGGATAGAAGCCAAAAGACAAAGTAATGCATTCTTTAAAATGTTGAGGTAATAATCACCATCCTAGAATTCTGTACATAATGAAAAATTTCTTCAAAATTGAAGATAAAATAAAGGCAGTTTCAGAAAATAAATGCCCTGAGAATTTATTGCCAGCAGATTTGCCATCAAAGTAATGATAAATTTTTTCACTCATGAAAGAAATTGAAAAGAAGACAAAAAATTGAAACACATTCCATGTTCACAAATTGGAATAATTAATACTGTTAAATAGCCACACTACTTAAAGTGAGCTACAGATTCAATGCAATCCCTATCAAAATACCAATGACATTCTTCACAGAAATAGAAAAAAAAATACTAAAATTCACATGAAACCACAAAAGATCCCAGTAGTAAAAGCAAACTTAAGCTAAAAAATTTAAAAAAGAAAAATCAAAGCTGAAGTCACATTACTTGGCATCAAAATATACTACAAAGGTATAGCAACCAAATCAGCATGGTATTGGCATAAAAACAGACACATAGATTAGTGGAACAGAATAAAAAACCCAGAAATAAATCCACGTATTCACAGGCATCTGTTTTTTGACAAAGGTGCCAAGAACATTCACTGGGGAGAGAACAATCTATTCAACAAATGGTGCTGGAAAAACTGAATACACATATTCAGAAAAATAAAATTAGTTCTCTATCTCTCATTATATACAGAAATAAACTTAAAATGGATAAATACTTGAATGTAATGCCCAAAACTATGAGACTATGAGAAGAAAACATAGGGGAAAGTTTCAAGACATTGGCCTGGGCAAACATTTTATGGAGAAGACCGCAAAAGCACAGGCAACAAAAGCAAAAAATAGACAAATGAAATTATATTCAACTAAAAAGCTTCTGCACACCAAAGGAAACAATCAACAGAGTAAAGAAACAACCTACAGAATGGGAGAAAATGTTTGCAAACTATTCATTCAACAAGGGAATTAATATCCAGAATATACAAGGAACTCAAACATCTCAACAGCAAAACAACAAATAATCCAATTTAAAAATGGGCAAATGAGTTGAATAGACATTTTTCAAAACAAGACATACAAATGGCCAACAGGTGTATGGAAAAATGCTCAACATAGCTAATCATCAGGGAAATTCAAATCAAAACCACAATGAGACATCATCTCACCTCAGTTAGAAAGACTATTACCAAAAAAGCAAACAAAAAATAACAATAACAAAAAACCAAAACAGATACTAGAGAGAATGCAGAGAAAAGGGAACTCATACACTGTTGGTAGAAATTTAAATCAGTATAGACATTATAGAAAACAGTATGAATATCTTCAAAAAACTAAAAATAGAACTACCATATGATCCAGCAATCCCACATATCCTAAAAAATGGAAATCAGTATGTCAAAGAAATTCCCGCACTCTCATGTTTGCTGCAGTATTATTCACGATAGCCAAGATATGGAATTAATTGAACTGTCCATTAACAAATGAATAAAGACAATGCAGTATATATACGCATAATGAAATATTGGCTGGGCGCATTGGCTAATGCCTGTAGTCTCAGCACTTTGGGAGGCTGAGGCAGGTGGATTACTTGAGCCCAGGAGTTCAAGACTAGTCTGGGCAACATGGCAAAACCTCATCTCTACCAAAAATACAAAAAAATTGCTGGGCGTGTTGGCATGTACCTGTAGTCCCTGCTACTCAGGAGGCTGAGACAGGAGGATCCCTTGAGCCTGGGAGGTGAAGGCTGCAGTGAGCTGTGATCACACCACCACAATCCAACCAGGGCAACAGAGTCAGACCTTGTCTCAAAAAAAAAGGAAAGAAAGAAGAAAGGAAAGGAAGGGAAGGAAGGGAAGGAAGGAAGGAAGGAAGGAAGGAGAGAGAGAGAGAAAGAAGAAAAGAAAGAAAGAAGAAAGAAAAAGAAAGAAAAAGAAAGAAAGAAAATATTATTCAGCCATAAAAATGAATGAAATCCTGTCATGTGCAGCAACATGATGGAATTGGAGGACATTGTTAAGTAAAAGCAGCCAGGAACAGAAAGACAAATATCACGTATTTGTCTCTCTTTTTAATATGAACTTTTTCAGCTCTCATATATGAATGGAAGTAGAGAGTAGAATGATGGTTATCAGATGCTGAGAAGGATGGGGGTTGGGAATAAAGAGAAGTTAATGGCTACAAAAATACAATTAGAAAGAATAAGTTCTAGTGTTTGATGGCATAGTAGGGTGATTATAGCTAACAATAATTTGTTATATATTTTGAAATAGCTAGAAGAGAAGATTTGGTATGTTCCCAAGACAAAGAAATAATATTAGGTTGGTTCAGAAGTAATTGTGGCTTTTGCCATTAGAGGTAATTATTTTCGAACCAACCTAATAAATGTTTGGTGTGATAGATGATTTCATCATTACACATTGTATGCATGTATCAAGATATCACACGTACCCCCATAAATATGTATAATTATTATGTAGCAGTAAAAAACTAGCCTTTTAAACCAGAGAAATTTGATGAAAAAGCATGAAAATGAAGGGAGAAATAAAGAGCAGAGAATGAAATAATTATGTCAGTAAATTTAATTGAATACTGACTCTTTCAAACCATAACCAACAAACTAGTAGAAAAGAAAAGAAAATAATAAAAAGTGCTTCATTAATCAAAAAATGCAAAAAAGACAAAAAAGATTATGAATTAGGACAAATAGAAAACCAATAGAAAAATGGTAGATATAAGACCAGATATATAAGTACTTACATTAAATGTAAAATAAGTCAATAATCTAATTAAAACATAAAGATTTTAAGACCAAATTAAAACACCAAAACTGAAGTATATGCTACTTTAAGAAGACATATCTTAAATATAAAGAAAGAGAAAAATTGAAAGTAAAATAATGAAAAAATATACATATAATGTTAACATTAATCAGTAGGAAGTGTTGCAGCTATAATATTTTTTTAAACAGACCACTAAGAAGCATGACTAAAGATAAAACAGATAGAGGGATAACTAATATATATACTAAAGTGTCAATTCACAAGGAGGATATTACAGTTCTAAATTTGTATCTGAGAGCATAGCTTCAAAATATGTAAAGAAAAATTTCATAAGATTAAAAGGAAAAATAGATACATTCATAATCATAGCGGGATACTTTAACACAGGGGTCCCCAGCCCCAGGGCTATGGACCAGTACTGATCTGTGGCCTGTTAGAAACAAGGCCACACAGCAGGAGGTGGGCAGCAGGTGAGAGAGCATTACCACCCTGAGCTCTGCCTTATGTCAGGTCAGTGGAAGCATTAGATTCTCATAGGAGCACAAACCCTATTGTGAACTGTGCATGTGAGGGATCTAGGTTGCATGCTTCTTATGATAATCTAATGCCTGATGATCTGAGGTGGAACAGTTTCATTCTGAAACCATCCCCACCCCTAACCTCGGTCCATGGAAAAATTGTCTTCCACAAAGCTGGTCCCTGGTGCCAAAAAGGTTGGGTACTGCTGTTTTAATATACCTCTCTCAGAAACTGAGAGAACAGAGAGTAAAAATTATTAGAGATGCGGAAGATCTGAACAAATCTGACCTAGTTACATCTACAGAATGCCAAATCCAATAGATACAGAACATGTATTTTTTTTGTCAATTTTTTGGTAAATGCTCAATCCACATTGAACATTTACCAAAATTGACCATTCTGGACCATAAAAGAAGTGAATATACTTTGAAAGATTGAAATCAGCAGAATATATTCTCTGACTGAATTGGAATTAAGTTAGAAATTAGTAACAATAGGATAACTAGAAATGCATACATGTTTAGAAACTAAGCAATACATTTCCAAATAATCTATGGGATAAAATATTTTTTAGTGGAAATTAGAAAATATTTTGAACTAAATGACAAATGAAAATACAGCATACCAAACTTTGTGTATGGTATCCTGACAACTAAATTAAACTTGTGATCCTCTTATCAGATCATCTGTTAGATTTTACAAACCTTAAAAAGATAATATAACGTTATTATAGATAACTATGTGACGACCAATAGGAAAATTCTGAAAACAAAATTTCTAGAAAAAAAGTTACAAAAATAAGCTCAAGAAAAATAAACACATATGAATATGTGTATTCAAAAAATACAAATGGAATTTTAAAACTTCAAAGACAGAAAATTTCAGGCCCCGGTAACATCCCTAGTGAATTCTAAAATTTAGGGAAGATAAAGTATTAGTCTCCGAAGATTAGAAAACTTAACAGAAGATTACAGAAACTGAAAATAAGCAAGACCATCAATGTCTCAGAACTTACAGGTATGAAGATATAGTTTAACCCACTGAATAAAAAACTGCCTGAAAGCATAGGGAAAATGAATAACAGAAAAAGGAAGTCATAAACACTAACTACAGCTTTTTCATCAGCTTCAGATAGGTGGACTGTAATACCTACCTGTATTTTATTTTTTTTCCTTGATACATGATATGTATGTTTCTATCTTTAAAATAATTTTTCTCATGTTTTACCCCTTTTCGTTTATATAGAGTATACTGGTAATCGTTAACCTAGTAATTTTCAGGTTACTGAGTATACAGACCACATTGTGGCAAAACAGAAGGAGGAAAGGATATGATCTAGAAGTTTAGACTTGGTGATAAACACGGTAGCCAAGGAACCATGGTGAAGGATAAGTGAGTAGAAAGTAGATACCGACCCAAACACTGGACTTCTTACTGCTGGGCTTAGCTTTTTCTGATTCCGAGAAGTACTCATAGTACTTCTCAGTGATCCTCTCCCAAGGGCTCAATGGGGCAGTGGAAGCCCAGAATGGTGATTTGTGCTAAAATGGTCATCATCACGGTACTGAAGGGTATTGTAAAATACGAGTTGCAGGTGGCATATGTAGTAATGAGGGAATGAAACAGTGTGAGCTCCCTCAGGTCACTGAGGATTATACGCAGAGGCAAAATGTCTGAGTAATTCCTTCTGAACAAAGCATAGCTCAGTGCTATTCCTGGATCAGGGCCTACTAAATATGTTGGGTTTTGATAACAATCAAGATTACACATCAACAGATAGTTGAGTGAAGAAATGGATTAACATCATGCTATAAGTATGAGCCCAAGAATGCGTTTGAAAACAGCTGCTATGAGAAGGACTGGAACAGAGCCATGATAACAGACCAACACATTCTGGCCCCCAGGACAGAGTCAGTTGTTTGATGAAGTTAATAAAAGTGTCATGTTTTCTAATACCGCTGCTCCAACAAGCTCAAATCCTCCAAGAGCAGACAGAGAAGCGAAGGAATGAGGTTCTGGCCGGGCACGGTGGCTCACGCCTGTAATCCCAGCACTTCGGGAGGCCGAGGCGGGTGGATTACGAAGTCAGGAGATCGAGACCATCCTGGCCAACATGGTGAAAACTCATCTCTACTAAAAAAAAATACAAAAATTAGCTGGGCGTGGTGCCACGTACTTGTAGTCCCAGCTACTCAGGAGGCTGAGGCAGGAGAATCGCTTGAACTTGGCAGGCAGAGGTTTCAGTGAGCCAAGATCATGCCACTGCACTCCAGCCTGACTACAGAGCGAGACTCATCTCAAATAAATAAATAAATAAATAAATAAATAAAGGCCTCACTAAATCAAATGGGAAGTCCAAGCCCAGGAAGGACAGGCCAATTATCAACTCAGAGACATGGGTGGTTCCCCATATGCTGCTTAAAGTTCCATTAGTTTTTTGGCTGTGCTCAAAAGCAGTACTTCTTGTTACCTGTCATAAGCAGGAGATTTTTATCTCAACAAAAGAAGATTTTCATGTACTTGGAAAATTCCCATCTTGTTACAAATGTTATGAAATAACAATGGATATCACATTTTCTTTCTCCCTAAGATGCTAAAGTACTTTGATATATATCTTATTTCATTTCAAAATAGCCCCTTGGGGCTATGGGAGGGACGGATTAAATATATTTGGCATATGGAATACTCAACGATTGAACGAAAAGTGTCAAAAATAGTCAAGAATATAATGTAATGTCTTCAGCTCCTAACACAGTGGCTTTTCTTAGACTTAGCCTCACTTTGGTGACTTTCTGGACACAATTCTAGCCACAGGAAACTGACTTCACAATCTAGACTTATATTCAATCAACAAACACTTGCTGACATTCGTTAAGTACAACTTATTAACTAGGTGTTTCGAGGGTAGGGTGGCCATGGTGGTTCATTAGGCAACATCCAGTGCACACCTCCCCTCTTGGTGTCTTATTCTGTTTGTGCTGGTATAGAAAGAATGCCATAAACTGGGTGGCTTATAAACAAAATAAATTTATATCTTACAGCTCTAGAGGCTGAGTAGTCCAAGATCAAGGTGCCAGCAGATTCAGTGTCTGCTGAGGGTTCTCTGCTTTGTAGACAACATCTTGTTGCAACCCCGCTTGGTGGAAGAGGCAAACAAGTTTCCTAAAGACCTCTCTTATAAGGGCACTAATCCCATTCACGAGGGACCTAATCACCTTCCAATGGTCTTGTCTTTAAATACTATTGCCTTGAGGATTTGAAAGGGACACATTCAGTACATAGGAGATAGGACCAAGCAGTTTGGGGAACTGCCTGTATCTCAAAAGGTAGATGTGACGTATCTAAAGAGTTATCCTGCCCCCCATGACAGTGACTGGTTTAGGAATGGGCATGTCACCAAAGAAAGACTTTCTGGAGGCTTCTAAGGAAGTGCTTTCTCACTCTTAAGGGAGCAATAGGAAAGCAGACACTCCCCTGCCAGTGGCTACTGGCAGCCTTCCCACAGCCTCAGGAGGAACTGCCTTAGGATTAGACTGATGCTGTGGACAGCAGCATGGAAGATGAAAAGATACTAAGTCCTTGATGACATTATTGGACTTCTGGATCTACTAAGGCCAAACACTCTTACTTCTTGTTTTCATCTCATATGTAAGCTAAAGAAAAATCTTATTGCCCAAGCCAGCTTGAGTTGGCTTTCCTGTTGCTTATAGCTGAGAACATTCTAATGCAAAAGGGACTCGGAAAAAAACTATGCTGACATGCAAAAGGAGCCTACATCTCCAGCTTCAGATCCTCCTTTCTGGCCTTCATTCCATAGAACCGGACCTTGTAAACCCAACAGGTCCTTGTAACCCAACAGCCCAGGGTGCAGACACTTCATTTCCAACCAACCCCAAGCTCTCCTCAGCCAACATCTCCTTATACCATTCATTAATCATGGTCCAAGCCACTAGATACCTGGGCTTATGAAAGGATTCATCCTCATTACAAAATCCTCTATGTGAGGTTGGCCCAGGGTCATGTTGCAGGGCAATGAGCTGTTAAGTACTTTTTAAATTTTATCCCTGGCTATACCCCTGTAGCCCAGCTTTGAGCCTTCCTCCAGGTATTTTGTCCTTGGAGGAAAGAGGAAGAAGGCAGCACGGTCTTCTCCATTGTTACTTTCCAGTCCCACGAAGAGATTTCATTCTCCTTGAGCTTTCCAGTTGCAGTGTACACAGACCTACTCCTGAAGCTGCCCTGTGCTGAGTGTCCCTGACATGATGGTCTCCCAACACCAAGGTTAAAGAGGCTGCAGGTGTCTGGAGCAGATTCCCAAAGAGAGGTTTCTCATCTTAGAACAAAGGCTCCATTGTGACTGAAACTGCCTGCTGGGCAGGGGTGTGGTGTTATCCCAAGCAGCCCCCAAGAAGCTCAGGGTCTAAGAACTGGGAACCAGAGTGGAAGGACAGGGAAGGGCAGATTTTCAGTGATTTCACAAAGCCCGTTCAGGAAATGGGTTGAGGGTGGAAGACAGGGCAGTTTCCCTGAAGAAGTGAAGGAGCATTGACTTTGAAAATAGATGGACTCAATTCAGTTGCCACCTCCCAAATTGACTAGCTTTGTTACCTTTGACAAAGTCCTTAACTTCTCTTTCCTGTAGAATGGAACCAATGATCACTACCTCTTGGGGTTGTTGGTTTTTTACAATTTTAGTAATTTATATATAATAATTGTATATACTTATGGGGTAAAATGTGATGTTTTGATATACATATACATTGTAGAAACATTAAATCAAGCCAATGAAAATATCCATCACCCCTACTTATCATGTTTCTGTTGTAAGGGCAAAGTCTACTCTTTTAGCAATTTTGAAATATACAGTCCATTATTATTAACTGTGGTCACCATGCTGTTTGAAGATTACAAAGACAAAGCACCTAACACAGACCTTCGTTAGTGGCGTCTTTTAGGATTCTGTGCCCTCTTTCTCTTTGCGTGAAGTTTGAAACCACTCAGGGAGGTGCCCTGCAGAGGGGAGGGACTGGGAGCTCAGTGATAGGATACTATCTTATATAAGGGCATGTGTCCAAAGGGAAAAAGCACAGGGAAAGAACCTAACAATTAGATTCAAGACCTAGCTCTGTAAACTGGGTTACTGGGTCCTTCACTCATCCTCTCTGTGTTTAGCTTCCTTCTCCGTAACAACAGAGTGGGACCAACTCATCTGTAAGGTCCCTTCGAGGTTTCAGAACTTCAAGAGGAGGAGATAACCACCCTGGACATGCCTGGTAAGGATCACAGGCAGATGTGATTTCATCTACACACAGTTCCTCGTTGGTCCCCCCTGAGTGCTCCCTGCAGGGGCTTTGTCCTTGGCCACTGGCCTCACAGTGCCTCACACTCACCCTCACCCTCCTGTTTCACACTCCTTCAAGAAGCAAATGGTAGCGCCTTCACCACCCCTTGCGAATGGGCCAAGTATTGTGTCTGATCCTATACTTCCGCAATTCTCTAAATGCTGAATTCCTACCTAATTATTTCTTCTCTTTCATTCTGTCAGTTCCAAATTAGGGGTTCCGTATTGCTTTAGGACTTTTCACCTTGGAATTCTATGCCAGAATTGAAACAATCCAGGAACAGCCCTTTCACCTCTGTCCCTTTAACATTCTCCCGATGTTTCATCTTCACCATTTTCATGGAAACTCCTCCTCTGTGTTTGTGCCCATCTAGACCCAAGAGTCCTGCTCAGTTTCATCTTAAGCAGTTTAAATGACATCCTGATAACCGTGTCATGGTTTGTCTTGTTTCCAGAAGGCATCTTTCTCACTGGCTGCCCAGGGTGAGGTTCCATTTTTCTACTTCTTTTTTAATAGACTCCAGAATTGGGCTTTCTTCAGCAGAACTGCATGCTTGGAAGTTGAGTAAGAATGGAGAATTCAGGCCGTGTGTGCTGAGAAATCCCAGATGAAGTGTGCTAAAAATGCAGATTTCTGACCTTGGGCATGGTGCCAGAAAGAAGTTTTAATGTCCAAGGGTTTTATGCTTCAAAGATAGACCCTTGTGATTGTTGGTTTAAACCTCCATACTACACAGGAAGCAATCTGATATCCCACTGACTGGAACACGTAAGGTAAGTCAAAATTGCT
Source organism: Homo sapiens (assembly GCF_000001405.40). Classification (NCBI taxonomy): domain Eukaryota; kingdom Metazoa; phylum Chordata; class Mammalia; order Primates; family Hominidae; genus Homo; species Homo sapiens. The sequence goes on along the minus strand of NC_000014.9, from coordinate 53,636,526 downwards.
TCGATTGAAGCCAACAACTTTGCTGAAGATTTGATACCCTCTAGAGATTATTGCCTAAAATAGGTGAGTAGAGGAACAACTTGCTCCACCAATTGTACATTCAGCATATTTCTTATATTACAGGCAGATTTAAGAATTTAAGTATTAGAATGACCAAGAATTAAGAATTAGGATTAGTCTTCATAGCATTTCCTGGCATTTGACAGCTTTTTGAAAACGTATAAACCCTCACATTAAAAAGATGGATAATAACTATCATTTGTTAATTGCAAAGCAAATGTATTTCTCCAGCAAAAAGAACCTGTCATGGTTTAAATAACGGTATAGCATTGCATTGATGATCCTCTTTCTAGGAAACACTTCAATTCCACCTTGTGAGAAGGTGACCCAACCAAATTGAGATACTCTTTTAAAATATCATTTAATCCAATAAACTTTTATTGAAAATTTCCATGTGCAAAACACTAAAGTGGATACCAAGATAAGACATTTTTTTCCCTTGAGACTTACAGGTGAAAAGACAAAGATAAGCAAATAGCTACATTTAATAAATAAAATCTAATAAAATATATCTTAAAAAATAGATAACATACAGTGAAAAGCATTCTAGGAGGAAATTAATGACCCTTTGAGAATCTGGCAAAGTCTTATGGAAGAAGTGGCATTTGAGCTGAGCCTTGACCAATGGGGCACACTCCCAAAATTGGAGGTGATGGGAAAATGTTTCACCTGAGGAGGAAGAACAGCTGAGCCAGAGTTAAGAAAGAAGGCTAATGCGCACACAGGTGAGAGACAAAATGTCGTCTGAATAGTGCATCTGGGGAACATACCTTTAGTAGAGACTCAGAGACCAGGGCAGATGACTGTGAATGGCTATCCGAGAAGTTTTTGGGTTTTTCTGTTCTAGCTGGTCTCTCTGGTGTTGCTCAAGGAAATCATTTACCAACATTGTTTAAATAACCCCAGCAAATGCTATATTGAGTTGTCCATGAGAACAGCAGCTCCATGAAAAATCAACACCTATTGCAAGTCAGCATCTGCAATTCAGAGAACTTGCCCTTAAACATTCAATTGGGACTCAGATTGGAAACCATTGTTTTCTTTGTCCATGGTTGATGTTGTTAGCCTGCGTGACCCATACTTCATTTCTAGCTGGTCTGAAGTTAGTGACCAAAACCATTGAGATGCCCTCCTGAGTGCCTTCAGGGGAATTTTGTGTAGTCCACATAACTTTGCATTCTAAATCACACCGTCCTAAACATATCCTCCACATTTGATGAAAACCCTTCTATCCATATTTACATGACACAGTAAGACTCAGACAACTGAAACTCAATTTTATTTATCTAGGTTAGTAAAAAGAATCAGCAAGATTGATGGCACGCTTTAAAAGGCACACTCCAGTGGCAGTGGGTTTATGGATAATAGGATGAGTCTGGGCTGTTAGGAGGATTTTACGATGCTCCAGGCAAGAGGTAACAAGAACCTGAATTAAAGCGGTGAGACTTAAAAGAAGCACAGATATGGGAGGCATGTTGAAGATAGGATCAAAAGGGTTTGGCAAGTGATTGAAAGTATGGAGAGAGGGAGGCAGAAATGCTAAAGTGGCTTTCCAAAGGCATGAGGCTGAGTTCACAGGAGGATGACAATAACATTACACAGGGAAGGAGAACCCAGAAAGACCAGTGATTCTGGGGCTCAGGGAAAGGCGATAACTTATTTAGAAAATAAAAAGAATATGCTTAGCTTCTATTTGCTGAAGTAGTTAGAATTAGGGTAACCCTTTAATATTATTCTCCAAACTGGGACACTGTCAAGAGAGAAAGTGGATGATTTCATAATTGCACCAGGACAACAGGTCTAAACTAAGATTGCTCCAAGTACATCCAGATGTTTGGTTCCCTTATTTCTAACACCTTTTACTATTCACTCAGTGGGGGCTGGCATTAATGAAGCTGGCTCATGGTTTCTTGAATCTTGGGACCTCAGAGTTATAGTGAACCCCCAGAAATCCATATAACAGTCTCTCAGGACTCCCAGAAGGTCCTCTCTATGCCAGTTCCTATGACCAGCCTCTACTGGAACAGTCCCCAGGACTGGAGACTCAATAAGACACTCAGAAGCTCATTCTATTTTTGGACAGTGCTAAGTATTCTTTCTCATTATACTTGGCTAAAATTGGCTTCCCTGTGTATTCAGCACATTAGTACTAATAATAGTTCTAATAATAATGATATCACCAATATTAAAGTAGCTAACCCTTATGGAGCACCTACAAAGGGGCAGGCCTTTCATGAATTGTTTTTGAAGCTCTCCGACAAATCTATTTACATTGTAGCATCCCCCTTTTACAGATGAGGCACCAGACACTGAGACGGAATGTTACTTCCCAGGGACATACCACTAATAAGTAGTAACCTAGAATTTGAACTAAGTTCTCTCTTCCTGATCTTAAAGCCCATATTCTTTCCACAATAACACCTATCTTCAGGTCAAAATAGTTTGCTCTTGGAGGAATGCAGACCAAATTCAATCTCTCTTCCATTTGTCAGCCCTTATGATATTTGAAATAATTATCATCTCTTCCCTTGATGATCCTGATTCTTATTTCATCCTCCCCACATCTGCCCTACCAATGGGCACCAGCTTTTTCTTTTTAACATTTCTGGATTCCTCATTCTCCACAGGTTTCAATGTAATAATGTACCTTTTGAAATATGATGCTCAGGACCAAAACCTATTTCAGGTGTTTTCCAACCAGCACAATGACCAACTACCTACTTGCTCTGCTCTGGGCACGAGGCTTCAGCACAACACAAAGTCTCTGAAGGTTGATTTTCCCCTTCATTACCATCTCCTCTTCATTGATCAGTTGTTTGTCACAGGCATGTCAGGTTGTTAGTCATTTACAAGGGTTCAGCATGGAGGGTGTGGCATCCTGATTCAATTCATCACCAACTCTAAATGTAGATTTTGCTGACGATGGATGTAGAAGACATCTATTGTTTTTGCCCATTGGAATCCTCTTTGTTGTTGTTGTTGTTTAGAGATGGAGTCTTGTTCTGTTGCCCAGGTTGGAGTGCAGTGGCACGATTTCGGCTCGGCACAAGCTCCACCTCCCGGGTTCACGCCATTCTCCTGCCTCTGCCTCCTGAGTAGAGCAGCTGGGGCTACAGGCACACTCGCCACCACGCCCGGCTAATTTTTGTTTCTTTAGCAGAGATGGGGTTTCACCGTGTTAGCCAGGATGGTCTCGATCTCCTGACCTCGTGATCCACCCGCCTCGGCCTCCCAAAATGCTGGGATTACAGGTGTGAGCCACAGCGCACGGCCTTGAGCCACCGAGCCTGGCCTTGGAATTTTCTTTAGATAACAGTGTCCTTCTTTCTTTGCCCTTTCAGTCTTTATTCCAGAGGTGAGTCAGAATCCACCACTGGCTTCTAGCAGCCGAACTCATGACCTAGACTTATCCAATCACATACCAAGCCCTTGCCTTAGAGATTGGTATAGGAATGGGCAGAGTGGGCTAGTGGATTTTATCAGTCACCTGTTGCTATCATAATGCCGTGTAACAAATTATTACAAAACTCAGTGGCTTATAATAACAAGCATTTATTTCTTGCTCACATTTCTGCAGGTGGCTGAGGTTTGACTAACAAAGGGTAGGCTTGGATGATGTTAGCTCCAAGCAGATGACTACATCCAGGGTTGACCCATCTTTCATCCTCCTTGCACAACACGTCTTTCAAAAAGGCATTTTCTTCCCATGATGAAAGGCAGGGGTGCAGCAAGAGGGAAAGTCCAACTGTATACTTCAAGATTCTTCTTGAAGAATCTTGTTTGGCTAATGGGATGCTAACATTTGCTAGCATCCCATTAACCAAACAAGTCACATGGGCAAGTCCATGGCCACTGAGCTTATACAATGGTACATTGCCTACCATGAGACTGTGGCCATAAGGGGATGTATAATGCTGCCACAACAGAGTAAAGAATTGTGACCAAGAAATAGCTCAATGTACCACAATGATACTGTCTGGGTGAACAGAATTCAAATCCTAGCCTTCATTTCAGTTCTTTTTGAAACTACTATTTCTATTTGAGACTCTATTTCCAGTAGACTGGGTGCTATAATGCAGCAAGCCTAAAGTTTGGGACCACCACCCAGAGACAGAACTGAACCACCACAGAGAAAGAAGAGCCTATAGGTGGAGCCTGGTGGCAGGAGTTGAGCCCTAAATGAAGCTATACCTGCAGTCAGAGCACCTGCTGAGTATCATTCAGTGCTGTGAACCAGTACATTCTGTTTTGCTTAAACCAATTGAGTTAGGCTTTCTGTCACTTTGCACACAAAGGCATACTAACAGCTGGTGAATGAGCGAAATCATCTTTGCAACTGAGTTATAGCACATGATTATTAAGCCTATAAATACTTTGGCCAGAGTTTTTATAACACAGTCTTCTAGCCCACTCATCACTGTCACAGCCCTTCTTCCTAGGTGGAGTGATAGCATACAATGCCTGGAACTAGGCCATTTCATCTTGTCTCTCAAACATCTTTTAAAACCACTTCTAATTATTAGTAGTCTAGGTTGATATTTAATGACCTATTTTCCCATTAAAAAGCCCTTTTCACCTTAAGTGACTTCAATTTTTTTTCCACAGAAGAAATAAAACTGAATTTAAAATTCCAGGATGGAAGCTCAAAAGAAGCAGAATTACTGTTTTTTTTAGGCCAAAAAAGGGAAGAGTTTTGTAATTACATTGTGTTCCTGGCCTGTGTGATTGAGTTTTTTGCTTTGACTGTTTAAGAAAAGAAACGACATGGTAAGGTTGAAAGAGCACTTAATTTCAGAAGCCATGACCTTTGTCCAGGCTCGTCACATCGGTCTCTCTTAGTTTCCTCATCTAAATAAAGGGGATAGTTTCTGTCCTATATGACTTACAAGGTTGTTGCAATAATCACAGGAGATAATGAATGAGAATTAGATATTGTTATTATTTTCCTTATAATAAAATCATTTTCTGAACATAGTAAGTTTAGAGAGAGACTGTTTGATTTTAGCTAGTCAGATGTATTTTATAATGCTTTTATACCCTGTAACTAGACTGTTCCGAGTATTACAACCACAACATTGGAAGAAAGGAGGGCCATATTTCCTAGCGCTTTCTTAGGAGCAAGAAAGCCTTTCCTACAAGTTCCCAATGATACCCCTCTCCTGATTCATCGGTCAGAAGCGGCTAACATGTCCAACTATTAAACCGAACATTAGCATAGGGGAACGGGACAGCTAAAATTGGCTTAGACATATTTCCTTTGCATCCAATACCATGTTCAAGAGAGTGCATACCTGAACAAGACCAAAGTTTATTTCCCAAGAAAGAGAAACGGTGCTGAGGTTGGAGACCAAAAGTATCTGGTACAGTACTTACCAAACTCTACTAAAAATGGCCTGCCTACATGTCTGAATCCGTTACTCTCTAACTTCTGGGGCAAGAGAGGTAACTTGCTCTTATATCCCAAGCACCCAAGACAATTTCCAAAACCCAGTGGGAACTCAGTAAGCACTTATTGAATTTTATTACCAGATTTTAAATTCATTTTAGCTCTAAGGCACTATAAACATGTTTCAGTGGTAAGCTGACAGTTATTTCTATACTTCTCTTGGTGCTGGGTGGAGACTTATTAGGGAGGAAGAAACACCCCATGGTATGTGTAAAACTCCTGATAGCCTTCTGTGATTCTTTGATTTTTAGGATGATTCCATTTCACTGCCCCCTTTACGTTATTATCTAAAACCTTTAGAACTAATTAGAAGTGGGAGGATCAAAGATGATATATTTTAAATTTGCTTCCCGCCTCACCCACTTAAAGTAAAGAATCCTGCATAGCCCATTAAGCTGGAGGTACTTGCTGACAGGAAGGAAACCATCTGGTGAACAACTTCTGTTAATTATGTTGGAACATACTAACGAGAATAAAGAACAGCCCTTAATGACCTTCCCCTTGGTGGCAGAATCCACTGCAGAGTAGACAGTCGTGGCTCAGAGCCAAAAGTTAATGGTTAGTATTGGCACCGAACACTCAGGCTCACTAGGACTTAATAATCTCCCCTCGGTGGAGAAAGTATTTTAGGCATTCACAGCATAAATCCTCCTACCACCTGCATGTAACTGAGCTCCAAAATAGTCATTTAGGGCATTATTTGGAATCCCTTAGTAAATGTGAATCTGGGTGTTACCTTCTCTGTATCTTTGGACACATCGAATGAGGCCAGACAAAGGTTTGCATTTTGTTTCAACCAATAACAATATTTAAATATTTCCTGGCAAAGAACAGATGCAATTATTGCATATCCCAGAGGGATAAAGATACACAAAAATAATTATCCTCATTATGACCTGGATGAGTTAATTATTTATAATAATATTTCTAATTCCCCTTTACCCTTGGAAATCTAGACAACTCTATGTTGCCCAGCAAAAAGGCCGTTAAAGCTGTGGCATTTATATCACGAATTAGCTATAGGTATCAAAACATAGGTATTTTTGTTTCATTCATTTCTACTTGGTTTCAGAAATATTTTTAAAGTGGCTTACGTAGAATGACAAGACTAGGTAAAATTTAAAAGAAAGTTGTTTAAAATTTAAAAATTTAATATTAAACTTTAAAAAAAGTTTAAAAGGAAACAAGAGGTGAGAAAATAATTTATGGAAGCTAGTAAACAAATAAGCATATCATGAAATACTATGCCTTACTGGAGGTGGGCTACAAACTTGGCCTTAAGCTTCCTAGTAGTCCACTTAGAAAAGGCAAATACGTTAGTGGGCACTTGAGGGGCTTTGGAAAATGTTTTAAAAAACATCTCAAGCCTAAGAGTTTCCTAGTATTAAAAATACTTCAAGCTGACTGTATCACCTAGTACATTCACAATATGTATGCGTTTTTAAAAATCCTAGAAACTGCTGCTTCAAATCAGGTGGAAAATGTTATTTCAACAGAAATCTTAAATAAAAGATGTGTAACTATGAACTGTCAACATTTAACTTTTAAATTATAACAAATCTGTAAAGAATATAAATCTGTAACATATTAAAGTTTAATAATCCTAGATATTTGCCAAGAAAGGGCTTTATATATAATTTCTTGATGTATATTTAAGGCTTTTATATGTACACGAATATAATTTTTATGAAGGCAGGTATGTCCAAGAGAGTGCACAGAAGTAACAAAATAAAAGTTGTTTGTGCCTAAATCATCCCATCTGTGTCTCTTGGATAATACTCAATCTTCTTTGCAACCACATGCATCAAGCTATTGGCTAAATATCCTTGTAGACAGGATGTCTCCTACTTGCATTTGAACTACTCTTTTGTTTAAAATATAAATGCAATTAATTTGCATTATTTACTTAATCTGTCTTTGCATACTAATGTCGCAAAAACTGAAAATAAATATTAGGTCATGATCAACATGCCTCAAAATATCTTTGTGTTCAGTGACTTTAAATAACTTTTGGCAAAAAAACTAACCCCAACTTTCTTTGAAGCTTTTGATGCTTCCCCACCTCCTACTATCCTCTGCGCCGCCCACCACTATCTTTGAAGTTGGCTCATCTGGTAACAGACTTACTGCAAACTGTAGTGCACACCTACCATTCGAAGAGTTAGATGTTGTCCATGTGACAGACTTAATCAGTCCCTTGGTCTCTCAGACGTGCAGCTGGTGGTGAATTCTTTTTTGCTAGTGTAATCTTGTAAGTGTCTTAAGTTAAAATTAAAGCTGCCATTAAATTTTCATCTTGTTCTTCAAGAAGACTGTTTTCTGGAAGTAGCATGTGTATATATTTTCATGTGGCAGTGCCAAAGAGATATTTTATACTACATCAAATCTTTCATGTTCAGATTAATAGAAAAGTCAGTAAAGAATCCAAGTTGTTGGATCTGGGCTAAACCAGGTCACCTAGAATTATTGGTAAAAATAAAAATATGACCCTCTTTGGCAGTTTTATGCTACAGATGCTGCATTTAAGATGACAGCATTGAAATACAGAAAATCATGTGGGATTTATAGAAATTCTCTCCATGTCCAAATTGCCTGGCCTCTACAAGTCAAAATGTCACTTCTGAAACACATCATTTACCAGTCCTTGAGCAAAACAAACAATCCTTAGGATGTCCTCCACGGAACCAACAAGGTAAAAAGTAATAGAGTTGGAATGTTATCACAATAAGGAGAGGATGGAGCTTCAGATATTGCCAACTTTTTGTAGAAAAGTCAAAAAAAAAGGAAAGGGAACTAAAATTAAATACAGGACAAAAAAGACTTTGAAAGGAGAAAACAAAATGAACTTTTGACAACCACCAACAAATATGTATCCTGTGGGAGATGGTGGATGTGGTTGGGGAGATAGAGGATACCAACTAACAGTAGAATATTTACCCTATTCTGCGAAGAAAATCTATATCTGGGTCTATAAGCAAGAGTTACAAGTTTTCACTGCCATTGTAATTGGGTAGAAAAGTATATTCATGTTTTTAACCTCTTTTTAATGGAAGCTAAAGCACAAGAAAAGACATAGGAGGGGACCTCAAAAAGTTTGTGGAAAGTGGAATTAAAAGATAAAAATAAAAAATATAAACTTTATTTTATTTTATTCAAGTTCCGGGGCACATATACAGGATTTGCAGGTTTGTTACAAGAAAACATGTGCCATGGTGGTTTGCTGCACCTATCACCCATCACCTAGGTATTAAGCCCCACATCCATTAGCTTTTCTTTTTTTTATGCTCTCCCTCCCTCCCTGACTCCCCACCAGCCCCAGTGTGTGTTGTTACCCTCGTTTCTTTCTCAAAATAAGCTCCACCAAGTTTAAGGCACTCTTATAAGTACCCAGTCATTTAATCCATCCTTAAACAACTGAAGGTCCTGAGAATTTAATCATGTCAATGCAGTCTTTTTCATTATTAACTGAAGAAAAATGGATGCCCTTTAAAGACTTTTTTAAGATTAGAAAACAAACAAACAAAAAAACTCAGAAGGTAATCAGGACTATAAGTTGCATGCCTAATTATTTTCCATTGTTTGTTGAGAAGAATAAGAAGGAGCATTATCATGTTGGAGAAGGACTCTAGTGAAGATTTCTTGGGCATTTTCTGCTAAAGTTTTGGCTAACCTTCTCATAATAAGCACATGTTATCATTCTTTGGCCTTCCAGAAAGTCAACAGGCAAAATGCCATGAGCTGCCCCAAAAAATCTGTTGCCCTGACCTTTGCTCTTGACTAGTCCTCTTTTGCTGTGACTGGACCCCTTCCCTCCTTGGTAGCCATTGCTTTGATTGTGCTTCGTCTTCAGGATCATACTGGTAAAGCCATGTTTCTTCTCCCGTTACAATTCTTCAAAGAAAGGCTTCAAGATCTTGATCCCATTTACATAAAATCTCCACTGAAAGCTCTGCTCTTGTCTGAAGCCAATCTGGGCACAACAGTTTTGGCACACAGCAAGTGGAAAGTTTGCCTAACATTGATTTTTTAATCAGAACTCTCTGTATGCTGAACTAATTGAGATGTCTGTGGTGTTGGCTATTGTTTCTGCTGTTAATCATTGGTCCTCTTCAAGAAGGGCACGAACAAGATGAAATTTTTTTCTCACAGATTGATATGGATGGTTTGCCACTGCATGCCTCATCTTCAACATCATCTCATTCTTTTTAAAACAAGTTGTCATTTGTAAACTGTTCATTTATTTGGGGCATTGCCACCATAAACTTTTCATAAAACATCAATAATTTTGCCATTCTTCCACCCAAGCTTTACCATAAATTTGATATTTGTTCTTGCTTCAATTTTAGCAAAATTCATGTTGTTCAGATAAAGGCTGTTTTTAAATTGATGTTTATCCTTCTTAGTGTCTCACACTAGGTCCTGTTTGACATGCTATAAGTTAATACGAGTTTATTTTGGTTCAAAAAAATTTTTGAAATCTATGCTTACTTTTTTCGTGATATGCATTTTCCGTGACATTTTTGAAGTCCTTTTATATATTAAACTTTTATTATTCTTTAGGAAAGAATTCTAATTTTGTGCTTAAGATTTGATACTCAGAATAGTGAGGTTGTGGGTCAGAAAATCTTGGGACAGATTCCAAGCTCTACAGACTCCAAACTAGGTTATCTCTACTGAGCAAGTTTGCTAACCTATTTAACCTACAAATTTCTCATCTGTGAAATGGAAATAGTATCTTTTGCATAGTAAAAGTAATAAATACAAATTATGTTGAGCCTTTAGCACAGTGTGTGTCACATAAGTGATTGATAAAGTATAACTGATATTTCTAGTGAAAATACATGAGAACCCTACCTCCTAACAAGTGTTACAAAATTATTCTAAGGCAGGAGAGTACTGTGTTAGGAGCATCCTATAAGACATAGATCTAAATTGCAGAATAGATTTAGAATACATAGCGTATGCTAGATAATAAAAAACCTCCATGCCTTTCTTCTTTGAAAAGATTATGATACAGTTCCAAATTAGGTAAGGAACAAAACACTATGTCCTGAGGTTCTATTAAATGATGAAGAAACAAATTCGTATAGGTAAATATGAGACTCTTTCTTTTTGAAATATACATATTTTTTGTTTTGGATGATCTCTGGATTCTTGGGTAACTTAGGAGTGAAAAGCCATGATTCAATTTTGTACTATCATTCTAAAAGAATAAGTAAAGGCTTTTATCTTGGTTTAGCAATTATTGTGTTCGTCTCAGAGGGTAGAAATTTGACTCCTATATCTACAGACTCACCTTGTTGTAGGCAAATTGCTTAATCTCCTTTTTAATCATCTTCCTCATCCATAAAACAGCACAATAATATTCACCTATCTCACAGAGTGTTATGTGTCTTTATTAGTTAATGTTTGGAAGAATAATATCCTTAGATGAAAGGAAATGTGAAGTGTAATTATCATTTTATTTTTGCATGATACATTATGGAATGAGACCTTAAGATGCTGTTCCTGTGACAGAGGCCAATAGAGATACGCAGATCTGTGCATCTGATGGCCAACAAACAGCCTATACAGAAATGATATGAAAGGTTTTATCAGACTCTAATTTCAGAATTTTTTTTTTATCTCCAACTGCATGAGTTAGCCAGTGATGAAGGAAAAGAGAATTAGGTATTTCCTCCATCATCACAGCATTCTACCTTCAGTTTTTACCTGTCTCTTAATCAAACAATCCTACCACATTGAGAATTCATTCTTTTCAAGGTCAGGTTGAGGGGAAGGGTCTCTAAGAATAAATCAGTAGTTAACAATAGGAACATAAATAAGGTATTTCTCTGTGTTCACCCTTTTTTATCTTTGATTTTTTTTCCTCTCATACATCTTTTGGATGAACCATTTGTCGTTTTTGTTGTTTTCTTTTCCATGAAATTGCCACAAACCTCAGCATTGAATGTGAAATTTTAGAACCCAGGGATACACCAATGAGAATATACCCTATTACACAGTGACTGTTTCTCCCTTACATTTTCAATGGCTAGGACTGTTTTGAAAGACTGTTGCAGGGTTTGATGATGCTTGGAAAACACTTTAGACCCCTGAAGGAAGCAGAGAGCATACCAAAGGATTTCTAACCAAGTAACCACCCTACAGATTTACTTGCTATAATAAAAATACACACTAGTCACATCCCTGGTCTGCTTAAAACCACCTTTTCATGGCTTCCCACAGTCCATAGGTAAAGGTCATGATTTAGTAGCACTTTACAAACCAGCACCAATCTTCATTACAGTCTTGCTGCCTACTGCCCTCCTTACTCCGAACCCTCAGCACAAAATGCTTTTCCCTAACCTCATTCTAATCCTTCAGGACTCAGGTCAAAAGTTCTCTCTCACCATCCAGGAAGTTTTTATAGTTACATCTCTGAGTCTCCCTATTATTCATAAACACATTTGCATTAACAATTGTTGCATTTATATATAAAAATTACATATATTTGTTTATTAACAAATTATTTAATGTGTTATTTAAATTTAAATTATATTACATTTTTATTATGTATTTATGTTTTATTTATACTTTATATATGTATATATGTTTATTTCTCTAATTTATATTTGTCTGTATATTTATATAGTTATTGTGTAAACATTAATTAAATACATGAAATATTTAAATGTATTTATGTTTATATAAATATGCATAGATTCATAGATGTGTATGCTTTATATATATCCTCATTACTATTTATTTAGAATTTTATTTATATGTTTATATTTATTTGTATTTAGAGTATGTTCAATTAAATATTAATATTAAATAAAATTATTTAATTTCCTTTCTACTTCAACTACTAGGCTGTGAATTCCTCTAGGTCAAGTATTCAAAATGAGATTCAAACTCAACTCAATACAATGATAATACCTACCTTTATTGAGCACTAATTTCATGCCAGACCCTGGGCAAAGTGGTTTGTGTACATTATCTCATTTAATCTACACAATCATTGAAGGATATCACTGTTATTATTATCCACATTTAAAGATGAAAAGCAGTAACTCACCCCTAGTATTGAGTGCTTAGTTAGGCTTTGAACCCAGTTTTGGTCTTAACTCCAAAGACCTGGCCTTTGACCACTGGGTGATGGGAAAGCAAGGTGAGGGCCATGCATCCTAGTGGGTAAGAGCCAAGCAAGGGTTTGGGAGTCAGATAACCGAGGCACAAGTCCCTATTCCATTATCTCTTAGTGGCGTGGATCTAGAATATTTCCGTCTTTCATGACCATTTTGTGTGAGAGAGACCCAGATGCAGAGTGAATGCCAATTGGGAAAAGGAAAATGTATCAGTAGTTAGTGATAGAAAATTTAGATTTTGTAAAAAAAATGGACATTGTTACTTCCTCGATGACAAAACTAAAAAGAACACTGGCTAAAAGTTAAATTCCATTATTTTCTACCCTTTAGTTCCTTGCAACTCAAGAAAAGGTAACATTAGAATCACCTGGGAGTTCGTGAGAAATACAGAACCTCAAGCTCCAACCCAGAGTACAGAATCAAGTTCTGTATTTGGACGAGATCCTCCAGTGATGCCTACATAGGACATAGCTTGAGAAGTGCTTGTTTGTATCATTCTCTCCCTGACCAATACGATTAAATTGTGATTCCAAATAAGACTTGTTGATTCTCCAACTTTATATCTAAAAGAAATTCAGGGATTACAGGAGAGAAGTAAGGGTGCAAGTAAACCAAGAATCAGTCTAATATCAGGTTGGCTGCAAGCAAGCCCTGTGATCTCAGCAAATTACTTTCTCTATGACTTAAATTCCATCTCTATAACAAATGTTTTAGAAGGAAGGAGGAAAAGAAGGAGATAGAAAAGAGGGAAATCAGTATAGATAATTATAAAGGAGACTTTCTAAATTCAAATATTCATTAAGTATAAGATTAATAAAGTAAAACAGACCTGACTAAAAATTATAAGGATTGTGTGTCTGTCTTAACTACTGCTATATTTTCTAGTACTTAGTAGGTGCTGTGTAAATATAAATGAACTAATAATGAAGAAGTGATCACTCTCACACTTAAAAATAGTCAGAAGTCTTTCTCAAACTAGCAGCACCTTCTTCTGTACTCTTATCATAATTTGTTTACATCCGTTGACACTTAAGACAATGTAACAAATTTATTAAACAACATACAATCATCCATAACCCTATCTACTAATAACATTTCTGCAGATTTTCTCCCCTCAGCACACATCTTTTACGTAGCTAATATCATAGAGTACGTAGATTTGCAATCTGCATATTTCTATACTATATAATAGCACTGGCATATGGCAGCCATCCAAGAGACATTTGTGAATGTGCATAGCTTTCATAATTATCTTAGGACTGCATAATATTTCTTCAAGTTAATGTGCCCTCATTTTTAAAACAGTCCATAATGTTGAACATGTTGGTGGTTTTTACATTTTTTTTCCCTTTTACAAAATAATTCTAGAGGAACATCTTTGAGAATGTAGATTTGTGGGTCTGTCGAGTGACATTTCTTTGACATTCACAGGAGTGGATTGATTGGAACAAAGAGCACATCATTATGGCTCTTGTTACATACTGCTGAATTTTCTTTCTAGTTCCCAGCCTTTAGGATTGTGAGAGAGTCCTAAATTTTCCAGTGGCTGTAGCAAAAACTAGAAGCCAGAAGCCAGCTACTGGTGCCACCACAGTCCTTGAAAATGGCAAGACAGACATTCCCACATTCTTTTCTTTCATAGACAATTTAAACAAAATGGAAACCCTGCACTAGAATTTGGCTTACAGCATCTAATGGATGAAATATCGTGTTACACAAATGACCAGACCTGCTGGATAAACAAGATACATTCAGAGTTGCATTCTTTCCCAGAATCTTTGGAGCATGGATTCACAATTCTATTTCTAGCCTATTTTTAAAATATCAAAGAGAAGGACCAGATGTCACAATGAATTAATATCCTGGACTTACAAATCTGGAGACATAGGTTCAAATTCTCCCCAGTTGAAAGTAAATACGAGTTTTCTGGCTTCTTGGAGCTCCCTAGTGAATATTTCATTCACCCCCAAATTTGACAGTTTGACAGGATGATCCCAGCATCTTCTTTTCTATCATGACCTGAGGGCTGAAAGCTCAGATGAAGTGAGGCAGGTGCCATAACTGAGCCGAAGGAAAATCCAGCCTCATCTCCCACTCCCCTCACCACACAGACCTCTAGGGATTCCTCTCTCCTATTCAACATTTCCCCATCAAGAGGCACTGAGTTACACAGCTGTTGCTTAAGAGAGACAGGAAATAAAGGAGGAGGAGCTCTGGCCCTTTGACTGACTTAGTGATGGAGAGTCAAAGGCCATCAAAGTGCAGCTGCACAGTCCATTGGCATGGCCATGGTACTGTTGCAGTCCATCCAAGTGGATCCCATGAAGGCTCTCCCTTGATGGATTTCCCCTTAGCGACACTCACTTTTATTCTCTACTTGAGTCAGTTTCTGACACCCGTCACAGAGACTGTGGCAATGTTATTAACATATTTATGCTTGATGGCCTTTTCTTCTAGGAAGTCTTCCTGCTAAGCTGGGGTTACGTACCCTGTTGTCATGCTCTCCTGGCACCTTTCTTCCCATCCCAGCACTGCTTTTACTTCCTGCAATAGCCATACCTATCTGCTTCCCTCTGGGGCCCTAGACTCCATGAGAGCAGAGAATGCACCTACCCACTTCACTTCACTATTTAAAGATCTCAGTAAGTTCTTCTAGATCATCCTAGAAATCACTGGAGACACCTCTGGGAAAAGAAGAGTGGTGTGGGAGAGGCAAACTTTGTGTAGGAGAGGCCCCCCTGATGGGGGATGAAAAGGGAAATGCCCCAGCCTCACAGCCAGCTGGGCACCTCACTCAAGTGAATTTCCCTAGAAACCCCAGTGGGTCCTCATGTGGAAAGTGTGGCTGGTGTGATGATAGAAAATGGCAAATGATCTTTCCCTCAAAAAGGCAAAGGAAAGGGAGGTAGCACGTTAAGCATCAATGCCAAGATGTAACCCACAATAATTACAGTTCAAGAAAACCTGAACTTGGAAAATTTTGATTAAAAAAAACCCTACATGTACAATCTTACTTCATATCTGTTTTTCTTTCTAGTTACGTTGGATTTTCAATTTAAAGTACATTTAAATGGACATTTTAAAAGGCAGAAGGAGCAAATTCACACAACTCCCCCAGCAGCTTGCCCATGGGATTCATCATGGGGAGAAAGCCTGGCTGATCCTGGGCTTTCTGAAGAGGTGGGCTGTCCACTTGTCACCCCATATGAAGATGCTCTGCTTTTATGTGAGTTCAGCTCTATCAAACTATGAGCATATGTTTCAAAAAAAAAAAACTATGTCTTTTAAGGCATAGTAAAGACAGCTGAAACATTCTTTCTCTCCCTCCAGAAACCTAGGAATGAATTCCTCACCACTAAGGCAGAGTCCAGGAGAGAAAAGGCAACCAGCCAGAGAGGAAAAGGGAATCCAGAGAGAGCCGATCAAGTCAGGCCAAGTTAATAACAGACCTGCAAAGACCAGCCTCCAAGACTCTAACCTGCAGCCATGGGGAAATCCCAAAGAACCTGTCTCTTTAATTTTTTTTTCCCTGAAAAATATTATCTGGAGCTCTTCCTCTAAGTCTCTCGGCACCCTGATATTTGGGATAATTGCACCCACTGCTCTTAAGCTTGGGTGCTAAAATCCCCTCCTGGAGTTGAGTTTTTAAAGGGAGCAGATTTAAAGCTGTCAGCAGTAGAGGAGAGAAGGCCAAATTGCTCTCATGCTTGAGCCTGTGGCCCAATTTGTTTGTAATTGGATTGGTATGCAGGGAAGATAGAGCTGTCTGGGGGAAATGCTACATGATTCCCTTTAGTAGAGGATACTACTGATGCTGCTCATAGCCCAGCGCCAGATCCCAACTAATGAGGGAGGGCAGTGAGACCCTAAACGCAGAGGAGAAGGGCCAATTCCATGTATTCACCAGGTAAAAGGACAGCAGGGGATGCCCTTCACCAAATTTAACCCAGAAATCAGAGCATACATTGCAAGGTTTGTGTGCAAAGTTAGGGAATGTGGGCCAAGGAGGAAGCTTGGATGACAGAAGGGAGGAGAAGATGAAGCTGGACAGGATTCCAAGAGTCTAATAGCAGCCCTTTACCAGGAGAACTTTTTTTTTAATAAAATGAAATTGCTGCAACTTCCATTGCCTTCTCAGTTGAGTCTACATGGCCCAATTGTCAGCCAATAATATAAATTCCATCTGCAGGCCATCGCCAGCTGCAGAGCCTGAAAAATGTAGGCTTGGGGAGAAAGAGATTTAGTTCTACTCTCGGTTTTGCTACATACCATTTATGAAACTTTGGCAAGATACTTAACCCAATTGAAGCTCAGTCTTCTGGTCTGTAAAATGAAAATAATAACTCCTATGAGAATGCTGACTTAAAGGGATCTTGAAAGTCTGAAGAGCCATATTGGGTAAAATTCATGGTCAATCAGCATTATCCCCCCCCACCTTTATATATGTTCCCCTTTATCTCAGGCACCAGAAGCCTGGGAACTACATATCCCAGATTTGCTTTCCACCAAGGTTCTGAATTTGACTTACATTTGACAATGAAATTCATTTGTGAGATATCTGTAAGGGGAAAGAGAGCAAGAGATGCCTCTTCCTCTGTCAATGGTGGTGGTGGTGACTTGAGTATGAGCTCCCACAGATGTGACCAACATAGTAGCTGGCTGGTCACCTCTAGGCACCAGCTTCAAGGCTGTGGGCCAGTTATTATTTCCTGACCTCAGGTGGCAACCTGTGTGACATAACCTGAAAGCTAAGAGTAATCCACCTTACTTTCTTGGTTCTAGTCTTTTCCACAGCATAGTACTTTCTTGGTTCTAGTCTTTTCTGCAATGTAGTAAGCACTCATATTTGCTTTCTATTCCTATTTGTTTCAGGCAATGGAAGGCAATGGAAGTTGCAGCAATTTCATTTTACTAAAAAAATTTATATAGCAAATTATCACAAACTTAGCACCTTAAAACAACACTTATCACACACTTCCGTAGAGCAGGTGAGCTCAACTTGGTTCTCTACTCTGGGTTCTCACAGGGCTGAAATCAAGGGGTCAGTCAGATTGAGCTCTTATCTGGAGGCGCTGGAAAGAATCTACATCCAAGTTCATTCATGTGGTTGGAAGAATTTACTTCCTCCTGCTTTTAGGACTGACATTCCCCTTTCCTTGCTAACATCAACCAGGGGCCTCTCTCAACTCCTTAAAGCCACCTACGTTCCTTCCCACAAGGCCTCCTGCATCCTCCACGTGGAGTCCTTCTCACAACATCACAGCCAGCAGCAGAATCCTTGTGTCAAATCCATCCCCACACTTTAACTCTGATTTGCTTTTCCTTTACGAGGAGAAAGCTGCCTGCTTTTAAGGGCTCATGTGATTAGATCAGGCCCCTTAGATAATCTCCTTTTCTTAAACTGAGTCATATAATATATCACAGGAGTGTTATATTAGCATACTTACAGCTTATAGAATTACAGTATAAGATTTTTGGGGAACCATTTGATAAATTCTGCCTACCATAGCACCTAATTCCCTCTATTAAATCACATCCTGCATGAAAAACCTACAGTGGTTTCTGTTTTCCTGTACTGAACCATAAGGGATCTGAGACCACTGTCTGCAAACAAACTCTAAAGTAGAGAAAATATCCCTTAAGGTTTCATAATGGTCTTACCCTTGGAACATGGTGGACCTTTACCCAACAAACATCAGTTCAACAAACAATTATTTAGCAACTGTCATGTACCAGGTTGTGCTACATTTAAGGCAATCAAAAAAGAATAAGAAACCCTCCTACCCTTATGGTCTAACTGGCAAAATAGCCACATGAATAGAGCATTTCAGTGGATTATAGCATCAGAGATTTTAAGAGAGATTAGGTTCAAAGTGGAACACTATTCATTTACTCAAGAAATATTGTTTAGACAGCTACTCTGGGTCAGGCATTGGCTTAGGTGCCAGCGATTGGAAGACTAATAGAGTAGGTTCCTCCCTGGAGAATCTCAAGTCTGATGGAGGAATTGGATATGTAATCACAATAAAATATAATGTTATAATAATGTCTGCAATATTTAGACTTTTTACTAGGTACCCTACACTATGCTAAATACTTTAAGTACATTATCCTTTTTAACTTTTACTTTAAGCCACGGCTGGGCATGTTGGCTCATGCCTGCAATCCCAGAACTTTGGGAGGCCGAGGCGGGTGGATCACCCGAGGTCAGGAGTTCGAGACCAGCCTGGCCAACATAGTGAAACCCTATCTCTACTGAAAATAAAAATCAGCTGGGCATGGTGGCTCGCACCTGTAATCCCAGCTACTCAGGAGGCTGAGGCGGGAGAATAGCTTCAACCAGGGAGGTGGAGATTGCAGTGAGCCAAAATACAGCCATTGCACTTCAGCCTAGATGACAAGAACAAAACTCTGTCAAAAAAAAAAAAAAAAAAAAAGCTTACCTTAAGCCTAAGAGTTATATACAATTATTTTCTAAATTTTACAGAGGAGGAAAATGAGGCTGAAAACAATTAGGTCACTTTTCTAGGAAAAGATAGATCTGAGTTTGCAACCCAGATAGACCCAATTCTGTCACTCCCACCCCACCCCCTCAGGGGATCACTTCAGGATCATTTCTCAACATTTCTGTACTGCTTGCTCCACCCCACCTCCACAGTTTACTGCCATTCCCACACACATGGGCTTCACTTCCTACAGCCAACACCTGCACTCTTTCTTGGAGAACTATCTTTTGAGTCTCCTTTGCCCACACAAATGGAGAAACCAAAGTGTCTTAGGGAGTGCATGTCCCCTGGGGTGGTTCTTGACCCATACCTGCTGGATATGAGGGTATGAAAACTCCAGTTCCTTTGCCTTAGGTTAGGACAACTCTGAGGCCTGATGTATAATTATTGACTTTGCCTGCAGATTGGGCAAAAGATGATCGAATTTGTCTGTGATTGTACACTCCCTTGGCTTCCTCCTTCCCCTCACCTCTGTGCACCCCTCCCCACTACTTTCCCAGTTTCCTTTGGGAATTTCCTCATTGTGATGGTTAATATTATATTGAGTGTCAACTTGATTGCATTGAAGGATGCAAAGTATTGTTCCTGGGTGTGTCTGTGATGGTGTTGCCAAAGAAGATTAACATTTGAGTCAGTGGACTGGGAAAGGCAGACCCACCCACAATCTGGGTGGACACAATCTAATTGGCTTCCAGGATGGCCAGAATAAAAGCAGGCAGAAGAACATGGAAAGACAAGACTAGCTAAGTCTTCTGGCCTTCATCTTTCTCCCATGCTTGATGCTTCCGGTCCTCAAATATCAGACTCCAAGTTCTTCACCGTTTGGACTCTTGGACTTATACCAGTGGTTTGCCAAGGGCTCTCTGGCTTTTGGCCACACACTGAAGACTGCACTGTTGGCTTCCCTACTTCTGAGGTTTTGGGACTCAGACTGGCTTCCTTGCTCCTCAGCTTGCAGATGGCCTATTGTGGGACTTCACCTTGTGATCATGTGAGTCAATTCCCCTAATAAACTCCCCTTCATATATGCATGTATCCTATTAGTTTTGTCCCTCTAGAGAACCCTGACTAATACATTCATAAACACTTTAGCACAGATCAGAGGGTCTGCCCTAAGACACCACTGCTCTGATATTTACACTACACCACTATGGGAACCAAGAGGAGTGACTATATCCATTTGGGGCAGTTGGCATAGCATTCCCAGAGAAAGTAATATTTCTGGGTTATAAGCAGAGGTCTGCCAAGATGGACAAGTGGGAAGAAGAGCATTCCAGCTGAAGAGAATGGAACACACAAAAACACAGAAAAAGGAAGGTTAAGGGCAAGTTGAAGGATGGAGAAACAGGTTGGATAGCCGGAGCCAAGGGTAGAGGAGGCAAGACCTGCAGTAAGTAGGAATCCTCAGGCCAGGAGAAGCACCTAAGAGTATTAAGGGAGATAGACCATGATCACCTTTATCTTTTTGATTCAGCAAATACTTACTGAGAGCTTACAATGAAGGTAGGAAACCAACCTAGTCACTTGGGGGATATTACAATGACAACCACTAAATACATGTGCATATTTAAATTTAAATTAATTAAAATTAAATTTTAATTTCCCAGTCACACTAGCCACATTTCAAATGCTCAGTAGTCACATGTGGCTAGTGGCTCTCACACTGGTTAGTGCAGGTATCGAACATTTGTATCACTGCAGAAAGTTCTATTGGATGGTGACAATCTAATCACAGGAGGGGATAGCTATTCACCTTCCATCTAATTTTTCATTTTATGTGGCTATTTCCTTTTTAGTCTTTTTAAAAAGTTACTTCTTCTGCCTGTCCCTTTTAGTCAGAAGAATCTGAGGATTCTTTTGATGGCACAGTGGGGCGGCTGCACAAGCACCTGCATTGGGCAATCAGATCATAGTAGTGGTTGTCAAAAGATTGCAAAAGGGATTGCAGAAATCCCTTTGAAAATGCACGTGGTCTTTTATGTATTGGATGAGCGAGATATGCTCACACCTGCCTAGAGAATCCAAGTAGTGGGGTCTGCCTGCCTCAATCTGTTCACCTTATTCATTCTGAATGTGTGTAGCTCAAAGCATGTCCTCCCAAAGCAAAAGAATATTTACAAAAGAGACACAAACTGAATTCCTCACCTGGCACTCTGTCATTTCCAGTGCCACACAAATGAAAGTAAACCAGCCACTAGCAACAGTCATTTCCGAAATCCAGTGGGAAATTTAAAACTCATGATTTTATATATTTTACATAATAAATTCATAGGAACTGGAATTTTATTTGAAGAGTTGTTTCCTTCTGCTTCTTCATCTTCCATTTGATTACAAGAACCAACCAACCAACCAACCAACCAAGTTTTTACTGATATCCTAGAATAAATCTATCAAACAGAAACACTGAGCTGTGTTTAATCAGTGTCACTGCAGAGAAATTTAAACTTAACACAGTACAAATCATAATAATTATGCATTTAAATACTAAATTCACCCTAAAGAGGCAATTTAGTATTTAACTGAGAAAAGAACAAGTGTCTCTTTATTCCTGGTATGGTACACCTTTCAGGTTTCAAACAAATACCACCCACTTTATAAAAGCTCTCCTCGTTATCATAATAACAAGAGGAATTATAAGAGAGGAAAAATGCTATTTTTAAAAATAAAATTTCAACTTTTATTGACCGTGATGCCTGTATCAACAGCTTAACCCAGTCTGCTTTATATGACTTTTAGTAGCCAAATAAAGTATAATATTTTTTAAAAGCTTGTAAACACTAGTAGACCAGTTCTTAAAGGCCTGGAACAGCTACATGAACCAGAAGCTACATAGAAAAGAGATTGTATTTTTTCTAAGGCAGAGAAGGTGTCATTGCAATCAATAAGATGTCTTTTACAGTTTTTCTTCTTTTGGTGTGTGTGTGTGTGTGTGTGTGTGTGTGTGTGTGTGTGTGTGTGTGTGTGTGTGTTTAGGGCTTGGTTAATTCTATTGCCCTTGCACCTGCAAGCAAAAGGGTACAGAATATTCCCACTCTCCTTTTTCTCTAATTCTACAAGACTGAGGAAGGAACAGCGACCAAGCTCTTAAAGTTTTCCAGCTGCTTATAGAGAGGTGGGTTGTGTTCCACATTTTACTCTTACAGCCCTGCCACCAGATGAAAGGAAAAGCATAAAAGCATCAGCAAAGCCTGGACTCTGCTTTTCCTGCTCTAACATGCCATCAAATAGAGACAGAGCACTCGACTGATGTAGGCATTCTGTTGTTCGTATTTGCCGAGTTCAGCTAAGAATGTCTGAGATCAACAGGTGGCCTTGCTAATGGAACAGATTCACTCATTGTTTGTGTGTTTAATGAATCATTGAGTTACTGATCAACAGTGAGCAATGGAAGCTGTTCAAACAGAAAGGAAGCCCAGCCGTGAGGTGGTGCTGCCAACACACTCCTTTGAAGCTCGGCTGGCCCCTGTGGGGAGTGCAGGAGGCTGGGGGTCTACTCCCTACGGTTCCCAGAGAAATGGTAGCAAGAAGACGGTGTTATTTCTAATTGGATGATGAAAGTCAGCCTAGGGGACAGAGACCAAAGGGCCATACGTAAGAAGAGGAGGAAGTGAAAACATCTGAATCAAAGGTTGAGGTAAAACTGAGAGACAGTGTTTGCAGTGAACCATGCAGTAACCTTCATCTTGCCCCCTGGTCTTCAGGAAACAAGCAAGTGGGGAAGGACCGAAAGAGGTAAGAAAAAAGCAAAGCTGAAGATGCAGATGCTGATTTTTTTTTACAAAGAGTTCATAGTACAGTGGAAATTCTCTGTCATTCTGAGAGGCGGGGCTGAACTTCATTGTGGGATTCCTAAGTTACACCAAGCCTTGCCTGTGAGTGGAATTGACTTACGGTAGACTAGAAGTGTAATTAATGAGATGTGTTTCTTAAATTCCCGACAAATAATATGTTTTATTTGTCACCATTAAAAGTTTGAATTTTTAAACAGATTCTCGGACTTTTATCCATCAGCTTGTTTAACGTTAGCATCTGTCTCACCCCAGTAGCTTTTCTAGAACCACTACCTTCATCATGAGGCTCCCTAGGTTTTCCCAGTTCAGAGTTGGGCATCTTCAGCTTCACTTTTCTAATGAACACATTATAGAGAGGATAACTAGATTGGCAACCCTCTCCTATGTCTTTCCAGCGCTTTCTGCTATCAATTCAATGGCCACTTCTTCCAAGACATCCATCTGTACCTCCTAGGTCGAGATTTCTATCATCTTCTTTCAGGCTTGGCAGGCCTATAGTTGCTCGGTGTAGGAGGTCATCAGAATCTGATTGTTGCTTTTTCTTTTTTTTTTTTTTTTTTTTTTTAGTAAAACCAACACAAAAGAGATGAAGCAAATAACCATCAGTAGCTCTGACATTAACGTAAACTTCATACCTGGTCTGACACTTTTTAACCATGGAGCACATTTTTTCGTGGGTGAAATCCCTGCCACAGAAGTTGGTCAGGCAATCTTCACCCTAAATACCTTCAGTAATGAACTTGAATTTTCTAAATGCAACCTCATTGTTCTGTAGATCAACAAGGCTCACTTCAAAAAAATGGCTCAACCACTTTCTCCTTGGATCCCTTTTCGGCACCTTTTGTGGGCTGTGTTTCTTTGTTTTTGTTTTCTGTTTTGTTTTGTTTTGAGACGGAGTCTCACTCTGTCGCCCAGGCTGAAGTGCAGTGGCGCGATCTCGGCTTACTGCAAGCTCCGCCTCCCGGGTTCACGCCAGTCTCCTGCCTCAGCCTCCTGAGTAGCTGGGACTACAGGCGCCCGCTACCACGCCTGGCTAATTTTTTGAATTTTTAGTAGAGACGGGGTTTCACCATGTTGGCCAAGATGGTCTCGATCTCCTGACCTCATGATCCACCCACCTCGGCCTCCCAAAGTGCTGGGATTACAGGTGAGCCACCGCGCCTGGCCTGTGGGCTGTGTTTTTAAAAGGGAGGGGACGTATGAGAGATATGACCAAGTGTGGTCTGGTGGGGAGAGCACTGTGCTATGGGTTAAGCAGTGTGTGTCTTAGTTCCAATTTGGCATCTATCTTTGGAGCACCGTTGGTCCCATACTGTCTGTGGCAGAGACTGGCTAAGCTATTCATCAAACCTGTGTCCTTTTTTCCCAACACAGCTAAACCTGGTTCTTAGCCTTTCTGAGAGTCAGATGTGTCCATGTGACAGGTACTGACCACTGGACTGTGGACAAAAGTCAGGTACTTTACAATCAGGTCTGAATCAGGTCTGAATCCTCACCTTGAGCTGGATAGTGATACCTAAGGCTGGCCATGAAGATCACAGAGCTGTCAATCTTGGGTCCCCTCAGACCTCAGGGTGGCCAAGCAGGGTCTGGGGCAGCTGGAGTACCTGGTCTGGGCACCTCAGTTGTAAGAAATCTCCATTTACCCTACTGTGCTAACTCCTTCTACACGTGCCATGAAAACTGAAAAGTAAGGCAATTTCCCAGTGGACTCTGAGATTGCTTCCAGTCCTACCATCCTCAGTTGGAAGCCATTTATACTCTCATCCACCCTCAACAAAGATAGAAGGATGCTCTTCCTGTGCATTCAAGATCTCCTGGGGGAGGGAATGGGACTTTGCTTCCTCCTATTCTCCCTCAGAGATAGAGATGAAGGGGAAAATATAGAAAAGAAAGAAAACAGAATGTCTGTCATAGTCCACTAGCCAGTTAATGGGAGGGAATCATGAAAGGGCCTCACAATGAGGAGGCCTACAAGGAAATAGCATGACGTCTGTGAGAGCCACAAGCCAGAGAACGAGGGTGCCACTTGCCACCACACTTGGCTGGTGGCAGATCCTTGGGCTGTAAATCCTAAACAAGGGCCAGACCAGTGACAACAAACTCCTGTTCCTCCAGCACATCTCTTGCTATGGGTTTGTGCTTAATCAAGCCAGCCTCAAATCCTTTTAGAACTAAAAGTCTCAGCTATTCCAAAATTAACCTCCTTCCATATGTCCTCTTCAATAAAGCCTTCTTTTCAACTCAAAGAAGGATGTGAAAGCTATTGCTCCCTTAGGCAATGCCATTGCTGTTTGAAAAACCAAGATGTATATACACATATGTCCTATGTATACATAACTTATAGTATAATTTTCTGATTCTGGATGTTTGTATGTATAGTGGAATGTTAGCTCCTTCTAGACATAGAAGCTGCACCATATGTCCCTGTGGTAGGAATGTGACCTACTCCTGGAATGAAGAGATTGCATTTGATCTGTGACATTAAATAGCCAAACTAAACACTCCACATTGAGACAATACAAAACTGGTCCATAAAGATATCAACAAGACCCCCACATTTTTACAAGGACAGCAAAAGATAATTCTACATTTTTTACAAGTCTTTTAAAAAAATCTTTGAAGCATTTCTATAGTGTTTATTATGTAAAAACATAGTTCTAAATGCTTTTGCAGCTATTAATCTGATTCTCCATGAGAAGGATATTATTATCATCCCATTTTACAGGTAGAGAATCTGAGGAAGAGATGAGGTCATTTGCCCAAATTCACACAGCGAGTTAGCAGCAGAACTGGGGTTCCAACTCATGTAGTCTAGTGTCACAGGCCGTGTGCTCAGTCATGACACCATGCTGCCTGGTGGCTTTATTTATTTATTTATTTTTTGAGACAGAGTCTCATTCTGTCACCCAGGCTGGAGTGCAGTGGCACAATTTCGGCTTACTGCAACCTCTGCCTCCCGGGTTCAAGCGAATCCCTTACCCCAGCTTCCCAAGTAGCTGGGATTACAGGTGCCCACCACCACGCCCGGCTAATTTTTGTATTTTTAGTAGAGACAGGGTTTCACCATGTTGGCCAGGCTGGTCTTGAACTCCTGACCTCAAGTGATCTGCCCACCTAGGCCTCCCAAAGTGCTGGGATTACAGGCATGAGCCACCGCTCCCAGCCCCAGTGGCTTTAATAATGACCAAACCTCATCTGTGTTTTCCTCATACACACCCACACTCTCTGGTCCTCCCCACATTGGAAAAGTGCATAATAAGTTTCACCCAGTCATTTCTCCAGAGTCTCCTGAACTTATGGATCAAAAGCAGCCCATCTGAAGTATGGCCCTGGCTAGGAAAAGCCTTCATGGCAAGTATAGAACCTGAACATGGGCTCTTGGTAAAAACTTTCGGTCCTTAGAAAATTTAATTCTTAATGAAAAGCCAATGTTCAAACTATCATTCTCTATGGAAAATAGGAATCTATTCTACAAGATTGACTTTTTCCTCCATGATTTTTTAGTTGTGGGAGTCAAAAAGACAGTATGATTGTGACATATTTTAAAGAGCAGGTGCTTAAATATTTAATGACTTTCAATAGTCCCTCTTTTCTAGCATTCAGGAAGAGTTGAGCAGAAATTGGCAGAAACCGTGTCAGAAGTTCCCATGTTCAGTCACCACATTACCATGCTTGGCTGGCTGAGATGGAGTGACAGAATTTACCCCTCTAGGCTGTTTCTCCATTTTTGAAGTGAGAAGGGCAAACTCTATGACTTCTGGAGTCTAATCCAATTCTTACAGGATTTTTAATTCACTATCCCCATGGCTGCAAGACCACTAGAGATCTGCCTCCTGACAAGGCTTTCCTGCCTCATCTCAGATCCCTGAGCTCCTTGCTCATGAAACTCTAGGCACATGGGCTTCCCTTCTTCCAGAACGCTAATCCCTTTCCTGGCGTAGGGCCTTTCCACCAGCAATTCCCTCTGCTGGAAAGCTGGATCATCACCTGGTTAGCTCTTTTTTATCATTCAAGTTGCTGGTTAACTTCTTTAATCAGCTCTTCTGTGAGCCTGTCCCCAATATCTCAAGCTAAACTAATCTTCCCATCCCAGCACTAACTCTCCATCAATCACCCTGATTTATTATCACCTATCAAAATCTGATATTCTCTTGTTTATTTCTTTTGTTTATAGTCTATCTCCCCCCATTAGGTATAAACTCCATGTCTGTCTTATTCATCATTTTATCTCCAGTACCTATGTAAGTGCATAGTAGCTACTCTATGAATATTTGCTGAGTGAATAAATTCAAGAAATGCAGGACTCCTAATGCAGGCAAAATCAGAGCCTAAGAGCAAGAGGCAGTAGGATTCCTTTCTAAGAGTCACTTCTTGGTGCTACACTTCCCTTTTCTTTTTTAATTTAGTGATTTCAGAACGAAGGTCTGAGTGACTATACACAGATCCACATTGTAAGAGGTAGGTTTGTGTGCCCTTTCTCTTCTGTGGATGGATCTCCTACCTCTTGTGAGAAGTTGTGAGTCTTCAGTGACATCTTGTCTGGTTATACTACCTGCATCACAAACAGAAAATTGCATGTTCCCCCTTAGGGAGACCAGCACCTTACTGTGAGGACAGCTGTGTTGCTCTGGTTCTGCAGATTCTGGGCTTCTAGATCTGAATAAAGGTAGGTTCAAGTCAAGTGGCCATCTGGGCAGAGAAAGGCTGGATGCTGTACTCTAAGAGGTGCTTCTATATTGGCTTCAATGTTTCCTGAAGCTGATTTGATGTTGGCTACTGCCCTGGTGCAAAGGTGTCCTTTCTCTCTTAACAGAAGGACTGAATACCATACCAGATAATAGTGGATATTCTGTCTTGGATCTCTGACCAGACAGAGAGGCTTGACAAAGGCTTAGAGGCTTGACAAAGCTGCGTGGAGTTTCTGGGCGTGACACCTACAGAAGCTGCTCCTCCCAGCTCAAAAGGGAGCAGCTGCCTCCTCAGGGCCAAAGGCAGAGTCTCCACCCAGGTGACTCACCAGGGACTAAAGTAGAACGAGGAGGAACAACCCTGGTGAAGTCACGGGACAATGTGAAAGCATCACCACCTGGATTTCAGAAGGGAAGGCTTGGCCCTGGTGTGTGAGGAACCATCTCAACACACCCATGACCCACGGGTAGAGAGCTGGCTTCATAGTTTTTAATGGTTAATTGACTTTGACTTTTCCTTCTCCCCTCCAACCAGTTTCAGAACCTCCAGGTCTGTGAAGAGACAGATCTCAAATTCCTCCATTCACTCTCCCCAGCCTCCTACATCAAATATGTTATAAAGTAACAACTCAGAACTAGTGATTTTCTATTCCACTGTAAACAGATTTCAGAGTCGGAGACTTCAGCACTTCATTGCCCCAATATTTGGTTGAGAAGTACTTCCTTAAGTATTACCAACTTATCTCTTGCAGCAATATCAGCCCATTTCTTCCTATTCAATCTAGTGTAAAGGAGCAAAATAGTGACTATCTATATTCTTCATGATCCTTGAAAACAATTAAGTCAACCCTTAGCTTTCTGTCTTTATTCATCAAATGTCAGGAGAGAACATGCTCCCACCATTATAATCTTTCCGGTCATCCTTTTACAAACTTTACTTCTTTGCATCATTCTTCTAACTATGAAGTCAGAATTGTACATCCTGCCCTCATAAGGTCCGTGGCAAGTCTTGGAGCAACAATAAGTTTCTTTCCAATTTTTGATGTCACATTCCTATTCTTTCTGATCTGGAAATGCATGGCTGACTTATATTCAACTTGAATTTAGATCTCAGGTCTTTTCTTGTCATATAGCCTCACCCAATTCTTCCCTAGACAGGGTTAACTGCATTAGTTTTTTTGTCCCTGGATATACTGACCTTGTCCTCTACCTCTTTTCAGATGGTTGGTGTCCTACATTTCCCAAGTTTATTAACATTTATTTTTCAATCACTGAAAGTTTCAGAAAACTCAGACAGCTAAGAAGAAATACCTGCACATCATCTGACAAGAACATGGAACAGTCTTGGCACCAGGAAGATACAGATGTGGCTGACCCAGACTTGCTCCCTAAAGTTCACCCTGAGCTTGTGATACACAAAATTTGTTTAAGAGTTCCTGTAGTGATGTCCTCACCTGTTATTAGAGTCATTCGGGCCTCACCTAGAGAATAGTTGTTGGAAATCTGTTCTCAGCTTCATTTGTTCTCTTGGCTTATTCTCACTTCCATATTGCTCTGCCTGTCTAGATACTTTTTTTAAACTTATATAATGACAACTCAGGACGACTGATTTTCTATTCTATTATAAGCAGATTACCAGGTCAGAGACTTAAGCACTTTGTTGCCCCACTATTTCATCTGTCATACGCACTTTGCCCATTTCTTTTCTAAACATTGTTAACTGTATTAGGATTCTATCCCTAGGTAGACTGTCCTTTTCCCAATTTTATTCTGTTTCGGATCATTGTCTTACCAAATTTATTAAGTTTAGTTACATTTTTTTTTTCCTTGGAGGTTTCCCAGACTCAGAAACCTAAAACTGCCTGGGGTGGTCCCAGCTTACGTTTGTATTCTCAGCATAATTATTACAGAGTTTCCTTTCACTGTCAGAAGAATCTTGCTTTGGATGGTAAATTATATGGTCACTCTGCTGGCCTTTCAGACTGACTCGGAACCACCCCACACACCTGACTGAGGGCACCTCAACTTCTTCCAGAACTTCAGTTAGAGACTACATGTGGTCTTTCCTCCAGGACTAGCTTCTGGTGGTCTGGAAATGAGTATCTGACTCCTGGCAGGGGTGCTGTGGCACTGCCTAGGACATTAAGCTGAGCTTCTTTCTAAGCTAATGGAGCCCATGAAGGTTAGATGATGATTACTCTGATTCTGTGTGTACCTCATAAAGATGCAGTGGAGTGGAGCAATTAAAAACTGGAACTTTGGAGCAGGACTGCTTAAGTTCAAATCCTGGCTCTGTCACTTTCATTTTATATCATTTAATTGGGGCCTATAAACCCATGTACATGTTCTTTATTAAGAGATCTTTGAAACAGAATATTTATACATGCACAGACCCACACTCATTTAGTTGTACTTGTGATCTAACATTTGCAGATTTCCCATGTCACAAGATCTAATAACATGGACATGGCATGGATGACTCAGCTCCAAGCCAGTTTGTCATATTATGATAATTCATGGGACAGTAAGCTTGGCAAAATTTCTCAGCACTAAGACTTCCTCTCCACAAGACAGACACAACAACTATTCCCCCTCTGGATGTTCAGTAAAAGCTGAATTATGTCATTCATTTATTCACTCACAAAGCATATGTTCTTTATGGAGCTCTCAGCCGTACAGCATTAAGGGCAGTAAAGAATCTAAAGAAAATAATGTCCATGCTTAATCTCAAGTAGTTTGTTACTGAGCTGGAAATAATCGAAGTATGCACACAAAAATTGAATGACCATGCAAGACAATGAAGCCAAAAATGCAAGACACTGAAAGTGAAAAGAAATATAATAACTAAATGTCAGATGACCTCACATAAGATCTATAGAAGCTTAGAAAAGAGAACCTAGGAATGAAGACACCAAGAGAGTCAAGACCTAGAAGAAGATGGAAGCTGTGAATCTGGGAAGAAAAACATAAATTTTAGATATGCATTGAACATCAGATTCAGACTAAATCTAGTATCTGGCATCAGCTTCAGCCTTGGCTTCTAGAAAGCCAAACACCTACTTCAGTGTCCTTTTTTAGTATCCTGGAAGTTGTAAATGGTCAGTGATCCTGTGATTGTGCAGCTTAAAATCTTATTTGATGAGCTCAGCAATGCTAGGAAGATGACAAAGCCATGTCATTTGGAGTAATTTTTAAAATAGATGTGCCAGCTTTTTATTCTGAGAAGTAAATATGTTAGAAAGGACAATCCTTATTATCATTTCATACAAGGATATTTGACACCAAAATATAGATATGACATGATCAGATTTAATTTTAATATCTCAATATTCACTTTCAAGTATGGGTAAGTATTCTCAATATCCATTGGAGTTTTTAAAAGACATTGTTTTGTTTTATGCTATAGCACATAACATAAATGCTATAAGATTAATTAGTAAAGCAACTGACTGTACTAAACAACCTAATATCAGTCAATTGAAATACAAAATATATTAATGATTGTAAAAGTAACATGCTTTACTAATTAATTATAATTATAATAGCTAGTAATTTCTGTAAAAAATTAATTATAACTTTCTACTACATAACTATAAAAGAATAGAGTTTGGCAGCATAAATGTTAAGAGAAAGTACATTTCCTCAGTAAATTAGGAAGAATGCTGGATCTTTTTCAAACACATGCAAGCTTATAAAAATTTAAATAGTAATACAAGACAGAATAAAAGAGATTGGGTTTGTTATAATTCTAATCTTCAAATAATTACTGCACTAGTGAAAAACTTTTTCCTAGTTACATTCTCTTCACAAAAAAGTGACATTGTTAAATGTAATTCTTCTGTGTGTCATGGAGCAGATATTTAGACAAGCAGAGACAACCAGGAGTCTTATTTTTAAGTTTGGCAGCATTTAGGACTAATTACGAATTCAAGTGGGTTTCTGCTTTACCCAGTTCCTGAGGTATTTCTGGTTCCCAAACATTGATCACTGCAGTAAATCTTTTCAAAGACACATTTACAGAATGAAAAAATTAAGAAAAAATGGTGTCACATAATTGTCATTGTCAATGGAACAAACATGAAGATGCCATGAATGATTTAGAAATCACAGCATGTCTTGTTCATACAGTTCATGTGTGTGCTAAGGAATTATAGGACAGGATAATGTAGTAGAAAAACTGGTAATCAGCAGGAAAACAGTGAGCTACTGTGGTCGGTTTTCTTTTTCTTTTTCTTTTTTTTTTTTTCTTGAGAGGGAGTCTTGTTCTGTCACCCAGGCTGGAGTACAGTGATGGTGGGATCTCGGCTCACTGCAACCTCTGCCTCCCGGGTTCAAGACGACTCTCCTGTCTCAGCCTCTTGAGTAGCTGCGATTACAGGTGTGTGCCACCACACCCGGCTGATTTTTGTATTTTTAGTAAAGACGGGGTTTCCCCAAGTTGGCCAGGCTGGTCTCGAACTCCTGACCTCAGGTGATCCACCCACCTCGGCCTCCCAAAGTTTTGGGATTACAGGCGTTAGCCACCGCGCCTGGCCAGATTTTCTTTTAGCCAAAGACAGACTCCTTGATGCATGAGATTTTAGAAGTGCTATCTACTTACACAAGGTATGCAAACAAGATGGAAAGAGGGACAGTGGCTAGTACATGCCCCCGCCTCCCCCAAAAAAAGAGCTGCTTGACAAAAGAATGTCTAACCCTCTGTTTCACAGAGAGCAGTGCCAACATCACAGGACTTCCTGCCACCAAAGACACTCCCTCTCTGCAGGAAGGGTAGTTTGTGTGCTGAAACCTTCTAAAGAAGTAGCAGATACAGAGGTGCCTTGAGAGGGCAGCGGCTGCTGCAGGGTACCTTCTCCAGAGATCCCCAACTATGAGAGCAAAAACACAGATGGAAACTCTGAAATGGTTTTGTTATCTGGAAATCCAAGTACCTTGTCCCACTGATACATTTTTATATCCAAATATTAAGAAACAATTTTTGTCTCAAGTGATTGTGGGAAGCAGCACAAACACACAAAATACTGGAAATAATTTAAATGAGAATAAAAATCTTAAATTAGCTTTCAAAGACAGTCAGAAAGTAACTTCTGCAAACGGTTTTTCCCATCAGTAATCACTTATTGAGTACCCATGTAGCATGGAACCTGGAACCATACTGCCTGGGTTCGAATCATAGCTGGGTCACTTGCTGGCTATATAACCTTGGGTTAGTTATTTGTCTCTCAGTTTCCTCATCTGTAAAATGGGATTAACCATAATATCCACCTTATATGGATGTCTTCAGGATTCAGTGAGTTAATATTTGTAAAGCACTTAGAATAGTGCCTGGCACATAACACACGTTATATATTATTTGTTAAATTAAAATAAGATGTACCATGCACTGTTCTAGACATTTGGGTTAGAACAGTGCACAAAGCACCTTTTGTGAGATTATTTCAAAGAAATTAATCATTACCATCCATCAAATCTTCAACTCCAGGAGTTGAAGGGAATGTAATTCATTATTTCAGCCGATTAGTTTTAGAAAAAGAAAGCTTAATAATTTGGTGACAATGTGGCTATCAGCTATATCCCATACTGGCAGATTAGCCAAAAGATATCTTGGTTTTTTAATCAATTTCAGTTGAAATGAGTGAATACTGAATATCTGTTGATTAAATTAGATTGGAGAGAAGCTGCTAAGGAGACTGAACCACGCAGTGCCATGGAAGAGAAAGTAAGGAAAAAGGGACACATGACAAGGACATAAACATCAGGAGAACTAAGAATGCAAGATAAGAAAAGGACAATGGTTTGATGGCTTAGGGGACCCTGGTGGCCTTCAAAAAACCAATTTCAGTAGAAATACTGGGGAATGAGATTACTGGAGGTTAAGGAGGTTGCTCTCTAGGGAATTTGGGAGGCAAAGAAACAAGCAGATGATACCTGGAGATGTTAGCAGGTTAAAAAAAAAATCTTCACTATATGAAAAACACAACTGATTAGAAAGGAGGCACTGGAGAAGGAGAAATTTTAAAGAAGTATAGAAAGTAAGGGATATAACTGATGAAGATTCCAGAGGAGTTTAAAGGGGAATGAGATTAAAAACACTGGCAGAGTAATCATGGGAAACAGTGAATGGGAAAGAGCTCAGATCAGATGTTTTTTATTTTCTTGGTAAAGAAGTCCATAGGAGTAAGGAGACAGAAGTCTCTTTGGGCATTTAAGGAACATGGGAAAATTTATTACTACAATTATGGGGGATATGATACAGCGTTAATTCTCCATGATGAAAAGGATATCCCATTAACCCTGGATGCCCAACTGAGGTCCGATAGCAGGGATCTGTGTTGGATCCAAGAACAACTTCTTGTAAGGATTCACTTTCGGAAATGGTTAACAATAGTATGTATAGGGATCATAGGTTTGGAAGAGTCAAGTCTGGAGCAGGGGACTTTTCACACCAAAAGATTTTTCCAGCTGACTTGGGCTAAGAAAGAACAAAGTGAAGACAGAGGTGTTGACAGATTTGGGAAACAGGCACAGATTAGGAATTGGAGGACATAGAGTGGCTTGGTGGGCATGAGGTGGGATGACAGGGCATTACTATCAGAAGGACAGTCAATGAGTGTAAGATCCTGGAGATGTCAGAGGAAAGAGAACCAAGAATCAAGTCTTGAAAAATATGCAGAAGAGAGGCAGAAGGAAGTCTACTAAAGGTGCTACAGTGAGAGAACTATCAGAGAGATAGAAAGACAAAACACAGCTATGCCATGGAGGTCAAGGAGAAAGAAGACTTTACACAGTATACTTACAAACAATAATCCTAACAAACTTGCGATGTTATATAATAATGAGTACTGAACGCTAGTGATGAAGCTAGCATAGTACAGTTTTATAGGCATTGCCATAGTAAGTTTTCTCAGCAACCAAGTAAGGCAAGTACTATCACTGATGTTTTACAACAGAAGAAAGCATAGCTGTGGGAAACAACTTATCCAAGGTCATACCACATGAGCTTCTAACCTTGACCATGAACAGCTTTCTATTTTAATAACCAAACATTATGTCTGAAGTAGTTGCCATATTACTGCAATTGTTTTTGCAAAAACTCTACCGTATCATGTGTATGTATTATCATTATTATATTTCAGAGCAGATAACACAGAATTCAAGGAGGACTGAGACCAAAGGTTATCACTGGATTTGTCCATTAGGAGATTGTTAGAAACTGGCAGAGCAGAGTGTGGGGATAGAGCACATTATTGAAAGACAAGACTGGGGAAGGACAAAGAAGCCACAGGGGGTGGGGTCAGGAACATGGGGATTGAAGTTTGGCATATGTGGATTCAAATCCAGGCTGAGTCACTTAGTTGTGTGATCTTGGGCAAGTTACTCCTTGTTAATTAAGCTTCATTTTCCTTGAGTGTAAAATGGTAATGATAATAATACCTACTTCCACAAGATTGTTCTGAGAATTAAACAACACAATTTCTATAAATATTTTCATTCAGTGCTTGGCTCACAGTATGCACCCAATAATGTTTTTACTATACAAACTGCATATATAATTATACAGTTAACTGTATATACTATATAATCTGTACTACTACCAGTGAACTTTTAAAAATTCCCTTTTTTCTAGGCATTCATGATATAGCCACGTTTTGTTTGTCCTCCTACCGCCTTTCTGATCTCTGGTTTCCTGAATTAATGTAGTTAATGTTATGTTTCAGAGCACTTTTGTATATATTAGTTTTTTTCTCAGACAAAACTTTGTAAGGCAGTTAGAGCAAATTTAGATACCTTTTCTAGGTAAAGAATTATCTGTTCTGATTAAACAAACATTCTGCTTTATAGAGAGCTATCATATGTACCATGCACCAATAATTATTTTTCAAATAATATTTAATAGAACACATTCACTAAAACTGTGCTGCTCATATAAGCACTTGTAGGTGATTTGAAAGGTCAATTTAGGATTTTTACTATCTTCACTATGTATGCATCATCATTATGAGCAATAATTTTCATCTTCCCATAGATGTTCAGAATACCAGTTATATGTCTTGTCAGAGTGTCTAACACCTGTGCATATAAATATGTATAATATACATGTGCAATGAGTTCAAAAAGACTAAGTCCTTAGAACACTAAACATATCGTAGGAAGATCAACTGTACTCAGACTCAAGGCTAGCATTTGGGATTAAGGAAATACCTGGAGTCACCAGTAACTTTTGGAGAGCAACACCAACCTTCTAGGTTGCTCCTCCATATAGGGAGGTATGAGTTCAGCTAGGTATGGGAAAAACAAAGGATGACCTAGAAATTAAGCACATCTGTTATATTATTGAGACATCAGTATTTAACTTTTGGAACAAGAGGCTAAGTTTCAGACAAACTTCATTTTTAAAAAATCCTTATTAAGGACCTCTAAACACAGGACCAAATTCTGTCCTTGAATTTTAAAACAAAACTGGGTCTGAAATCAATATAGGCACTGTTAGAAAGGATTTGAGGATTGAATTAGGGAATAGGATTTGGCTCCTAGGACACAAACCATGCTACTAATCCCGGAGAAAGGATTTGCCCGTTTAAAGGATTATAAATTTTTGAAAAGCATATTCTGTTGATAATACTTTTCATTTCCTGCAAATTACTGAGGGATATTTTCATTGTGAATGAAATTGGACAATGTTTTTATTGTTGTTGTTTTAATTTTCTTTGTTTCAAAGGGTACTAAATTTCCAAATGATCAGACGTGAAGTTTCATGGCCCATAATGGCTACACATTTGAAGACTCAAGCAAATAAATTAGAAATAAAGCCTACCAGCAAACCAAAAGATAATTACATGTAAAAGCAAGTCTCCTTGATTTCTGATACTTGCACTTATGAGAATGAGAAAACAACGATAGCACAGAGAGATGGTGGACATGGAGGACAGGTCCTGTAGGCTCACTTCATGGGCTTTTTCATACCCTGACCACTTTCCACGCTGGATTCATTTTACTGTAGTGAAACAATTGGCTGTAGATAATGTTAAAAGATAGGACTTTGGTAACAGGAGAATTCATGGATTCTTGAAATTCCTGAATGGAACTGGCTCTCCAGAAGCTACTTGCAGCTCAAAAGAGAAAGAGAGAGAGAAAGCAAGCCAGAGAAACATTTGAGGTCATATAACACTTTGTCTCCAATGTTCTCAAGGCCTCCCTCTGTGCACAGACCTCACTTTGAAATTACCACCTGTCACAGGCCTAGCAAATCCCCTCACCAGAGACCATGTCTAATTCTTTGTTTTAAAGGGCACTCGATGGTTTTCTCCAGAGAAGTCATCATCATCAGTGGCAGCAACATCCTACTTTATTTACACAGCTTAGCATAGGACCATCCCCACAATATAACAAGAAAGATTTGACCCTGTGGGCTTTTTCCTGTTCTAAATTTTCTCCTTTTGCTTGGACAAAAGGTCCATCATTTCTGAGAAAAAAAAAGGGAGGATGGGGCTGGGTAAGGAGACTGCCACAGTAACAGCGTAATGCTATTAGTCTGAATTCTCCCATGACGGAGCCCTCGCTGGGAAAGACAATTACAGGCAAAAGGGTGATAACCTCACGAGGCAATAACCTCCTGAGAGATCCTGTGCCACATGTACAGGTTATTAATTTCAGGGAAGGAGCCAAACTTCAGGGGCCCTCTCAGAACCGACTCTTTCAAGGTTTGCCCATCTCTAATGAGCTGGGTCTTTTTTGCGATTGTCTAACCACACGATTTCCTTAATTCTTAGCTGGTTGCATAATGGCAAAGATAAATGTGGCTTTTTCCAGCTGCTTCTAAAATAGGTTCAAGGTTGAATTAATATGAATGGAAATACTTTCTGTTCATGTAAAGGGTTGGAAGAAACCGTATGTGTGGGATTTGCTGATACCTGCTAAAATGTACACTGTGTGTCCTACATGGAGGACACAAGACGGGCAGAGGTGGAATAATGACTTATAGGAGCCCCAAAGTCCTAAGACGGTGAAATTCCACCAAATTTATTCCATTTCAGCAGGAGCTAGAATATTCCAAAATTCAAAAAAATGGACTTAGTTATAAAGGAATCTTTTCAGAAGTCTTGACTCTCATCACATACTCAATGTTAATTACCATTTGTGTGTAGAACGGTGTGAATTAAAACTAAAGAAACAAACAAAAAACTTGCCTTGTTATTCTGCCAAAGGACCCCATAATCTAATGAGGGAGAAGTGGCACCTGCAGACCAAAGAACACACAAGATTTCGAAGGTGGTTATTCCAAGTGAAAACACACAACTGAAAAAGTCCATGAGGACTGAGTGGAAATTGACAAGAACAAGGGGAGTTCATCAGGAACAACTTTTCCAGGAAAACTTGAGGTTCAGATTTGAGAGGATAATATGGCTGGATGAATAGGAGAAAATAAGCTACTCCAGAGGAAATGAAGGAAGTTAAGACATGGAATCACAATCCATTTCACCTCTTTGTTCTTTTCTTTTAACCTTAACTGCAACCTTCCCCATAGTAAGCAGAGGAAGAGTAGATATTGTTTCTGTGGTTAAGTTACAGAAAGTGTGTTGCTTGCTAGGTACTGCAAAGTATTTTTCTGTTAGTGACAAGCAAATCATATCAAATTGTTCAAACTCAATTTCAACTCTTATAAGAGGATAGACATGGGTTTTGAGGAAATGGTTATCATTTGCCTTGTTATTACCTCATCTTTGAGCCCCAACATGTGCCTTTACTACTTATCCCAGTGATTCTTTCAAAAAATTATTTAATAAATCAAAATATTCCATAAGTCAAAATATCTTCAGGTTGCGGATTTACCTTTGACTTTCATCTTAACCAATTGTTTAAAATTCCCCCATTCTCCTCTCATCTATTGTGTATAAATTCAGATTAAAATGTAGTTAAATTCATTAATGCTCATTATTTATGTGTCTAAGACTGATACTAATAATGACAACCATGTATTCGACACTTTCCAAACTGCAGGCCGTAGGCTCAGTCCTTTGTTTTGTTAGTTTATTTAATCCTTATAACAAGACTAACCAGTGCTTCCAAAATCCCAATGGATATTAATCTTTGGGAATTGAAAACAAAAAAAATTAGAATCCCCAGAAAATCTTAGAAATTTCTGAAATCATAAGTTATTCTGTATTTTACTAGTATTTACCAAGAGAGAAGTAATATTTAATATTTTAGTTGTTTAGCTTTTTTTGGTTTAGTGGGGTTTTTTTTGTGGGTTGGTGGGATTGTTTTGTTTTGTTGGCTTGTTTTTATTTTTTAATATTTTATAGTATTTACAAAGATGTGGTTTATAGTTAATATTCAAAAATTAGAAAATGCCTGCAAAAATTATGAGATAATGCTAACAAACCTAACATTTGGACTCCCTAGCAAGATTAACAACACTACACGAACTGATATGTCAAAATTGCTAATTTAAGGACTTATTTTCTTCCAAATGTGTTATTTCTTGAAACACCGTTCATAGGATTTGTATAAAGTATACGATGCATATGAACTTATAGACATTTATTTTATTTATAAGAATGACTCACCCTTAGTCACAGAGAAGATCACAAACAAGCTCTTATAACACGGTTAGTTGGTTTTCTATTACTACATAACAAATTACCACAAATTTAGCAGCTTTAAACAACACAAACATATTATTTCATGTTTCTGTAGGTCAAGATCCACAGGGCCAAAATCTAAAAGTGTCAGCTGAGACTGCAGTTCTCACTGGGAGCTTGGGGTCCTCTCCAAGTTCACTGGATGCTGGAAGAATTCATTTCCTCGAGGCTGCAGGACTTAGATCCACATTTTCCTGCTAGCTGCTGGCTGGGAACCACTCTCAGCAACCAAAGGCTGTCCACAGTTTCTTGTCATGTGGTCCCATCAGGCAGTTCACACTCGATATTTTTCTTTCTTCCAGGCCAGCTGGAGTATGGCTCTCCGCCTTCCTTTCCAGCACCAGTCAGAAAAAACTCAGGTTTTAAAGGGCTCAGGTGATAGGTCAGGCCCACCTACCTAATCTCCCTGTCTTTAGGTAAACTGATTTGATTCTTTAATTGTATCTCCAAAATCCCTTTACAGCAGTACTTTTACTGAATAAGGAAAAGAAGGTGTGTATTGGCGCTGTGGCTCACGTCTGTAATGCCAGCACTTTGGGAGGCCCAGGCAGGTGGATCACTTTGAGCTCAGGAGTTCAAGACCAGCCTGAGCAACACTGTGAAACCCTGGCTCTACTAAAAGTACAAAAATTAGCAGGGCATGGTAGGGCGCCTGTAATCCCAGCTACTCAGCAGGCTGAGGCTGGAGAATGGCACGATCCCAGGAGACAGAGGTTGCAGTGAGCTGAGATCGTGCCACTGCACTCCAGCCTGGGCGACAGAGAGAGAATCTGTCTCAAACGAACGAACAAACAAACAAACAAACAGAAGGTGTGTGTACACCAGAAGCATGGAAATTTGAGGCTGTCTTAAAATTTTGCCTGCCACACATAACAATAGCCATCAGCCACAAATGCTGGCTACCTCTATAATTTTAAATTCTTTAGGAGTAACATTAAAAAGGAGGGAAAAGGCAAAAATAATACGTCATTTAGCCTAATATATCCAAAACATTATAATTTTGATATGTAATCAATATAATAATTATTAATGAGATATTTTACCTTCTTTTTTCCATACTAAGACTTTAAAATCTAATTCATATTTTACGCTTATAGCTCATTTCATTCAGGCTAACCACATTTCAAGTACTCAATAGCCATACAATGCTGATCAGGATTGGATGGTGGCTGCTTTTCTCCTATATGGGACTGTCTCATTTCCAGAAATGCTTACCTTAACTTTCAACTCTGAGGGTCAGCAGTTCTTGTTCTTGCTTTCACTGTGACATTGGTGGCTGTCTTAAAGCTCATAACACTTCTATGTTGATTATTAAGCTTTAATTCTCACAGAAGAACTGTGATAGTTTTTCCTGTTTTTCTGATTTCTCAATTGATTTTTATGGAATGCAAGATTAATGAAAACACACATTTACTGAGAAATTCTGAGAAGGAATTTCTACATGGAAATACTATGAGATATATACTGCAAAAAGTAACTAAGGCTCAAAGAGACTAGATTATTGTCCCAAATCTTTACACAACTAGTATGACTGTCTGATCATCCTCTTGGCTACTGTATTGTATTGTTAATTCTTGTGTAACTAGAAGGACAAACCATCTTTCCTCTTCACTCCTCATTCCCAGTGTGTTAGAGGGTAATTCTTGTCTAAGACTTTAATCAGAGGCATACTTGTGAACAATATTTTTTATGCTTCAGCTAAATCCGTAGGTGTGCAAAGGAATATCCTGAGCTAAATTTGGAGGTGAGGGCTGGAGATTGTGGAATTGTTCTGCTTAAGAACATAGAGGTAAAACTACACATTTAGTGGTTAGTCAATTTTCAACAAGAGTGCCAAGACAATTCAATGAGGAAAGAAAAGTTTTGCAGCAAATAGTGCTGGGACACTAGATATCCACATGCAAAAGAGTAAATTAGACCCCCTACCTCACACTACCTACAAAAATTTACTCAAAATGAAGCAATGACCTAATTATAGGAGCTAAAACTATAATATTCTTAGAAGAAAATGTAGGCGTAAATTTGGCAATTTCTCAAGAAGTTAAACATCAACTTACCATATGACCCAGCAATTCTACTCCTAGGTATATACCCAAGAGAACTGAAAATATATGTTCATACAAACACTTGTACACAAATGTTCACAGCAACATTATTCCAATAGCCAAATGTTAGAAACAAACCAAATGTCCATCAACTGATAAATGAGTAAATAAATGAGGTATGTCCATACAATGGAATATTATTCAGTCATAAAAAGGAAAGAAGTACTGATATATGCTACAATGTGGATGAACCTTGAAAACATTACACTAAGTGAAAGAAGGCAGAACCAAAAGACCATATATTGAATGATTCCATTTATATGAAATGTTTAGAACAGGCAAATCCAAAGATAGAAAGTAGATTAGTGGTTGCCAAGAACTGGGAGCTAGGGGACTGAGGACTACTAAAGAGTATGAGGTTCCCTTTTGGAGTTGTGCAAATATTCTAGAATTATATAGTAGTGACTGTTGCACACCTTTGTGAATATATTAAAAACCATTCAATTGCACACTTTAAAATGGTGAATTGTATGTTATATGAATTATATATCAATTAATACAAAGGGAACATAGAAGAACTTGTATTTTGTTCCTGAGAAGAGAGAGACTTTTAGAAAAGGAAACAGGAGCAGGAAGAGAAAGAAAGAGCATCCAGGGCAATGTGGCTGGGGACTCAGCCTTACTTGCAACAAGGAGCAAGGGGCATTTTAAGATGAAGACTGTCCAATATTCAGTAGTAAGATGTTGCAATAATAAATCATCTCAATCTTACCTAAACCCCAGCGAAGTTTGATAAATCCAAAAAGGCTTTTTATAAATGAGTCTTTTTATATTTTATTTACTGCTTGCTTTGGTCTTTTTCTGTGTGTGTGTGGCGGGGACAGAATTATGTCAAAGTTCTGAGTTCCAAGTGTAGGCCAATGCACCATGGAGCAGTAACATAATGTGAGGGACGATATGATTATCCTCAAATGGAACCAAGGTGAGCAGCTGGAACCTGGAGTCAGTGGTGGGCATAAGAATGTGAGCCCTGGAAATGTGCAGATATTCTGGGAAAGGAGCTTGACTTCCCACAGTGATGGACTGGAGTTTCTAGGTAATATTTTCTAAATCATAATAATGAGAGTGACTCCAATGAATGTGTGAGTAATCAATAAAACTTAGTTTAAGAATGGTTAATTCTGATTCTTTCCTATGAGATTTAGACCATACCTGCCCTGATGAGAGCTATGTGTATTTCAAATATCTAGACCTCAGTTTTTCTGTTTCTATAAATTAAGAAAGTTGGTCTAGATCCTTTTTCATCCCCCAAATTCTTGTACGCTGGGCAAATAAAAATTTGCAGCTCAAGTTTTACAAGCCCAAGCTTTCTGGATTAAAAAATATATATATGCCACCAACAAATTACCCTCAGATCCATAAAATTTCAAATCAGTTAGTTGGGAAAGTCACAAGGATACCAGCAAGTACTTGCTAATAGAGAAAGAAAGCAAAGTTCTTTTTCAACTGGACACCCAAGGTAGGGGAGAACATCCTCCTTACCTACAAAGGAATTCTTAACAACTTGAGGTCCAGGCCCACGTCAGTGTATTTAGCAATGGTTTTAGACTTACAGTATGCCAATTTGCAAAATGGAGAAGGTTAACTTTTTGCATAAGAGGTTTTCTTTTCTGCTTTGTCAACTTTTCTCTACCTGAAGAATGGTATCTTACAGACAGCCTTGTTCCTATAACCAAACACTCTCATATGAACTAATTCTAGAGAAATTCATATTGTGTTGATTTCTGTCCCTCTGTACTTAAAAACCACAAAGAATGTATACAGTGGTCAAGAACATGGCTCTCAGGTGAGAAAGGTCTTCTTCCATCTAGAATGCCAACTCTGTGAGAGCAAGAGCTCTGTCATTCATCATGACATCCTCAACATCTGCCATCATGCCTGACACAAATTGTTTAATAAATGTTTGTCAAATGAATGAATGGTGCAAATATCAATTCTACCATGATGATTTCATTGGCTGAGCCTCCATTTCCTCATCTGCAAAATGGAGGTAATAGCACCTCCCTCACAGAAGTTTCTGTGGTATAGGGTATGCAAGGAGCTTAGCACAGGGCTGGCATGCAGCACTCATTCATGGTGCCTAATGTTGCTATTTTTAGAGCAATCTGTCTTTGAAACATTTTTTGGGACTCATTATGAAAGAGTCTTTTAAAAAGTGGACAGCTTGTCACATGACTCCAACTACTAGAGGATTATAAGAGTAAAGTAATGTCTGTTCAAATCAAAGCCCAACATAAATAATTCAGAGGGAATTATTTAGGTTGGGAATTTGTTAATGAAGAAGCCGGTGTTTGCACACAATGAGAGACCTAAGACTGAAGGGGCAAAAAAAGACACTTCAAATTCTGTTCTCACATAGACCCTCAGAAAGTACTTTGGGAAGAAAAAAACACCATTCTCTTTATTCACCTCCTAATATTACTGTGGCCCCTACAACATCCTCCAGACTTAATTCTCATCTTTATGACTTCAGAAACTTCAGTACAAATCAGGGGTTCTGATGGGATATCTATGAATGGAGGAATCTCACTGCTTTAATTTATACCACAGAACGTCTGATTGTTCAGTTTTGCAAATTAGCAAGTGAACAAACCAATTTAAAGAAATAAAGACAATGCCACATAAAACACAGTCCTCTTATTTATCTTGATGAGGCATGGTTCCATTTTAATGATTTCTGTTAATGTTTTATTGTACAGTGGTTATGCCCCCAAGTGCATTTTATAAGACTAATGAAGTCTTAGTAATCCGAGGCGTCTTCTCCAATATGCTCTTACTATGTCTTTGCTGAGAACGCTTGTGGGGAGACCACCACCACTGTGTGAGCAAGGAAGTTTGTGAATTAGTGAAATGAGAATCAGTCAAGTTCTACAGTAGTGAGGGGTCCACAGGCAGTTCCAGTGGGATTCTGCATTTTCACACAAAAATGGTCTATTGGTCTTCATTACAATGAGAGATGAGCAGACTCTGCTGTGTTTAGGGTTCATCAAACATCAAACCACTTTTTTTTTCAAATGTTTTGGGTTTGCCAAAATCCAAAACACGTTTTGCCCTCAGCATTTTTCCCTTCATTTTCAAACCCCT
This sequence comes from Homo sapiens, assembly GCF_000001405.40. Taxonomy (NCBI): domain Eukaryota; kingdom Metazoa; phylum Chordata; class Mammalia; order Primates; family Hominidae; genus Homo; species Homo sapiens. Next base: position 53,592,071 of record NC_000014.9, on the reverse strand, counting down.
GTGTATTTTAAGGGAAATTTAATCCTTATGTTTCTGACTCATTTGCACTTAACACGTGAACATGTTGTTTCATAAGACTTATTTGAAGTCTATGAAGCCTTGTAAGTCTTCTAAAGCCCTTTTTCCATAGTGGCAGGAAGCTGTGTGTTGCAAAGTTATGTGAACTTGAATCCTCAATGAGCGGAATTGGTTTGAAACATAAGATTTTTTTAAGACACAATGTTAAATTGAGTTAAACTTGGTAAAACCCATCCTCTCTCCCACAATTGCTATCCTATATTTTGGTGCATAGCTTTTAACAATAAAGTAACTGAGGCTACACAGCAGTTATTCTTGAAATTTCTGTGCTATATCCGGCAAGCTGGATTTCTATAGAGGAAGAAGGAGCTGAGGTCATTTGCTAGCTGTGGCCAGTGAAATGCAGTTTAAGTTCTAGATTTTCTCATTTCTAGTCACATCCTCTCGGGAAGCCACTGTCCGCTGGGTGTTTAGCTAAAAGACCCTCCTGCAAACTTCCCCCAGCCTTACAAAGGGGTGTGTTGCCTGTAGAAGCCCACGCACACTGGCATCTACCAGACCTGGGTTGAAATCCTAGCAGCACTACTTCTTGGGAGTCATGCAAAGTAGGGAAGGATTACTGCCTAGAGAGAGAACATTTCCCACCCTAGAGAATCAGAAAAATAAACCAAAACAGTGATCAATGCATAGAGTTTTAATCCAGATACTGTGGCAATAGGCAGAGGTGGGGAAAAGTGGAGGCTTCAGTCCCTTCTGTGTTCTTGTGTTCAGCCCTCTCATTCATCCTTTCTCCTATGCAGCTTCTTCCACTGCAACAGAGCTCCAGACGGGTCTGCAAAATTGATATGGATGGGGCATCCAGAGCCATTTCCAGATTCTTCTTCGAACAGATAGAAACTTTGGGCCTCCTGAGGTTTCTCTAGGTTAGAAATGATTTAGAATCATTGTGTAAGGAATAAGAATTTTAGAGTTAATCATTCTAGCCCTGTACCTTGCCTCTTCCACTTCTTAAGTTGTTTCATGCTTGGGGAGTTAATTATATCTTCTCTGATAACTTCTCTGAGCTCTATTTTCCAGGTGCAAATGAAGATTTTAAAAAATACTTATAAGGTGATAGCACCAATTAAATGAGATCAAACATAGTAAGTGATTAGTGAGCATGTATTAAAGGCACAATGAATAGTCTTTGCATTTGTTGCTATCATTGCATCTGTTGCTATCATTGTTGACATTGTTCATTTTGGCAAATGACCAGCTCCTGCAGAATTTATGGTATCTAGTGTCCTTCTCCTCCACTCCTTATAATCCCTTTCCCTATCCCAATTATTTGGACAGGACTAAATATCCAAGTGTAGTATTTTGCATTACTTATTTTTGTCACTGTTGAATCTCTTTGGGCATCAAATTAGTGGCACCTTCCTTCTGCCTCTGCCCCCATGGTCAATCATGAGCAATCCCACTCCTAATTAGAATAGGATAATCTTTAATCTAACCCTTAAACAGTAGTCTTCAGCACCATCTATTTTCAGGCACAACTGGTTGAATTCAAATATATTTGCCTTTCCTTTGAGACTGTCTTCTACATTCCTCCTTTTCAATAGAGTCCTTCTCTCTAGTCGCTCCTCTGCAAGCAGATACCTTTACTGATGGCCTTCTTTCTGCCTTCATGCCTTTCCATATAATTTCCTTGTAACTTTCATGGAGTGCTTTCTCATTTCTTGCTCCTCCAAGAAGTATCCTTGGCTTAATTCATGACAGTTATCTCAAAACTAATTCCTCCTCCCTCTGTGGATTAATAAACGGCTCTGCTACTTTCCCAGACACTCAAGCCAAGACTCTCAGGTCATTTTGGTTTCTCTCTTTCCATCATCCCCCACATCTGATCACTCTATGGATTCCACATCAGCAACAAATATATTTCTCCATCCTCTTCTGCATGTTCACTGCTAACACTCCAGGCTAACCCTCTGTTACATGATGCCTATACAACAGCACCACTTTTCCAGCTGCTGATCCTCTCCACTTTTGTTTCCCCCGTTTTTCCCCTACAACGCATTCTCCAATGTTTTTAGGATCCTACAAGGTTCACATAAGCCAGCACATCTTGTTTCACTCTCCCTCCAGCTCGCCATGCACCAGACACACTAACCTTGCAGTCCTTCAAAGGTTTCCATCTGCCTTCCACAAGGGGGTATTTTCTCTGCCCAGAGCAAGGTTCCCTCCTCCCTTAATCCAGTCAATTCCTAGTCTTTCTTCTTGCCAAAGCTGAAACCTCACTTTCTCTGAGAAGCCTTTCTTAACCTTCCTCATACACCTTCACAGCACCCAAACTTCTCCGTTGTGATACTTATTACAAACATCACTAAATAATTTGGATGGTGACTATTCATTTCATAGCTCCTAATTGTGCCATAAGCCTAAACTCCAGGAGGGACCATGTCTGTCTAGTATACTGCTGTATCCCCCCTGCTAGAAAGATGCCTCAGCCTGGCTTGTTCTTCATAAAAATGCCTTGAATGAATTCATCCCTCCCAACTTTGTGCACTGTTGTCCTACATCCCTTCCTGTGTAAGGTTTCAGTTTGCACAGCTGAAACTTGTACTAGTCTTAAAGTCCTTTGGTGGTTGTAGTCAAGGTACTAGATCTGGTTCAGGATTAGATTGTGAGCTCTAGGTGGAAAAATGCCACATTTTCCATTTCTTTTGTTTTTGCCACAGTCTCTTCACTCCTGATATAATGAAATCATATTTTTTGGTGTTTACAGGGTGACTGATAACTCACACTCTTCCTGAACAACTGTTAGATTACCTTTGAGATTTCTCTTTTCTACAAATCAAGTTCTTGACTTGACTATGGTTTATATTCTTCTATCAACGAAGTGGCAATATGAAATCAACGTTGTTAAAGCTCAGGAACTGTTTTACATGTTTAATAGATTATTAGTTGAAAGTTAAGTAAATGTATGTATGCCTTTGATAAGTTGTATTGATTCTGAGATCTGACCCAATAACATGAAAAAAAGACTCCAGAAAACAAAAGCATTTAAAACACATTGTTTTAATTTGTTAACAGGTATGTCAGTAATTACATTTTAAGGATAACAATTTTTTAAACTTTTATTTTAACATGATTTTAAACTTACAGAGAAGGTACAAGAATTGTATAGAGAAATCAGGTACACTTTTCACCCAGATTCCCCAATTATAACATTTTACATTCTCTTTCTTGTTTATTGTTCTCTGTCTCTCTGTATGTACATTTCTGAATCATTTGAGAGTAAGTTGTAGATAGGATACTCCTTAATATTTCAGTGAATATTTTCTAAAAACTAAGACATCTTCCTATGTATCTGTAGCAAAACAATCAGAATCAGGAAATTAACATCAATACAATAATAATATCTAATCCATGGATCCTAAACAAATTGTGCCAACTGTCCCTTTAACGTCCTTTACAAGTCCAGGATCAAATCCAGGATCGGCCATGCATTTCATAGCCAAGAGGGCTTGCTTTGTTTTGTCTATTTTGACCTTAATATTTTTGAAAGTACACAACAGTTACTTTGTAGAATGGCCCTCAGTCTGGGTTTACCTGATGTTTCTTCATTATTAAATTCATATTCATGATTTTTAGCAAGAGCACTACAAAAATGATGCTGTAGTCTTCTTAGTGCATAACAGAAGACACATTATGTCAACTTTCCAATTTAAAGATTGTGTTAACTTTTTTCCTTAAGATGGTATTGACCAGATTTTCCACTTTAAAATTAATTAATATATCTTTTATACTTATTAAAAACTCATTAATAAGTAAATTCTGTGGCTCTATTTTGAGACTATGTAAATATCCCATTCCTCATCAAATGTTATCCACCAGTTTAGCAACCATTGATGAGTCTTGCTTTAATCAATTATTATTATTATGGTTTTTAAATAGTGTTTTTTTCTAAATTTTATTATTCCTTTTACATTCATTATCTGGCATTCTACTGAAAGGTAGAATTTTTTATATTTATCCATTCATACATTTCTATCATTATGGTTTTTTGAGGCCCAGATCATTCTACATGTAGCCAGTGAGAGTTTTTTCAAAATAACTCTTGTATCCTTTTGATATGTCCCCAATATTCTTTGTAGGCTTTCTTATTTTTTTAGCACACAACATTTTTCAGAGTCATCTTGTACTTTTCCTGCTCCAGTCCCAGAATCACTTATTTCTCCAAGGAACTCTGTTTCCTTTTAGTGGAGAATGATACTTAGTAATCAAGATATGGGTATGAGGCGTACTCATTGCTACTGGGTATGATTGCTTCTACTCCCTCTAATACCCACATGTCTATACATAAATCTATATTTGTTTCAATATCTATATCTATCTCTCTGTAAATTCCAAAACCCATGACTCATGTATGGGTTTTCTTTAGCCTTCCTTCTTTTTATTGGTAAATCCTTTCTCTAAAAGAGAGAAATCTGGCTTTCAATTCTCTTAATATATTTACTTACATGGTCAATTCCCCTGCATGTAATCAATATCCCGACCACATGGACCACCTCCTTGGCCCCCACCCCATGTCCTCAATCAAGTAGGGTACCTTCATGACCCTTGCCCTGCTGACGCTAAATATATTCCTTTCTTATGGAGAGTCTCCATATATTTAGGAAAATGTCACATACTCTTTCTCTGTAAAACTGAAAATAAAGCTTATTTTTGACATATGACAACCATATTTTGGATCTTTCTTATAAGTAGAAACAATCTCTGAGACTCAGCAATGTTGAAATTCTTGTTTCAATGCCTTAATTCAGAAACATATAGTTCTTTAGCTATTGATCCCTAGAATCTAACATTAGCTAAAAATTTGAAAAATACTTCTAATTTTAAATGGACTACACTCACAAGATTCTATGGAAGTCCAGAGGAGAAGCACCCAACCCAGCCTTGGTGAGTCATAGAAAGCTTCCTGAAGATGATGTCTGGTTTGGTTTGTTGTTGTTGTTGTTTGTTTTGTTTTGTTTTGTTTTGAGACGGAGTCTCGCTCTGTCTCCCAGGCTGGAGTGCAGTAGCGTGATCTCCACTAACTACAAGCTCCACCTCCCGGGTTCACACCATTCTCCTGCCTCAGCCTCCTGAGGAGCTTGGACTACAAGCACCCGCCACCACGCCTGGCTAATTTTTTTTTTTTTATATTCTTTAGTACAGATGGGGTTTCACCATGTTAGCCAGGATGGTCTCGATCTCCTGACCTTGTGATCCACCCGCCTCAGCCTCCCAAAGTGCTGGGATTACAGGAGTGAGCCACCGTGCCTGGCCCTGGTTTGGTTTTGATGCCTCGTGTATTAGGTTTCTCCAGAGAAATAAGATCAATAGGATGTGTATGTATATGTGTATGTCTGTATATATACATATATATAAATATTAATTATATATATGTATATGGGAAAAGAGGATGAGAGGAAGAGAGATGGAGACTTATTAAGGAATTAGATCTTGTGATTATGGAGGCTAAGAAGGCTGAAGATCTCCAGTCAGCAAGCTGGAGACCCAGAAGAGTTGATGTGTAAGTTCCAGTCCAAGGCCAGCAGCTTAAGACACAAAAAGAGCCAACGTTTTAATTTAATTCTGAAGGCAGAAAAGGACTTATGTCCCAGCTCAAGCAGTCAGGAAAGAGGAGATTCCCTTTATTTGCATGAGGGTCCGCCTTTTTTGTTCTATTCGGTCTTTCATCTGACTGGATGAGGGTCACCCACATCAGAGAGGGCAATCTGCTTCAGTAACTCTACAGATTCAAACATTCATTTCATCCAAGGACACCCTCACAAACACCAGAAATAATGTTTGACCAAATATCTGGGCACCCTGTGGTCCAATCAATTTGACACATAAAATTAACCATCATACCTTGGTTTTTCTAAATACTATTTTTGTTGCTAAGATCTTTGAAAGATTCAATAAGTTTTCCTTTAGTCCTTAGACTAGATTAGATTTCTTTACTCTTCATTCACTTTTTTATTTTTATTATTATTATTATTATTTTTTAAGATGGAGTCTTGGTCTGTCACCCAGGCTGGAGTGCTGTGATGCAATCTCGGCTCACTGCAAGCTCCGCCTCCTGGGTTCATTCCATTCTCCTGCCTCAGCCTCCTGAGTAGCTGGGACTACAGGCACCCACCAAGACGCCTGGCTAATTTTTTTGTATTTTTAGTGGAGATGGGGTTTCACTGTGTTAGCCAGGATGGTCTTGATCTCCTGACCTCGTGATCAGCCCACTTCAGCCTCCCAAAGTGCTGGGATTATAGGCATGAGCCACTGCGCCTGGCCTCTTCATTCACTTTCTTATTAATCACATTACTTTTTTATTCATCATGTTATTGTAATTAATCACATATTAACACCAGAAATTTCCCTTACCCTCTAGCTCTGTGACCAAAGTGGCTGTATTTCACTTGTTTTCTACCATAGCCTTAGGTCCCAGCACTGTGCCTGACCTAGAGGAGGCACTTGATAAACATTTATTGAATTGAATTGATTATGTCCTCACTCCTTGGTATTATGGCCTTTAAGTAATTATTTTCCAAAATTGCATCCATGCTACATTGTAGCCCAAGTATAAATGATGACAATCCTCTCCCCATCTGCTTTTTACTGAGCAAGGGTACCATGACTAAAACTTTTCTCAAGTTTAGAGTCTAGCAAAAATTCATATAGTCAAACAACCAAAATTCTGGATCTGTTGCTCATTCTTTTAACACACAATGGTGGTTTCAGCAGTTATAACCCAGCCTGTCATTGTCTAGCCACACTACCCTCAGACAGAAAACCCTCCCCTCTTAATGATCAGCACAATTAGGTGATTGTGGCTACAATTATTTGTCATTTCAGCTTTGAATCTCCAGATGAACTCAGTATCAAATGAAATAGACAAAAAACAAAAATAAAGCAAATTCTGATGCAATGCTGAGATAGAACGTAACCTGGGGTTTCTCTCTCCTAAAAAAGTTGCAATAATGAGTGTTCCATGTTTAAACTCAAAATATCATAAAGTTTCTTTGCAGTCATACTATACTTAAACCATAGCTGCTGTTCTATTTTTATAAAAGATTAAATCCTAGCAATACCCTAATTTACATTCATGTTTACAAAGAAAGCTATGACAGCAGTCACCAGTAAAATGCTGCTCTAACACTTAAAATGTCACACCTACAAAAGTAGCTGTTTGTTATTTCCCTCTCTTTCAGCATTATAGCATAGAGGGAATGAAGTCAGCCTAAGATTCAAGAACCTGTGTTTGATTTCTAACTCCATCTCTTACTAGCCATGTAATTTTACCTATGGAGTCATTGATTTATAAAATGAAGATGGTAATGTCTTTGCTATGTATTATAAAGAGTGGATAAACCAAATGATATATCATATGTAAGCATACTTTATGAAGTGCTGTACACACTAAGCGACCATCAATGCCACATTAGACAAGTATATTTCATTTTAAAATAAAGGATTCCTAGAAATGAAAGAATTTTTCATTAAGGTATTATAATTTATGAATTATACTTTTAAGTATTTTCTTCAGTTTTTATACTTAACTTTTTAAAAGCAACTTCTTTTAACTCCATAGGACACCTTGTATTTAATAGATAATGAACAAATAATTTGTTGAATGAGCAAATAATTGCTTCATCTTTTTGGGTGGGTAGTTACTTTGGTGAAGCAACACCTTCAGTTAATTCCATAGCCCCTGCACATACAGGCAACGGGAAATTTCAGGAAGATCTTTAAACTTTGGGAATTCAGTGAATTGTTTTCAAGTTCAAGATGCTCCAGTCAACATGGCAAAGAAGAGGCAATGCTGACACCATGTTGAAACGTCCTAGTGAGGTTTCCATCTTTAAAAAGGGTCCCTTGATGGTTTGTTTCCACCAGGGCATCAGAGACAGCAGCCTGCTCTCACCATCTGGGTATAATAAATGAAGAATTTGAGTCATAAAAATTTCTACCCAATTTAAGATGCACAGTATTGCTTTTCTCAAACTAACTGCCCCTGGCGTTCTAGTTAATACTTCCGTTCAAAATAAAAAACCTTAAAAGCCTTTTAAGCTGACATTTAAAATAATTTGGGAAACAATGCTAAGGCTTAATCTCTTTTACATCAAACCTCCTGTGAGATATGATTGTATAAATTCTCCCATCCCCCAATTTCTCCTCATTTAAGGCAGACCCGCTGAGAAGCAATGCAGAGGGTAGAATCAGTCTCCTTAAGAAAACAAATGAGATGATGTGCATTTTACATTTCTGCACTGAGGAGGTTTTAACCAACATCAACAACAGCAAACTCAACAAAATGGATTCTGCCAAATCATGAGCACACTGAGTCAATAGCAAATTTTTTAAAACTCCTATGTGCCAAAGTTTTAATCTTTGTCAAGCAATGCATTTTTAGGAAGGTAAAGAACAGATACTTCTATAGCCCTCAGTGGAAAATAATTTCTACTTAATGTGACTACTGCACTTACTGCAGACTCTACAAGAAATGGGTGTGAAACAAGAGGAGAAATTTTGAAATTGAGAAAAATGTGTTTTCCCAAAATTAACCATAAATGACTTTAATTATCATAGATTTGTTTGAAGAAGGAAATGAAAGAGCAGGAGAAAAAAAGCCTGATGATAAAAACAAAATCTCCCTTACCTCTTCATGGTAAATATTTAGCTTTTTATACAAATTTTTTAAAGAAAAACAAACAGAAATTCATGCTTTCTAAACTTAAAAGCAGTGGAAGAAATCACAAGTGGAAATAACTTTAAAAATTGACTACATAAGAATAGAAAACTTACATGCATCAAGGACAGATAGAAATAATTTGGCACAAATTTGACAAAAAGTTAATGCCACTACTGTGTGAAAAGCTCATGCAAGTTGATACAAACAACAACCAAAATCCCCTCCCCTCAAAAACTGGACAAAGGGTACATTTGGATGATCAGTGATGGAGAAATCAAAGTGAAGAAACATTTTTTAAAAGTTCATAACTTCCAGTCTGGTGACTATAGTTAACAATACTGTATTGTATACTTGAAATTTGGTAAGAAAGTAGATTTTAAATGTTCTCACCAAAAAAAAATTGATAACATGAGGTGATTAATATGTTAATTAGTTTGTGGTCATTATTTCACAATGTACAAATCTATCAAAACATCATGTTATATACTTTAAATATATAAGATGTTTATCAATTTTACCTCAATAAAGCTGGAGAAAAGTTCAACTTCACTAGCCAACAAATATTGCTAATTAAAGTAAAATGCTATGTTTCACCTATTAAATTGACAAAGATTAAAAAATGATAGTACTAATTTTAATGAATATACAGTGAGTTGGAAACTCTTAAACATTGCTAGCAAGAGTATAAATTAGTTTAGGACGGGTGCAGTGGCTCACACCTGTAATCCCAGCACTTTGGGAGGCTGAGGTGGGCAGATCACTTGAGGCCAGGAGTTTGAGACCAGCATGGCCAACATGGTGAAACCCCATCTCTATCAAAAAATACAAAAATTAGCAGCCGTGGTGGTGGGCACCTGTAATCCCAGCTACCATGGAGACTGAGGCAGGAGAATCACTTGAACCAGCGAGGTGGAGGTTGCAGTGAGCCAAGATCACACCACTGCACTCCAGCCTGGGTGACAGAGCGAGATTCTGTCTCAAAAAAAAAAAAAGGCGGGGGGGGGGGGGTATAAATTAGTTTAACCTTTCTGAAATCATTTCAACTACAAGCAAGAAGAATTTTTAAAACATCCATAATCTTGAACCCAGTACATTTATTTCAGGGTGCTTTCTCAAGGAAACAATCAAATAACTTCACAAAGATTTGGGTAGAAAAATATTTATTGTATTTTTTATATAATAGTGAAAAGCTGTAACATCTAAATTATAACAATAAATAAACAATGATGAATCATATGATCCAAAATTGTTACCAGAAAAAATACAGGGTTTGTTCATGGGGTAAGTAACAAACGACTCTCCACAAGAATGCAGGTTTTGATCTATAGGAGTTTTATTACTTGTCACAGGTAAGGAGAGCACTGAAAGGATTCTCCAAAGCAGCATCTCGCTGAGGGAAAGGGAGGAGAGGGTTTTATGGAGCAATGAAGAGGGTAGAGGGTACATCATTGCACATAGTGGAGGGGTCCCAGGGGCATGGACTCAGTCAGTCATCCTGCCAGCACATAGGGCACATGTTATGATAATAAAGCTGCATCTCCTCCTGGGGTGGAGACTTTGGCATGGTAATGAGGAAAGTTCATTCTGGTTCATCTATAAGTTGCCTGGGTCTGTCAGGACCTAGCTCCAGCCCACTAGGTTACCACATTCCACACAGGGTTAGGGAAAAAACAGGCTGCAAGGCAGGAGGCTGTAAAACAGGCTGATTGCTCGAGTTGATTAAATTCCTATAGTCCCTGGAGACCCTCCCTGTCTGCTTACATAATCATTAAAAACAGTGTTTTTCAGGAATAATTGATGACAATGGAAAATGCTGTCCTAGTAGGATACAAAACTGCATGTATAATATGACCACATTTTGGTTAAAATACATGCATAGAAGAAAAAAAAAGATAGGAAGGAAATGCAACAAACTTTCAACAAGGGATAAAGTAGAATTATAGTTTCATTTTTGTACTTGCATATTTTCTACATGTTTTATAATAAATATTTTATAATTTAAAAATTTCTGATTATGGAAAGACAAACCATTATGGATGCATTCTTGCCAGAGGGGTCAGTGGATATAAACTTGGCTTCAGAAAGGAGTCAGTAACTGCAAATATATTTAGATATAAATATATATATATTTCTACTATTTTTGAAATTCACAGCTCAAATTCTACCTGATCCATTAAGTGGTCCGTGGAAATTCCCCTAAGTATTCATACTCAAAGAAACCTCTCCCTTCAAAAATTCACACTTTATTTACATACATCTTCCTAAGAAATAATAAACATGGAGCTCCTGTCCTAAGACCCGTAGATGTGTTAATTAACTTTTTATTCCCACTTTACAGATGGGAAAAATGAGACACAGAGTGACTGAGCAATTTGCCTGGAATCACACAACTAATACGTGGTAGAGTGAGGACTCAAATATGGTTAGTATGGTTTCTATGCCATCCCTCTTTACTGAGTTTTAGTGTGTTCTACCTGTTAGGTCACCATTTTATGTGTGTTTTTCTCCCAAACAAGAGTGCAGTTGCTTTAGGGGCAAAGCATAAGACCTTGAACTTCTTCAACCTGTCCTTAAAAAAACTGAGGAAGTGAGCCATATAAATATGGACTTAATTGTATTAAAAACAAAACAAACAAGTCAAATGTCTTTACACATTCACTGAAAATCTCAGGAATACTTCAGAGATTAATATTATTGATTTTCAAGACTTGTTTCCTAAACAGATATCTATAAAAAGCAAACCATAGTGGGTCTATATAGCCATATGCTCTGGTCTTAATTTCCCTGATACAGTGACATAGAGACTAATAAAAAAAATTTTAATGAAAAAAATCAAGATGTTGTTATGAACTGCCTTTCACGTAAATCAATGTATTACCTGTGGAATTTGTTTGGACAAATGCAATTCAAAGGTAGGAAATGAGAAGGATGGAATGAAAGACCCTCCTTTTGTAGCACTTCCAGTAGGACAACATTTGAAAGTTTACATCTGTTGGATCCCATCTGTCCCTCTAAATCCCAAGTGTGTAAATAGCACAGTGCCCAGCACTTGGTAGGTACACCATGGATGTTAAACTCTTGGTTCCTTTTATTGTACCTTAGGCTTGGCCTAATGTAAGAACCTTCTCTCCCCAAAAACTCTTTAAGCCCATTCCCCACTTTAATTCGGTCCTTTCTGTCCTGACTTGTGAGTATCTTCTACATAAGCAGATTCCCCTATTGAAGAATATTTTGTCACGGTGTCTTCTGCCCTGATTGTTTACTACAGCAATCAAACTGTAGCTTCTGTACTGGAGCTTCTACTGGCAGGGGGAATCTTCAGGTTGCTCAGCAGCTTGGCCCCTTCTACTTAACCATGTCTGCCTCCTCTAGCCAGGCCTCTCAAACTCCTTTGTGAGTGATTCCCCTCCATTTCTCAGATTGCTTTATATACCCAAGTGTTTATATCTGCAAGGGACGGAGAACTATTTCCTTATCTGCCAAAGTGCATCTCCACCATATTTTCATTTTCTTCAAGGAGTTTTGAGATGTGAACCCTAGACTAGGATTTGGAAAACCTGGTTTCTAGTATCTACTGAAGGAAATCACTTAACCTCTGTTTCATTTCCAAACAGGGAATAAAGATCCCCATTGGAATTATGTGAATGAAAATATAAATGCATATATGCAAATTCAAACAATTTCAAAACCATTAGTTGAATCATAGTATGAGTTAATCTTATGGCCAATCAAAATTTACCTGCAAATGGCCAAATCCATTATATTCAAATTTAAAAAACCTTTTAGTGCTACTCAAAACATTTAAGAGTATTGTCCTAAAAAGAAAAAGGCTGTAATAGGTCTTTGAAGTAAGAACTGGTTCTGCTGCCTTTCTCCCCCATTCCACCCCCTTCAAAGCCATCAAAGCAATGTTCTTAAAGTGTGAATGTCTTACAAGAAGCCTCTAATGGATTCACCCTTCACTCTGTTTCTCACTAATCAGAGGTAACCTGACTTTTACATTCCTAATTATGCCTCTTTCAAAGAGCATTAAGGCTAATATTGGTTTTAAATGGCCCTAAACGCATCTCTGCTTTTGACCTGGGCTGCTTTGACCAACATACATCTTGATATTAGAGCAATCCGAAGGACAGTATGTCCTAAGGGCATCTAGCCAATAGGATTGTTTTCAGGGTCACTTCCCTTTCTTTTTCCCTAACCACCTGCAAGCTGTTCCCTAAATGGTTGATTCCCTTAGTTCTCTCCCAGAAGAATCCAAAGTTTTTCAAAGACTCAGCATTGTCTACAAGAGCGAATTTCAAATCGAACGCAATTTTTAAAAATCCTCAGAGACTATTGTAAAACATGAAGATCCCTGGGCCCCACAGCCTAGATATTTTAATCTCATTGGTTGAGGTGAAGCTGCGAGTGTATGTTTTAAATGAGCAGCCTCCAGTTCAGCTGTAGGTGATCTGCACTTGGAAAAACTGTTCTACAGAATAATGTATATTTCAGGCCCAGAGAACTTCCTGGGCTTATGTCCCATATTAACTCCCATCCTCAAAGTTCACTCACACACTAGTTAGGCCAAGATCTAGCCTCTGTGCTCTTCTTTTCTCTCAGTTTTGAGTGTCCTTCCCCATCCCCCTGCCACATGAAATCTGTATGTTTTCAAGGTTGTGCACAGACACTGGCTCTGATGTCTGCCCTAAGATCCCATTTGGAGCTCTCTCCTTGAAGTTTCAGCAGAATCCTTTTTTTTTTTTCTTTTTTTTTTTCTGAGACGAAGTTTCGCTCTGTCTCCCAGGCTGAAGTGCAGTGGCACGATCTCCGCTCACTGCAAGCTCCACCTCCTGGGTTCACGCCATTCTCCTGCCTCAGCCTCCCAAGTAGCTGGGACTACGGGCGCCTGCCACCACGCCCGGCTAATTTTTTTGTATTTTTAGTAGAGACGGGTTTTCACCGTGTTAGCCAGGATGGTCTCGATTTCCTGACCTCGTGATCCCCCCGCCTCGGCCTCCAGAAGTGCTGGGATTACAGGCGTCAGCCACTGCGTCCAGCCAGCAGAACCCATTTTTTATGTCATTTGTCCCTCATCAAAACAGTTCTTGTATTGCATTTATTTTTTAGCCAATCAGTGTTTGCTATTAAACTGTTTTTTTTTACACTATCAGTGTTCACTATTATACTTAAAGGTAAGTATTATATTTGATTTATCTTTTAATCTTAGAGAGGGCTGTGAACACAGTAGCTGCTGAATACATGTGTATAAAATTAAACCTACTTAAATTATGTCTATCAGATGTATTTAAGGTTAGTTAAGCACCTCTCCTGTCTTCCCTCAGATAGCTGAAGTAGAAAGCATCTCTGACCTGGATGTAATACACAGCCCAACCAGCCAGAAATAAATGTTGTATGACTGCCTTCTGACCTGGCTGCTTACCTTATTTATCAATTTGAGCTCCAGAATCTTGCCCATAATAGATAAGTTATAATTACAAGTATCTAAATATAAAAATATTCAGAATTGTTCTTTAATGAGAAACCTTATAAAGGTATAAAAATATTAACTCAGAAATTAAATAATCCAATAATCAGAAAACTATGCTCATCAAATTAGCAAAAAAGAAAACTGAAAAGATTGATAACACTGTATATTACTAAGCAGATGGGGAACTGGGCACTCACATATGTGGTAAGAATACTGTAAACCAGAAGAACAGTTTTGGAGTACAATCTGACAGTTTCTATTCACATGTAAAGTGACCCAGAAATTCTACTGTTTTTGTGGTCTTTCCTAGAGAAACACAAATACGCAGAAAAATGCATAAAAATATTCATTGCAGCATTGAATGTAATAGCAAAAGTTCCACCAATAAGGGAATGGATAAATTAATGTCGGTATGGTCACACTATAGGATATTATACAGTAGTTAATAATAAGAAGCATCTACATATACATTATGAAAAGATCTTTCATATATCTTTGAGTTTAAAATAAAAGTTGCAGAATCTATATTGTAGAATACTAGATACTTACTTTTTAAAATGTGGCCCTAAGAGTTGATAAAATAATATCTACACTTAACTGCAATTGAAAAAGTAAACATATGTTTAAAAAGGTATGGAAGGCTGGGCACAGTGGCTCCCTCCTATAATTTCAACACTTTGGGGGGTTGAGGTGGGAGGACTGCTTGAGCCAGGGGTTCAAGACCAGCCTGAGCAACATAGGGAGATCCTCATCTCCAAAAAAACTTTGAAAACTTAGCCAGATGTCGTGGCACACACCTGTAGTCCCAGCTACTTTGGAGGCTGAGGTGGAAAGATTGCTTGCACCCAGGTCAGGGCTGCAGTGAGTCGTGATTGCACCATGGCACTCTAGCCTGGGTGACAGAGTGAGATTCATTCTCAAGAAAAAAAAGAAAAGAAAGAAAAAGGTGAGGAAGAATATGACACAAATGGAGGACATGAGTTACCCCTCCTAAGGAGGTGACTGTTACTGATATGGTGGATATGGAAGAGTCTGAGTGTATTTTAAATAAATTTGTATCATATGTTACGTATGTTAAGGAAATGTCTTATATGAATGATTTGTGCTATGAAATGACAAATACATTCTACTTCATATTTAGTATAGTAGAATACTGTATTATATGGTTAGCTTACTATACAGACATGATGTAGTTAGCATAAAGCTGCAGTTTTCGAAGTATGTGCAGTTTCTGATTGTAAGTCCCAATTCTTTTCACAAAAGACTGACACAAACACTTAACTAGTCTGTTGAAAACAGAAATCTGTATTTGGTGTAGTTATGCTCATTTTCTTCCTGTTCCCATGGGTTCTCTTCTCAATGTTCTCATGCCTGCATGCTGCACTTGTCCTGTATTATTATCCTCCTATCCCAGGATTAATGACAAATTACAAAAGTCCTTATTCTCTGCATCTACATACCCATTGCTTTGCTAATGAACCAGGAATGGCTGCACAGTACTGCAGCTCTCTGTCTCTCACTAACATGAGCTGCAGGTAATGCTTCTGAATGCAGTGTTCTCTGCACATGGTGAGGAAGAGAGGAATATTTTAAACTCTCTGTGCCTGGAAACGACACCAGGATTGGGAGTTAAAGCTTTCCTTTTGCTCCTACCTCTCAACAGAAACATAGATGCCAAGATATTCCCTGTTTTTGTAAGGCCTGAGGCAGATACAATTCTGGAAAGCCCTATTTTGGAAAAAAAATTAGAAATTTACAAGTAAAAATTGCCAGAGTCCCTCCCAGGTCCCTGGAAGGAACATGCAAGTACAGGGACCTGAACTTTAAGCTTCATTAGCTTCTTGCTAAGTCTCTTCTGCTCAATGTGTAATATCAGTAAATGTGCACCTAGGCCAAGAGTGCAGGGGTGCTTTCATCGTTTCATTTCCACTCTCAGGTGAGTTGCACAAGGGTATGTATGCTAAACATACTCAGGGTATGTTTAGGCATTAAGTCCTGATGATGATGGTGAAAAGAATGGTGACAAACTGAGTTACATGAACACATATTCTGCCCTAGATTATTTTAAGATTAAAATGTACATCCTGTAGGTCATTGATAATAAAAACCAAATCCCATTATGGCACTAAAAGTGTAATGGACTGAATGTTTGTGTCCCCCGCAAAATTTATATATTGAAATTCTAACTCCCAAGATGACGGTATTAGAAAGTGTGGCCTTTGGGAAGTAATCAGGTCATAAGGGCTCCACCCTCATGAGTAGTACTAGTGCCCTTGTAAAAGAGGCCCCAGGGAGCTCATTTACTCCTTCTGCCACATGAGGTTAGAGTGATAAGACTATTGTCTTTGAGGGAGCGAGGCCTCATCTGTCACCAAATTTGTCGATGCCTTGATCTTGGACTTCCCAGCTGCCAGAACCATGAACAATAAATTTCTATTGTTTGTGAGCCACCCAGTTTATGGTATTTTTTTTTTACGGCAGCCTGAATGGACTAGGACAAAAAGAAAAAAGAAGTAAAAAACCCTTTCTTTCAAGGACCCGCAAACTTCATGTGTATAGGTAGTTTCCATTTTATGACAAAACTTCAGACAAAACTATTTCAAACAAGATAGGAGTCATATTATTTGTAGGACTTTATCAATACAAATTTTACAAATGTTTTAGTTGACAAACTTTTAAATTTTAGATTATTTATAGAAAGTAGAAAATTCTCCCTTTACATTATAAGTGTGATTAATGAAGTTAGTTAGTGGCATTCACAGCACCCCATGCTTCAGGGTCCTCTGAAGTCCTCTGAAAATCATGGGCAATAGAAATAGTATTTTTGATTTGGTTTAAGGAAAGCTGCTTATGTCTGAGAGTATTGTTTCATAACAGTGCGTTCACATAACAATGAGCCTTCACATTATCATAAAGTAATAGAGATGAAGGAAAAGGGGGCTCGAAATACACTAAAAACCCACAAAAATAGCTGTGAGAGTTTGAGAAAAACCTAAAATTTAATAGCACACCTCCTTTTTAATATTAAGTGGGGAAATTTAGGCAAATTTTAAAGCTCTTCTTCTCATTGTATTTACAAAATCATTTCCTAACCCAGTCTTTAACAATCATAATCACCATCATCATCATGATGATAGCTACAATTTCCAGGAACTTCCACTCTGGTCAGTCATGCTACTGAACACTACATGCATCAATGCAATCCTTGTATGAGATAGATGAGATCCCACAAAGATACATGTTCCTAAAGGACAATCTTGAGAACTATGCCCTAACTGAACAGTTGCCACCCTTCCGCTTTCCTGCTGTGTCAGTTAGGATCTTTCAGTTACAAGTGCCAGGAAACCTTAAAATGAGATTTTTAAAAAATTCCATTTGACTAAAAGTTCCAGTAGGATTGCCTTCAACAGAAGCTTGATGAAGCAGCTCACTCCATGTAACAAGAAATTTTTTTTTACTGTTTTACCATGCCATTTCCTCAATGTCAGTTTCACAAGGTGCTCTAGGTTCTTCCCCTTAAAATTAAAAAAAAAAAAAAAAATAACTGGTAGGTTCTCAAACATAGCACATTGAATAGCAGCATCCCCATAAGCCCTTGGACTCAATCTCATTGGCCCACATTACTCATCATATGCCCATCATATACCATCACTGTCACCAAGGAACAGATGGAATAAGGTGATTGACTTAAGCTGACTCTTTGGGTTCATATGATATGATATTCATCTCATAGATGAGAATAGAATAGGAGTAACTTCCCCAAAAGGAAAATCTTGGTGCTATTGGCAGAAAAGGGGGAGAATAGAGGCTGGGGGAGAGGGGTATCAGCCCAAAAAATAAGTACACTATACATACTACTATACATGTCCACTGCTAAGTGTTATTCCCATATAAGAATCTAAAACTTTGATGTAGCATCTGTTTACAAGTATTCAACTAAAAATAATAAACAAAACTATTGGTTTCCCATTCTCTCTCTCCTCCTTGAATAAGAGGGAGCAGTTTGATCATTATCTGCAATTTAGAAAATCCTACTAAAACATATTTAAATAATTACTGCATATATGGATTTCCTTTCCTATGAGAAAACTATGGTGACCTAATGACCATAGGATCCAAAATCCCCCCTAAAGCAAAGACCAAATCTATGTGAGAGAGAAATGGGGATCAAAATAATGACCCAAACAATAGAGCTTTAGTGTTCTTTGTTCTTCTCATTCTTTTTTTTTTTTTTTTTGAGACGAAGTCTTGCTTTTGGCCCCCAGGCTGGAGTGCGATGGCGTGATCTCAGCTCACTGCAACCTCTGCCTCCCAGGTTCAAGCAATTCTCCTGCCTCGATCCCCCGAGTAGCTGAGATTACAGGAGCCTGCCACCATGCCCGGCTAATTTTTGTATTTTTAGTAGAGACGGGTTTCACTATGTTGGCCAGTCTGGTCTAGAACTCCTGACCTCAGGTGATCTACCCGCCTCGGCCTCCCAAAGTGCTGGGATTACAGGTGTGAGCCACGGCGCCTGGCCAGCGTTCTTCTCATTCTTCATAGAGATCTCCACGTCAATCAAACTGCTTATACCCATGCATGACTTCATTATATGTATTTTTAAATGTTCTTATACAAATATTTTTATCCCTTCATCAAGATTTTATTGGATTGCCAAAAACATAACTATATTTGGAATTATTCAAATATTGTGAAAAAATTAAAATGTGTTAAATCTTAATACATCTGAGTTCAAGATTGTTATATTTATTGCTAATAACATAACCCAAGTTATGAGACCAAGATAGGATACTGTGTCGTGTATATTGCTGAACGAGTTATGGGTCTGAATTTTCACCACACTTCACAATAAAAAATGTTAGACTTGAGGAAATAACAAAAAAGTAAAAGAAGTTTTCTTTTCTCTATGTTAACAGAAGTCTTATTTGGAATATTCTTTATAGTAGTAGTCAGCTTACCACAAAAAGTGCTGTTCAACTTGCATTTAAAAGGAATGGTGGAAAATGGACTGGGAAGAAAGAAATTTGAGTTCCAGTATAAGCTCTGTGGCTAACCAGCTGTGAGACCTTGGGCAAGTCACTATACATCTCTGTTTCACATTCCTCATTTGCACAATGAATAGGTTGGTAGAGATTGTCTTTACAAGTTCCCAACCCTGAACGTCTTTGAGTTTGGTGAAATAAGCATACCAGACTGGGAGCTCAGTTTACCTACACATCCAAAATGGAACATTACTGTCCAACTCCCCTCTTGGGATGTTAATATCGAGTGATAGAGACAGAAAGTTTGGAGGATAATTCTGGGTTTTACAAACAAATTTCTGAGTACTTCTTTAATTTGCGATTACCTTAAGTAAGCAATTCCCTTTACATTTTTATTCAAAAATAACAAGCTGTGTTTGAAATGCCAGTATACACCATTTACTACGCTCTCCAACCCAAACACAAAAACATTTTTACTTATGTTATGACTTCACCTGGTGGCTTTCATTTTCCCCAACATAAAGACAGGGTGAAGCAAAGTAATAGAAAAATAGAAAACATCTTTGTCGGAAAATGAGATTGCAGCTGTGTAACTGGAGCACACAACCATAAATCAGAATGTCAAATCCAAAACACATGACTTTTTGCAAGTTCCCCATGTGCGCTCTAATGTGATTACAGCCTGGTTGCTATTATGATTTAAAACAAAGTCTTTCATGCTAGAAACAAAATGCGGAATGTGAGCCGCCTGGGGGAGAGAGCTGCAAGCTAGCTAGTGACATACCCCTTGCTGTCATTGAGGTGGGCTACAGTATTTCAAGTACTGGTTTGTCAGGTGTGAGAGAGCAAGAGGATACAAGAGGAACCTTGGCAGAGGTCTTAACATGAGGGACAAATTAGCCAGCAGTGTTCAGCTCAGCTTGACAATCTGAAATTAGCTTCTTTCTTCCCCCTCCCCATATTTTTTTCCCCTAAGCAGAATCCTGCAGCCAAACAGAAAGATTACAGAAGTCATTCTTTCCTGCCTATCACATAAACAAATGGCCCAGCTGTTATTGCTAAGATTCCAGTTTTAAACTTGGACTTTCTTGTATAAACTTCAATGTAATGGTATTTAAAGTGTCATAGGCAATAAGCATCTAATCCTACTCAATAAATTGTAGGCTCGTTGCATGAACTCCTAGAGCTGTTAAAGACAGCTGTGCTTTTTTTGTAATTTAAGTCATTTCCAAATTGGGCAGTTCTCCAGGTGTATTTTCAGACAAACAATGTGTGCTAGAAAAAGTAATGTTCTGATTCTTTCAGCAATGGAATAAACACAAAGAAGTAAAAGCTGAGGTATAACACAATGAAAATATCATTCCTGATCACCCCAGGAGGGCAGGCATCAAGGTAGGGGTGCTAGGAAATTGCCCTTGTTTCCTTTGACTATTAAAGTATGAGCCAGGACATTCTCCCCTCAAGGACCTTTTGCCAGGCCCATCACTTTTGTAACTGGTCTTTGGGTCAATGCCATAGACGAGTACCAGGATAGAGGATAAAAAGTTAGTACGTATCAAAATAGAACCATCAACTTGAAGAACAAAAATACAAGCCTCAAATGGAAAAAGCTCCTCCCATAGCTGATATTTAAAGGGTCCGGACAAAACAGTTTGCACTTCTGTAATGCCATTGAAAAAAGTCATCATAGGCCCATAGGATAAGAGGGAATTGACAAGAGGTTATTTCATCCAGCTGACTGTCTCTAAGAAGACCCACAACGGAAGAATTTCAAGCAGATTAGTTGGTAATTAATTTATATCCAAATTATCATTAAGCATTAAATGAATCCTCTTCCAGTACAAAAAACCTCTGAGTAGACAGGGCACTTTCTATATCCACCCCAAGTTGAGAGTATTCGACAGTCAACTGATAGACCTGAGTAGGAAGCAGCCCAAGCTCTTCCTAACTATGGTTTGATGATGGTGAGTCATTTTCACAGAGGCCATTGCAAAGTTTGCCTCCTGTAGCTGATTCTGCAGCACAGGAGTGCTGCTATTGTTGTTTCATTTGGTGTCTTATCATCAACAGTTGGTTTGTGCCTACAATCTTACCCCGTCTTGTTCTACACTGTTATGAGATACTGTGCATTATCTTTTCGGCTAAACACATGTGATATCTACCTCATAATTGACAATGCAGAGTAAACAGAGAAAAGCACAGAGAAAACAAATCCCAGACCTAGAGCCCACAGTGTAGTTCCCCTGAGTCCTCTGTGGTGGGTTGAACTTAATCACAGAAAGAGTAGGCCTGAAATGAATCAACACCTCTTTCAGTTGCTGGAACGTAACACAAGCACACAGGTGGAGGGAGTTTCAGGCAATGACTCAGGATTACTTTTGGCCTAGGTGGACAACTGGACAGCTAAACACAGTCCCAAAACTCAGCAATCGCTTTCTGGATTCTTACCTCCCCACAACCCCAAAAATGACAGCTCCACTTGCATTTCTACTGAAGCTTTGAAGTTAAGCCTCCATAATTAGAACTCCCCTGGGATTGAGATAGTATTCCTACTGTTCCCCTTTGAGAAATGACAGCTTAGACCTGTCACCTTAGGGGAACACTTTACCTCAGGCAAAAGCAATGGTCCACTTGTTTCTAGTCCCAGAGAGCAAAACTCCTCAGGCTTCGTTCATTTTTGAGGGGAAACTCTACAGCTCTGCGTACATTAAAGACCTAACCAAAAAATGTCTAGAAACAACTAATCTCTCAGTGTCACTTCAAACAAGTATAGCATACCAGGCACATGATATTTATCAAACAACATAGACCCTCAGCTAGCCAATGCATTGAGTCCCATTTCTCTTGTTTAAGAAGTCTCTAAAAGCCTACAAAAATATTGTCAAAGTTATATATATAGTATTCAGAATTTTGTTCTGAAGGCAATTAACCCAATACTACAGGTAGCATTTTTCAATATATATAACCCCCACTAAAAACTGTTTGGTTTTCATGAAAGTGTCTTGAAAGGGAGGACATGCCCCATAGAATGGAATGGTGGGTTGTTGGTTTTTGCTTTTTTTTTTAAGCTAAAAGCTGGAGAATGAAATTATTGAAACCATCTTCTGTTCTACTTTAATTTTCACCAGCTTTTTGCTAGTTTACTTTAACAAGTAATGTTTGATTGAATTCAGGCCTGCTTTTGTTTACAAAATGAACGAGAGCCAGCAAGTCGTGGCCTGGCTAATTTGCACATCCACTGCCTTGGTCTCCTCCCCTTTAAACAAAAATCTGGAGTTTGTGATTTATTGTTGATTTGGTTAGCTCAAATGATTTTGATGGCTAAAATCTACCTTCCACCCCATCCTTGAAATTTTCTCCAAAAGCACCCACTCTATTTTTACCATACAAGGCAGACTTGACACTCCTACTCCCCCAACAAAAAAAAAAAAAAAGGAAAAAAAAGAAAAACACATCTTAACTCCCAAGATTTCAGATGCCAATGAATGAAGCTGAAAATAAAAATCCACAGACGGGAGAAGAGGAAAGCAAGATCCTCTACATCTATAGCTTTAGAAATGAAACTGGTCCATTCAGAAGAATAATATCCTGACAGCAAAGCAAAATGGTAATTGTTGATAACAAATCTCTTTGAGGCTTTGTGAGACATCCTTGTTTGACAATCAGGTAGACCAGATGTTTTCAGATTTGGCAGCCCCTCAGAATCACCTTGGAAGCCCTATTCTTAAGTATCCTCCTTTAAAAAGTCTGATTTTAAAAGTCTAGGGGCCAGGTGCAGTGGCTCACGCCTGTAATCCCAGCACTTTGGGAGGCCAAGGCAGGTGGATTATGAGATCAGGAGATTGAGGCCACCCTGGCTAACATGGTGAAACCCCCTCTCTACTAAAAATATAAAAAATTAGCCGGGCGTGGTGGCAGGCACCTGTAGTCCCAGCTACTCGGGAGGCTGAGGCAGGTGAGTGGCGTGAACCCGGGAGGCAGAGGTTACAGTGAGCCGAGATCGCGCCACTGCACTCCAGCCTGGGCAACAGAGTGAGACTCTGTCTCAGAAAAAAAAAGAAAGATAAAAAAAAGTCTAGGGTAGAATCTGTACGTTCACAAAGTACCCTCAAATGGTTCTGGAGGTCCACCAAGCTTTGAAACATTAAGTATAGTCTTTATTCATGTTTAATGTTACCCTGTCCAGCCAATTTAATCTCTTTCTCTGCTTGAATTCTCCAGTTGCAATCTGGAGGTCACATAGGATAAGTATGCTGTGAAACTGGTGTGTGGTTCCCTGTATAGTCAGGAGAGGGGAGGTGAGGGGCAATGCTCCTCGTCATTCAGGCACAAAATCCACACACATGTTTCTGTAGGGGCTACTTCAGCAAGATCACTACCTAATGCTAAAAATCATTTGACTCTCACATGCCTACCATCTATTCATAACGTTTCACCTCCATTCAGCCATCTATTCTCCTAACAGCAAGGCAAAATTCACTCCCAGCCCCCTCTATCCCCATGCAATCAGCTGCCTTTTGGTGATTTGCCCTCTTCCCTCAGGCTATTTAAACATAATCTCGTTTAAAGTAAAAATTAAATTTACCCAATGGTACAGGTATTGAGGCAATGACTAGTCACTCTGACAGGGAAGAAACCATACCCATCTTGCTTATCCCTGCAATCCAACTGAATAATAGGAAATTCAGTTCCAACACCTATCTACCCAGAGTTAGGTCAATTCCAACACCTACCTACCCAAAGTTAGGTCAAATTTCACAGGTTAAAAGCAGAGTCCTCCATAAGATTCTCCTCTTCTCAGACACCAGCCATAAGCTCTGGGGTTCCCAGGCCACCTGCATTTCTAACTGGCTACAAATTCTGGGGTTCTCACTACTCCCTTGGTACTGTAATTCATTTTAACAACTCACAAAACTCAGAATAGCACCATATTTATAACTACAGTTTTATATAAAAGATACAAATTGGGACCAACAATGAAAAGACACATGGGGTGAGGTGTGGGAGGGTCCCAGATACAGAGCTTCCACATCTTCAGGACACATCACCCTCCCAGCATATCAATGTGCATCACTAACCGGGAAGTTCAACTGAGCTCCAGGTGTCCATAGTTCTTATTGGGGTTTCATTATATAGACATGATTGATATTAGTACATGATTGAACTCCATCTCTAAGGCTCCTCCCCTCCCCACAGGTTAGCCTGACATCACACAGATCAAACCGCAATGCTCTAATCACACGATTGGTCCTTCCAGAGTAGCCAGTCCCCATTCTAAGTCATCTCATTAGCATAAACTCAGTCATGGTCAAGGAGAGGGCATCCATGAATAACAAAGACATTCCCCTCACTCAGAAAATACTTTAGACTTAGAGGTTACCTCCCAGGGACCAAAGTTTAACCAAATTCCTTACTATACAACAGGTCTCTACTTGAATATGACTGTTCTTATTGTCCTCAGACCATAAACAGTACCAGGTCAGCTCCTTTGCTAAACAGGC
Source organism: Homo sapiens (assembly GCF_000001405.40). NCBI lineage: Eukaryota > Metazoa > Chordata > Mammalia > Primates > Hominidae > Homo > Homo sapiens. The sequence goes on along the minus strand of NC_000014.9, from coordinate 53,567,384 downwards.
CTTAGCTCTCTGCTTCTGCCTTTTGATACACTCATCGTACTCATAATCACTTGCTCTTCATCTCCCCTCCTTAAGCTTAAGGTCAAGAACCATGTCTGTCATATTCACTACACTTCACCAGTTCCTCACACTAGTTAAGGAACATAGTTAATATAATCAAATATTTGTTGTTAGGTAAATTCTATCTCCATGCCTTTATTCATAGGTGTGAAAATGACATTTACAAACATAAAGCTAGCACCAGGCACACAGTAGCTACAGTAAAAACAGGTATGTATATAAATAAGATAACCAGGAAACCCCCCAATCATTGAAAAAACCTTTGGAATAGATTTGAAATATCCTTCATCTCAAATCCTGTTGTGTCTACCAGAGTCCTGGGAAAATGTGAATCAACAGGCACAAAATAACAGGACTTCTATATTTTTCATCCTGAAGGTGCTGATAATGGTGATGGGGGAAGGGAGACATTGATTGATTTTCTTCTTTATTCAACTTCTAGTTGAGTTTCATTAACCTTTTAGCAAACAATGATGTTCTAAACAAGCAAAGTGTTTCTTCGAAGTTTATTCCCCCCTAAATACGTGGTAATAGTATTTGAAAGTGGATTTCTATTTCAATTGCCACCCAAGCATCCTTTTCTCTAGCCTGTCACCAAAAAAAAAGATTATACATAATATGATTTTTTTTTAAAAAAGTGGAATTCAAAATTTAAATTTGCAATGAAAAACACAATCATCTTAGTTCAGTCAATAAAAAGATAGAAAGTGAGCCTGAGTATTTTGATCCACCCACTTACTGCAAAGTTCCACATAACTTTGACTTTCAGATGAAAATATTTTCAATAAACATTGGTAGAATCAAACTGAAATCTGATTCCTCATTTGTCTAAGTCATGTTCTCCAGCAATTCTGGGTTGTAAACTCAATGGTAGGAAGTAGAGCTTATGGAATGTCATAGCTGGAAGCAATATGCATAATCAGAAAACAGAGATCCATAGAGGACAAATAACTAGCTCTACTTTCCACACCAAGTTAATGGCAGAGATGGGACCAGAATCCCATCTCCTGACTCTCTACTTCCTAACATTGTTTCTATATCACATTATATTAATATTTCTTTTCTATGCCCCAGAGTTTACAATAATGTTCGGCACATAATAAATGCTCAGTGAATCATGCCGATTTTGATTTCTTAAAGTGTTTTGTCTAACACACTGTGAAGCATGATTCCATATTTTCCTTTCATATATTTAGTTATACTTTTGCACCTACACAGATGACATATGGCTGGTCATATAGCACTGCTCTGCTGAGAACTCAATATGTCTGCATTTCTTCTGTCATCCTTCTTCCATCTCTCCCCAATCTGTGCGCTTAAAAATAAAGGTGCAGCCCTACACAACATACTCTTCATGGATTGTCACTATCTTGCCAGGTGGTAGACTTGCTCTTTTAGTTCCAGTCTTAAAAGCAAACAAGAGTATTTGTTGTAAATGATTTAAAAACTTGACTTGTGGGTGGGAAAAAATATCTCATCCCTCCCAAGACATTCAAACTTTGTTTTTGGTTTCACTGGACTTCAAAAAGACTACAGCTAGCATTTATGATATTCATTTGCCTTTTAAACCAAAGTGGTTGACACATGTTAGTCTCTCAAATATGTGTTGAATGAAATGTGTGTGAAAACATGTGATGTGAATTATTTCACCTTAAACTGCAATGGGATGTGTTTTTATGCATTCTACATTTGGGTACCTTCGAATAGAGTGTTTCTCTTCAGGTAACTAATTAATGAATATAGGAATTTACACAGGAGCCAGCACCACCATTTGAAAAGACAGATCATATCAGATCTTTCCTGCTTGAATTATTTTAACGGCTTTCACTTAGAATAAAATCAAACCCGTAACATTAGCCTACATGTCCCACATAATCTTGCTCTAGGTTCTTCCCTAGCCTCATCTCTATTGAAACTTCTTTTCATTCATCATCAGCCACCATGCTTTCTTTTCACCTCCTCTTATTTCAGCTCTTTAGGAGTCTTTGCACATGCTGTTCCTGCTGTTTAGAATATTCATTGATATGGTTTGGCTCTGTGTCCCCACTCAAATCTTATGTCAAATTGTAATCCCCATGTGTTGAAGGAGGGGCCTGGTGGGAGATGATTGAATCATGATGGGGCAGACATCCCCCTTGCTGTTCTCATAATAGAGTTCCCAGGAGATCTGGTTGTTTGCAAGTGTGTAGTGCTTCCCCCTTCACTCACTCTCTCTCTCCCACTCTGCCATGTGAAGAAAGTGCTTGCTTCCCCTTCGCCCTTTCACCATGAAGGGCCTCCCAGCCATGCTTCCTGTACAGCCTGCAGAACTGTGAGTCAATTAAACCTCCTTTCTTCATAAATTACCCAGTCTCAGGTAGTTCATTATAGCAGTGTGAGAACTGACAATGTGTTCCCTATGCTCCTCCTCCCACCTCCCCCTGCCAATGAATCATGTCTCTTTGTGTCCATACTCCTATGTAATGATATTTTGCTGCACCTCCCAGCAAATGGTAGAAACTATTTCTCTTCTCCTTAATCTGGACAAGACTAACATAATGCAATGGAAGTAACATTCTAGAATTTCTAAAACCAGGTCTTTAAGTGGCCTTATAGCTTCCACTTTTGCTCTCATAACCCAACTGCTATGTAAGAAGTTTAAGCTGTCTTGCTGAAGAGAGAGGACATATGCAGAGAGAAATCCTAGGATAGTAAACCAGGTAGAAAGAGATGCCACATGGAGGAGAACTAAGGTCCTTTGGCTAATAGCCAGCATCAAGACCCAGACACACTAGTGAGGCCATCTTGGATTCTTCAGTCCCAGCTGAATTGACACCATATGGTCAGCTGAACCTGGCTGAACCCTGCCAAATTCCTGACTCAAAAAATTGTAAGCAATAAAATGGTCATTGCCATTTTAAATTTATATTTTTGTTACACAGAGTAACATTTTGTCTTGTTTACAGTTATATGGGTTTCAGCACACACACAGATATTTGTAATCACCACCACAAGTGGATTTAGCTTAACTTCAACATCCCAAAGCATGTTCTTGTACTGACCATCAGAAGTCAGAGCTCTATACCCACCAACCCTAGCAACCACTGATCTATTCTCTAAACCTACAGTTTTGCTTATGTCAGAGTATCATATAAACAGAATCATACAGTATTCAACATTTTGAGACTGGTTTCTTTCAATTACCGTCATATATTTGAGATTCATTCATGATGTATGTATTAATAGTTTGTAACTTATTATGACTGAGTAGTATTCTATTGCATGGATTACTCATCCATTGACATATTTTGGGGTTGGTTCCAGTTTTTGGTGATTTTGAATAAGGCTATTTTGAGTGTATATGTAGAGGTTTCTTTTCAAAAATAGGTTTTCATTTCTTTGGGCTAAATAGTTAGAAATGGGATTGCTGGATCATATGCAAGGTCTATGTTTAACTTTTAACTCAGAAACTGCCAGAAGGGCTGTACCATTTTGCATTCCCATGAGCAATACATGAGAAACCTAACTGTTCCACACCCTTGTCAGCAGACTATTTTCAGTGCTTTTTTAATCATTCTAATAGGCATGCAGTGGCAACTTAATTGTGCTTTTCATTTGCATTTCCCTAGTGGCTAATGTTATTGAGCATCTTTTCATGTACTTATTTCCCACCTGCATATCCTTTTTGATGAAATATTGTCTCATCATTTGCCTAAGCTTTTATTCAGTTGTTTTCTTATTGTTGAGTTTTGAAAGCTTTTTCTATATTTTGGATACAAGTCCTTCGTCAAATATGTGATTTGCAAATATTCTTACCAAATCTGTGGCTTATGTTTTTATCTTCTTAGCAATATCCTTTGAAGAACAAAATTTTTAATTTTGAGAAAGTCCAATTTGTCTTTCTTTTTTTCTTGGATTGTGCTTTTGGTGTAGTATTTAAGAATTCTTTGACTAGCCCAAGATCATGAAGATTTTCTCCTATGTTTTCTTCTAACAGTTTTATAGTTCTATATTGTGTATTTAGATCTATATCGAGTGAATTTTTATATAAGGTATGAGGTATGGGTTGAGATCTTGCATATATTTTATTAGATTTATACCTAAAATTTTACTTTTTTGAAGGTATTGTAAATGTTACTTTTAAAAAATTTTAGTTTCCACATGTTCTTTCCTAGAGTATAGAAAACTAACTGATTTTTGGATGTTGACTTTGTAGTTTGTGACCTTGCTAAACTCACTTATTAGTTTTAGGAGCTTTTTTGTAGATTACTTAGGATTTTACACATCTTGAAGTATAGCTTTATGCTTCCATTTCTATCTGAGTGCCTTTTATTTATTTTTCTTGCCTTATTGCACTTTCTAGGACTTCTAATACAATATTAAGTAGGAATGCTGACAATAGACATCTTCACTAGTAATAAACTTAAAAGAAAATCATTCAGTCTTTTCCCATTAGATATACCATATTAGCTGAAGGACTTTTTAAATGTATTTATTTTTTTGATGCCCTTCTATTTATGGCTTGTTGAGAGTTTTTAATCATTTTTTTTAATTTTGTCAAATGCTGCTTCTTCATCTATTGATAGGATCACATGGATTTTCTTATGTATCCATTAATCTGGTGAATTATATTAATTTTTGAATGTTGAGCCAGCCTTGCATTTCTAGGATACACACCCCTTGGCAATGGTATAGAATTCTTCACATATATTGCTCAATTTAATTTGCTTATGTTTTGTTGTTTTGCTGAGAACTTTTGTATCTATGTTCATAAGACATATTAATCTATAGTTTTCTTTCTTTTCTTTCTTTCTTTCTTTCTTTCTTTCTTTCTTTCTTTCTTTCTTTTTTTCTGTCTTCCTTTCTTTCTTCTTTCTTTTTTTGTAGAGACAGGGTCTCACTTTGCCAACCACAGTGCAGTCCAGTGGTGTAATTACAGTTCACTGCAGGCTTAAACTCCTGAAACTTTACACCCATTGAACAACTCCCCATTTCTCCTACTCACCCAGCCCCTGGCAACCACTATCGCATTCTCTGCTTCTATGAGTTTGACTATTATAGATACCTCATCTATGTGGAATCCTACAACTTCATGGCAAAAATACCCCAAATAACTGGATTTTAAAATGTGCAAAAAACCTGAATAGACATTTCTCCAAAGAAGACATACAAGTGGCCAACAGGCACATGAAAAGATGCTTACTACAGATTCTGTATTCCCTTTGCCTTCAGCAAGCACCTCAGCAGGTTTTTGTTTTTTTCCTGGTGGAGTGACCCAAACCCTCATTCCTGAAGGGTCTGGATCATTTGTAGTCCTGCCTGAATTGGGCTGTTATAGTTTCCCATCAACCTTAATAACAGGGCATGGTAATACTAAGAGACACCTTAAGGGATCTTTTGTATTCCATGCATACTCCTCCTTACCTCCATTGTGGAGTAGTAGACTGATTTCATCTTGATAATCTAGGTTAGTCACCCCAGCCAGTACTGTAACTCCCTTCTTAGCCTGTTGACTTAAAGGTAGGAGAAGCCCAAAGTGTCCAGGTGGCAATCTTCAGTTCCAGTTTAATGGAATCATTGTGTCTCCCGGTGGCTGTGTTCTTCTCTCTGAAACTAAGACCTCTAGGCCAGCAGGATGTAATGCCGTGGGAACAGGAAGCAAAATGTTGCTAGTGGATCACTAGGGGTGATGGTGAGTGGTGCCACTTCCAATTCCACCTCTTGATTCCTGGACCCGTGAATCCTGGCTATGGGAGAAACAGTACCATATATTGGACCCTGATTCAGAGCATACATGGCCTTCTGGAGAACTTTGATCCAGCCCTGCAAGTTATTGTCACCTAGTTGGCATTGTCATTGTGACTTCAAAAGACCATTCCACTGTTCTATCAATGCAGCTGCTTCAGGATGATGGGAACATGGTAAGACTAGTGAATTCCATGAGCATGAGCCCACTGCTACACTTCTTTAGCTGTAAAGTTGGTTAGAGGCAATGCTGTGTGGAATACCATGATGGTGGATAAGGCATTCCATAAGTCCACGGATGGTACTATTGGCAGAACTGCGTGCAGGATAGGCAAACTCATATCCAGATTGTCTATTCCAGTGAGGACAAACCTCTGCCCTTTCCATGATGAAAGAGGTCCAATATAATCGACCTGCCACCAGGTAGCTGGCTGATCACCCCGAGGAATGGTGCCATATCAAGGGCTCAGTGTTGGTCTCTGCTGCTGGCAAATTGGGCACTCAGCAGTGACCATAGCCAGGTCAGCCTTGGTGAGTGGAAGTCCATGTTGCTGAGCCCATGCATAACCTCCATCCCTGTCACCACGGCCACTTTGTTCATGGGCCCATTGGGTGATGACAGGGGTGGCTGGGGAAAGAGGCTGAGTTGTGTCCACAGAACGGGTCATCCTATCCACTTGATTATTGAACTCCTACTCCGCTGAGGTCACCCATTGATGAGCACTCACATGGGACACAAATGTCTTCACAGTTTTTGACCACTCAGAGAGGTCCATCCACATAACCCTTCCCCAAATCTCTTTGTCACCAATTTTTCAATCATGCTTCTTCCAAGTCCCTGACCATCCAGCCAAATCATTGGCTACAGCCCATGAAACAGTATATAATCGCACATCTGGCCATTTCTCCTTCTATGCAAAGTGCACAACCAGGTGCACTGCTCTAAGTTCTTCCCCCAGGGAGATTTCCCTTCATCGCCATTCTTCAGGGATGTCCTAGAAAGGGGCTGTAGTGCTGCAGCTGTCCACTTTCACGTGGTGCCTGCATATCATGCAGAACCATCTGTGCACCAGGCCCTAGCCTTCTCTTCCTCTGTCAACTGATCATAGGGAACTCCCCATGAGGCCATTGGTGCAGGCTGGGGGAAAGAAGGCAGAGTGGCAGGAGTGGAGACCATGGGCATTTGAGCCACTTCCTTATGTAACTTACTTGTGCCTTCAGGACTTGTCAAGCCTGATCAGGCATATGCCACTTCCATTTGATGATGGAATGCTGCTGTGCATGACCCACTTTATGGCTTGATGGGTCAGAAAGCACCCAGTTCATGATAGGCAGTTCAGGTCAAATGGTGACTTGATGATCCATAGTCAAACATTCAGTTTCCAACAAAGCCCAGTAACAGGCCAAGAGGTGTCTCTCAAAAGGAGAGTAGTTATCTGCAGAAGATGGCAGGGCCTTACTCCAAACTCCTAGAGGCCTCCACTGTGATTCACCTATGGGAGCCTGACAAAGGCTCCAAACAGCATCCCTATCTGCCACTGACACCTCAAGCACCATTGGATCTGCTGGGTCATATTGCCCAAGTGGCAGAGCAGCTTGGACAGCAGCCTGGACCTGTTGCAGAGCCTTCTCCTGTTCTGGACCCCACTCAAAACTGGCAGCCTTTCAGGTCACTTGATAAATGGGCCGGAGTAACACACCCAAATGAAGAATGTGTTGCCTACAAATAGGTCCACTAGGCGTGCCTCTTTCTTGGTTGTAGGAGGGGCCAAAAGCAGCAATTTATCCTTTACCTTAGAAGGAGTATTTTGACAGGCCCCACAACCACTGGACCTCTAGAAATTCTACTGAGGTAGAAGGTCCCTGAATTTTAGTCAGATTTATTTCTCACCTCTGGCATGCAAATGTCTCACCAATAAGTCCAGTGTGTTTGCTACTTCTTGCTCACTGGATCCAATCAGCATAATGTCACCAATGTAATGGACCAGTGTGATATCTTTTGAAAGCAAGAAGCGATCAACGTCTCTCTGAATAAGATTATGACATAAAGCTGGAGAGTTGATATACCCCTGAGATAGGACAGTAAAGGTATATTGCTGGCCTTGCCAGCCAAAGGGAAACTGCTTCTGGTGGGCCTTATGGACAGGAATGGAGAAAAAGGCACTTGCCAAGTCAATGGCTACATACCAGGTACCAGGAGATGTGTTAATTTGCTCTATCAATGAAACCATATCTGGTACAGCAGCTGCAATTGCAGTCACCACTTGGTTAAGTTTATGATAATCCACTATCATTCTCAAAGATCCATCTGTCTTCTACATAGGCCAAATGGGAATGTTGAACAGGGATGTGGTGGGAATCACCACTCCTGCATCTTTAAGATCCATCTGTCTTCTACATAGGCCAAATGGGAATGTTGAACAGGGATGTGGTGGGAATCACCACTCCTGCATCTTTCAAGTCCTTGATGGTGGCACTAGTCTCTGCAATCCCTCCAGAGATGCAATGTTGTTTTTTATTTTCTATTTTTCTAGGTAGAGAAGCACTAATGGCTTCCGTTTGGCCTTTCCCACCATAATAGCCCTCACCCTACCAGTCAGGGAGCCAATGTGGGGGTTCTGCCAGCTACTAAGTATGTCTATGCCAATTATGCATTCTGGCACTGGGGAAATGACCACAGGACGAGTCTGGGGACCCACTGGACCCACTGTAAGTCAGACCTGAGCTAAAACTCCACTAGTTACCTGACCTCCATAAGCCCCTACTTTAACTGGAGGCCCACAATGACATTTTGGGTCCCCTGGAATCAGCGTCAGCTCAGAGCCAGTGTCCAGTAATCCCTGAAATGTCTGATCATTTCCCTTTCCCCATTGCACAGTTACCCTGGTAAAAGGCCTCATGCCTCCTTGGGGAAGGATGGGAGAAAGATTCACACATAAATTGTCGGTAATGTAGTGGGGTCCTTCCTCAAGGGGACACAGCCTCCCCTTCATTCAAGGGGTTCTTGGTCTGTAAACTGGCTCAAGCCTGGAAATTGACTGAGGGGCTGTGATTCTCTGTTTTTATAATTCAAATTAGTCTTTTGTTCATTCAACCTCGAAGTTTTCTGATTGTATAATTTAAGTTGGAATGCAGTACACTTCTCAACAATTTTACTTCTAGGAACACCATGATTAATTAGCCAATGCCAGAGCTCTACACAAGTCAGACTCTTCTGATTGCCACTTTGCCTCTGCTGTCCATTACGGTAGCTATGCCCACCTTGACTTTGACAGTTGAGTCCTGCCACTTGGCTCCTGCCAATTATTCCCATTGTATTTAAATTTTGTAACTGAGTGACTCCAATTCCCACTGTTAAATCTGACATATAGAGAAAAGCAATTACAAGGCTCTTCAAAGATGCAGGTGCTGCCCTCACAAATCTATTTCGCAAGGCATTGGTCAGGGGTATATCTTCTGGACCTTCCCAGCTGGGATGAATAGGTCTAAAGTGACTAATCCACTCCATCATCCCAATCTCCCTAAGCCTTTGGATCCCTTCCTCTACATTAAACCAAGGGAGATCAGGCATTTCCAGCTCACTTACAGTGGGCCATATTTTAAACCATATTTCAGCTAACCAAGCAAGTAAACTGTCACAACCTTTTTAACTCCTCGAGGGGCAACATTAAATGCAGATTCCCTATTTAGTTGTCCCAAATCGATAAATTCAGCCTGATCCAACTCCTTGTGCCTTCCACCAATATCCTATACCTTTAATATCCATTCCCATGCCTGTTCTCCAGATTTCTGTTTATATAAATTAGAAAGCTCAAACAGTTCTTTTCAAGTGTAGTGCACCTTCTCATGGGTCACACTCTCAACCTCCCCTCTAGGGGCCCACCGGGACTTCAGCCTATTTATAGGTCTAGAAGCAAACAGAGGTGTTGAGGGTGGCTTCTGAGGAGAATCAATATTATCTTGCCTGGCAGCTGCCTCAGGGGAGGCCATCACTGTTGCCTCAGGCAGCGCAGGGTTTATCTCTTCAGGCAAAGGTGGAAAGGCTGATGGCAGCCTGGGTCAGGGATGGGGTGTTGCCTCTACTGGGGATGGGGAAGCTGTTCTTTCTGGCAAAAAAGGTTCATGAGAGTTTACAAACTCAGTGTCCCCAGCTTCACCAGGGTCCTCCCACATGTCCCCATTACAAGTTTCAGGGTCCCCTTCTTTTCCAATCAATGCCCTCACTTATGTATAGAGTCACTAAACTTCTTGCCTCTCACGAGAGGTGAATCAGGAGTGTCAAATGCATTTATTTTGCATAACTCTCTAAACAGTTCATGCCACGGACTATCGGTGTTGTCTATACTATTAGAAGTAGAGTCCTTGACATTTTGGGGTCTAATCATATTAAGCAGCCAACTCCAGAAACCCCAAAACCAATGGAAGAATTCCATCCTTAACACTCTGTTCCTCTAGAACCACTCCTGGTACTAAAATCTGTAGTCAGGGTTCAGCGTTCTCTTAGAGGGACAGAACTAATAGGCCATATATATGAGTTTATTAAGTATTAACTTACATGATCACAAGGTCCCACAATAGGCCATCTGCAGGCTGAGGAGCAAGGAGAGCCAGTCCAAGTCCCAAAACTGATGACCTTGGAATCTGATGTTCAGGGGCAGGAAGCATCCAGCATGGGAGAAAGATGTAGGCTGGGAGGCTAGGCCCGTCTCTCTTTTTCACATTTTTCTGCCTGCTTTATATTCACTGGAAGCTGATTAGATCCACCAGATTAAGGGTGGATCTGCCTTCCCCAGCCCACTGACTCAAATGTTAATCTCTTTTGGCAACACCCTCACAGACACACCCAGGGTTAATACTTTGTATCCCTCAATCCAATTAAGTTGACACTCAGTATTAACCATCACACACATATATATTCATGGTGCTTCTTGCCTTCCAAGTATTTCTCTACATTCTCTATAAATTCTGGATTTTTTTCATTTGTATTCATGAGACTAACTTCCATTTCTTTGCTTAGAGAGAGAATTGAGCCCCCAGTATTCCCTCCTTGCCCTTTTGCTTGACCCTAGTTATCCTAGAAAAGTCTTGATCTTCGACATCCAATTGCTTCTGGGAATCTTTCTGGTCCCTTCTCTCAAACCCCATTACTCCTTCTTGCCTGCAGCTTTCTAGTGTGATCTATTGCTTTAAATCTTATTTTTGTTTTTTTCTTCCATTACCCTCGGACTGGATGCTTTGGAGCGTCCCTTACTTCCTGGGCCCACCCCAGCCCTCATCCCAGACTTTGATTCTAATTTCCCTTTAATTAGAGCCCTCCAAGTGCAGAAAAACCACACCTATTCTAATATCAGCCCCTGCTAGTAGAATTTCAACCTTGGCCCAGTTCCTGCTTTCCTGAAAAGGAAGGTCTGCCATCTAGCTTGCTATGAACATAATAAGAAATCTGACAGCATGGAACTACCATGGAATAATTCATGCAGTCTTGCTGGCTTTATTGATTACATTACAATTTTATCCATTGAGTAAAAGATCTTTGATTTAAAGTACAATAGAATCTAGATTTTTTTCTGCCTTCCTAAAAAATTACATAAAAATCATTTCACTTTTTTATTGGTATTATTTTAACATCAGTTATCTACTAGGATATTACAGAGTGAGAACCCCAGATCTTAGTCAAGTGAGGACTGTTTCTATTCTAGAGAGGCCAAGATTGCTGTAGGTTTATTGGGTTTTATTGTTCTTGGAGGTATATTTGTTTTTGTTCCTTTTTCTACTTCTTGTATTTTTGATGTTTTCTCCTTTTCTACGAAGCTATTAACTTCCTCTTGAAAAGTCTTTCTTTTAAATTGATTCTAATTTACTACAAATATTTTTTAAAACAAAAACAAGTTATTTGCTTAACTTACTACTCCCTTTTTTTTCTTTTGAATTTTCAGCTTACCTATGACTTGAATTTTTACAATAATTATGTATTACTATTACATTTTAAAATTCAATTTTAAATACATTTTTAAAATAAATTAAACATAGTACTTACCTCATGGGAGAATTGTAAATTTTTAATACATAACAACACATAGGAAAGTACCTCATACTTTGTAAGTGCTCAGTAAATGTTAGCTATTATGGGTTTCACGTTTATGCCTGGTCCTAGAGATAGTCCAGCTCTGCATCTTCAGCTCCTATGAGACGTCTCCTCTTGGAGGTTCTATGTGCACCTTAAATTGCAAATTGGAATTCACCATCTTCCTCCACACCCACCCAAACCTGTTCCTACTCTGCCAGTAGCATAATGATTTTACTTTCATAGACTTGAATTTTTAAAGATGTATCTGAGTCTGAAGGAGTGCAGATCAACTGAGATCAAGAGTTCGAGACCAGCCTGGCCAACCTGGTGAAACCCCATCTCTACTAAAAATACAAAAATCAGCTGGGCATGGTGGCACATGCCTGTAATCCCAGCTACTTGGGAGGCTGAGGCAGGAGAATCGATTCAACTTAGGAGGTGGAGGTTGCTGTGACCTGAGATTGCACCATTGCACTACAGCCTTGGCAACAAGAGCGAAAATCCGTCTCAAAAAAGAAAAAAAAAGATATATTTGATTTTTCTCTTATGCCCCAACTGAAACAATTCCCAAGTGCTTTTTATTCTACTTCTGCCATATCTCTTAGGTCTCTTAAGACTTATATTGTCCTCTCCATACCCTCATTCAGAACCTTGTTGTTACTTATCTGGACTAACCCCATAGCATCTGGACTAATGCAGTAGTCTCATAACTGTCTTGGGTTTCCAGCCTCTGCAATATATTCTATGCACTTCAGGTTAATTTTCCTAAAGAACATGTCTAAACATGTATCTTTCCAACTCAGTAATTTTCTTTGACTCCCTAATCTATACTGAATTAAGGCCTTGCACTTTCTAGTCCCAATCAACCATTGCAATTTGCCTTGGAAACCCCTTAATGCTTTACACCCTTCAGACAAGTTATTTACCTTGTAGTAAAATAAAAACAGTAATATTCTCACTGAAGGTCTATGTGGTTTATTTTTTCTATATTTAAATGCATTCGATGTAATGAGTAGACTTAGAAGCCCACCTTTATCTGGGCTTCTAAGAAGTCTTTTCTGTTGACTTATAATAGGTTCTTGGCTTTATTCTGGATAGGTAAGATTGGCAAATAGAGCAGTTTCTTATAAATAAAATTTCCTGCCATTAAAAAATATATATATGTATATAATGGATACACACACAACCACACATACAGGTGTGGGCACAAACACAGACACACATACATCTAAGGAACACTTTGGAATTTCAACAATATTAATTCTTTACCTCAAATGCAGTAGATACCAGAGGAATACTTTTCCATTTTCCTTTACATTGGACATATTTGCAATTTGAGAACAAGAACCAGTGTTGGTTTTCAGACAGAATCCATTTAATTAATCATACTATTTGAACAGCTGGGGAGGCCATATATTTATGTAAGAGCTTAACATTCTTTCGAAAAATTGTCAAGTATGAATTAAAATAATATTATTTCACTTTTTAATGATATGCTATTTATCTTTAGATTTTACTCACACCTAACTTTATAAATCAATAGTTCCAGTCTTTGAGAAACATTATTACCTATGCTTAAATGCTTTTAAAAGCACTATCATATGCAGTGCGGTAAAAAAGGACTAAGGTTCTATTTACCACAAGGATTCATTTGCAAAGTGTGAGATATTCCCATTTTTGTTTCTAAATTTGGCAAGCAATGGATAGAAAAGAGAAGAAATTGCTTGATAAAATCATGTTTTCCACTTACTCGTCACCAGCAGTAAGATGAACTTTTCTTATTAAAAAAGATTGTCTCATTCAATACAGCAGTAAAAGCTCTACACAGACAAATGTGGGTAGAAGACACAGTAAAATGGAATTATTGTATTAAATTGCCCAAGAACACAGTTTTAAAGAAAAATACTCATGAAAGCACAACAGATGATAGTGAAAATAAGTGAGAAAATTTTATAAAACTTGTTTTAATACCGGATTCTAGCTTCTGTTTCTAGAATAAAGGCCAATTTGAAAGAGAAACTTTGGATTCAGCCAGAGCTAATCCAACAGGAAACTCCAGGGATATGGGCAATTATTTAAATGGGAGTCACTTACGGGCACCATCAACAGCTGTCTTTTGGGCCAGCCAGTGTGGTTGGGCCTTAGAACTGGAGTGACTCTAAGCACTTACAATGGGGAAGAGGCACCATATGAATAAGTTTGGGACAATAAAGGGAAGGATGGGTAACTGGAACACGGCACAGTAACGTTTACTTTTCTGATTTATATTCTTGCAGAACACACTGCCTATGCTCAGCAATTTGCATAGCTAATGCCATATGACTTTGACAGTTACGATTCCAATGGAGACAGGATACATGCTCTCCCTTACAGTGATAACACATGAAGCTTGCCACTGCAGACTGGTGTTCAGAGAAAGCCAAAGGCCTTTTATGCATCAACTCAGCCTTGAAATTCAGATGAGCCATCAACCGAGGTCCACACACCACACACCTTTCCTATGTACCTCCCCCGCCAACTTTGCTTTAGGGGGCCATCTCTGCTTCTTCTCCAGTTCTTTAATTTAAATAAATTCCAGCTGTACAGGAAGAAGATGGAAATGTGTTATTATGTTCTCTGTTCTGTTTTGCAACCTCATAGATGTGGCCCTGTCTCTGATCTCTGTCTGAAACTGTGCTGAGGACTAGACAGGACAAACATAGAAAGCTAGTCTTTACCCTCTAGAAATTTAACAATCCAAGAGAAGAGATGCAGATGCACCTGAAAGTATGGACTTAATAAAAACATCAACCTGATATACAAAAGTTTTGGGTACAAGTCAAGTGAACCTTATGTTATACATTCATTCATTCACTCATGCATTTATTCATTCGTTCTACAGATATTTACTGGACACTTAATACCAGGCAAGTTCTTCAGTACTGCAGATATATAAATGATCAAAACTGAACCCTATCTCTGACCTCATGGACCTCTGTAAGTAGTGGAGTAGAAAGCCAATCAAATAAAAGATAAATAAATGTAAAATTGAGACAGTGGTGTGAAGAACATGGTACTATGACAGCTGATCATAACCAAAGTGCCACCATCAGGAAAAACACTTGTTTTCCTGCGAAGGCAGGAATGGAGCAGGAGTAGTCCATGAGGCCATCAGGGAACAGTTTTCCATCAAGGAGGAGGAAGCATGTGAGGCACTGGAAAAAGGCCAGTGTACCAGGAAAAGAAAGCATGGGGGATCTGATGGGAAATGAGGCTAGACAAGGAGAGGGGCTCAGATCCTGCACAATTTGCAGGCCTCCCTAATGAGTTTCATTTTGAGTAGAAAGCAGGAATAGCACATATTTTGAGGTAATTACACAAAAGGGTCATGTCCAGTTTGGAGAGAGGAGAGATAGACCCACAGTCTAGAATCCAGTATGGTTGAGTATAATAAGGGCACACCCACCCTCTCAGTGTACATTAATTGCTGAGGACAGCAATATTAAGAGATGGCTTCTTGAATAGGAGCCAAACCACCACTTGGTTAAAACAGGGAAGTTTTGACTAGCTCTACTAATAAATAATGAACCCAATATCCTTTCCCTGGCCTCCACTCTTCCACATAAATTCAATATGTTAATGCATCTGTAACAAATTAAGTGTCTCTTAAAAGTCCCTTAAAAGTCTCCAAATCTTTGAAAATTTAGAGTGCCTATGGAAAACAAATAAGCAAAATCCTTGACCTTTTCTCTATTCATAAGTAAGATCAATGGAATATGCCAAGAACCCAGAAACCTCTCTATTCCCAGAAATTTTTTAAAGGAATTTGCTTGTATGAATCCAAAGCAAAATTGGAGGTCTCTTTCAAACTAGCTTGTTTGGTTTGCTTTTGATAATGAAGTCAAGAGAATACTAATATATACCAGTCATAATGCAGAACAACCCAATCTCCAAACTCACACTGATATTTGACATATGTAGCCTAGACAACTCTTGGAATCTAAGAGTAGCAATTTAAGTTGTTTATTCTTACATAATGGGAACAGAGGGAGGAAAAGAATTTCTATTTCCCATTAGACGGCATCACATGTCCCTTCTGTTTTGCAGTGAGCATTTTCTATAATAACCCACTAAGCTGATCTGTAACAACCAATAAAATACCTAAGATCATGCATGAAATCCAAATGGAATCTGAGAATAGAGAGATAACAAGGAGATAGTCTTTTGACTGGACATGCTAAGTAACAGATTTTATTTTATTTTGAAAAAGAAAGAAGGAAAGAATCATGAGGGAAATGCTATTAAAAAACTACCCCAAGGAGTCAGCAATTTCTGAGTTTTTCAATTAAGTTGCCAATTTTAAGGCTATTACACTGCTCCCTGAATCAAAAGGATTAACAATTTTCCTCTTAGCAATTAGAAAGGTAGAATTTTACCATGGAAGCACA